>NC_000006.12:31272121-31575151 GCF_000001405.40 Homo sapiens | reverse complement strand
AACTGGGAGGGGCTTCAGAAAGCTGAGTCCTTGAGGGAGAGAAAACGGGGTTGGAGGGAAAAGCTGTGTTGAGTCCTGAGGCCTGTGTTTGGGTCCCTGCGGGGAGAAGGAGCTGGGGGCTTGGTGGCAGGCTTGAGGCCTCAGGAAAGGCTGGGTGGGGGTAGCAGGGACAAGCCTGGGACAGCCCCGGGGAGTGAAATCACCCCCGGGAATTCACAGACCCCACTGGGGCAGGCCTTCTTCTTTCATTCTGACCCGGAGACTCATAATGCTGGTTTCAGTCTTGGCTTCCAAGGAACTCTGGGGTCCCTGATTTTTTTCATGAAGCTCTCACTTCTCAGGGCCCCAGTGTGTGGCCATATCTTCTTAAACGTCCCCTGTATTCCATACCTGGAGGTCCTGGAGGCTCTTTCACTCCCTGGGGCCCTCTACATGGCCCTGTCTTCGTTAAGGGGGGGTCCCCATACTCGACTTCCATAGCCCTGGACATTCTCCTACCCATTGCTGTGGTCACATCTCCCCAGAGGTCTCCTGTAACCCATTCCTCAGAGCCGCTACATGTGGCCATATCTCCCAGGAGCTCCCTGACCCCCGCCCCTCCAGACCCTGACTTTTCCTTCATCTTCTCAGCTTCTCCTTTGCTTCCCCTGCAGCAGTCTGGCGGCCTCACCTGGTGAGTCCATCACATATCCCTGAAGCTCTCTGAGCCCTTATCCTTTTGTTCTCCCCACAGCTCTTGCTCCCTTTGAGCCCTCTGTCCCTCCCTCCATTCCTTAGATAGACTGGGAAGTTCTCACTCCCAGACACACACACACAAGCAGACAGCATTTCAGAGAAAAGAGGTTTATTGGGCTTCATCGAGGGTGCAGATGCCTCCGTGTGGGGCTCTGGTCGGCAGCTGGCTTTCAGAGCCTTTCCCTGCCTTCTGGGGCCCTGTGATCCCTCATGCCTACTTCTTTCTCTCTTGGTCAGCCTTGTGCGCATGCCCTCTCACTCTTCATCTCTTGGGCCTGTCTCTGTTTCTCCTTGGATGTTCTTCTATTATTCCCCTCTCTCCATCCTCCATAAATAAATAATTTAATTTTTTTGCCTTCATAAATAGTCCCCTCCCTGCCTCTAGTCATCCCCCAAGCTCCTCCATGTGCCTGCTCTTCCTCTGTGTGTGGATCTAGGCCCCACCTAGCTGGTGGGACAGACCAACAGCTTTGGGCTGGGAATTCCTAGGCAGGCTTGAAATCCTCAGCCAGACAGACATCAGGGATGGTTCAGGGAGGTGTGGTCCCCTGGGATGCCTAGAATTCCTTCTTTGAAAGCTCCGGTGACTTGATCAGGGAAGACTTGAGCTGTTGGAATGGCCAAAGGAGAGGTGGTGACGACCCCTGAAATGGTCAGAATGGAGGCAGAATGGGGAGAAGGTCTTGAAATCAATTATTTTTTCTTTCTGGATTTTTCCAAGTTCTACAGAGCGAAGGCTCCAAAGAAGACAGTACTAGGGCTGAGGACTAGGTGGGGGATGCCATCTGTGTGGGTGGATAGCTGGTCTCCCTGGGTGAGCTGGAACGCAGCCCCGTGGTACATCGAGTGCAGCCAGGGTTCCTGCAGCCCTGGATACACCATCTTCTGGGAGCTGAGGAGAGGCACATGGAAGGGGTACTGGGAGGAGAAGAGCTGGACCTCATGGGCCAGGTAGAGTGGGGAGGAGGTGGCCTTGGGAGAGTAGGCTTTCCCAGAGAAGACCACCTGGGAGTAGACGAAGTAGATGCCACTGGTGGGGACCAGGAGAGAATTGTTGCTCAAGGAGAAACCATCCTGGAGGAAGGCACGGTCCGTGTTTGCTCTCCAGAGCAGTGAGTTCTGCTTGCTGGGGTCTCCTAGGAAGAGCCATAGGGGATGGGGGTGGGAGATCAGGGGTCTGGATCAGAGGTCTCAATCCCTGAGGAAGTGGGCACTGAACAACTGAGTTCCTGGGGGATGGCAGGGGGAGGCATAGGAGTGGGCTCCCTCTGTTTTTTTTAGCGTGGGGGAAGTTGGGGGAGAGGGGTGGATGCTTGGGTTCCTGAGGCAGGGGTAGGAGGAGAGCTGGTGGGGACATGTCTGGGAGGTCAGGTGGATGTTTACCAATGAGGTGAGCAGCAGGTTTGAGGGTGCTGTGGGCAAGATGCATCTTGGGGTGCTGACGGGCAGTCTGGGCAGCTGAAGGTGTGAGGCCAACACCAGGGAGCCCCTAGGGGAGAACAGAGTTGAGGGGGGCTCTAGGGCTCAAGGTTTGGCTGAGCCACCCCAGCAGCCCCCATTCTCCTGCTGCCTCACCTGGGCCCCAGGCAGCAGAACCAGCAGCAGCCCCAGAAGGAGGAGGTGTAGGGTGGTGCCACACACCCTTGGGAGGAAGAGACGTTCAGGTGGTGTCATGGGGAGAACCTGCAGAGAAAGAGAGAGAGAGAGAGAGACAGTGAGCGGGGCGGGGCACGCGGCGGAAGACAGACCTCCCGCCCTGGGAGAGAGCACCCCCCGACCCCCGAGAGAGAGATCGACAGAGAAGGGGACAAGATGCAGTCAGAGAAACCCCAAGGTGAGCAGAGGGAGACAGAGAGAGACAGGAAGGGAACAGAGAGGAATCATGGCAGAAACAGAGAATGTGTGACAGAGACAATGAGACTGACAGATGGAGAGTCAGAGACAGAGAAGGAAACCAAAACCAAACCCACCAAGGCCCAGGCCCAGGCAGGCCGGGGATCCAGGCAGCAGGTGCAGGAGGGACCGAGGCCCAGGCAGAGGGCAGGACACTGCTGGGCGGTAGTCCAAAGCACGAAGCACGGGCAGCCCAAGGAGATGGGGCAGGAGAGCCTCACCTGCTGTGCGGAGCCCCTGGGCCCGGACGCTCAGGTCCCTTTATAGAGGAAGCGGCAGTGGCAGCGTGGCAGGCAGCGGGCGGGTTCTAGGTCGGGGCTGGGGCCCGGGGAAGCCCCCAGGGCTTAGAAGATACTGCTGTTTCAGTCAAAGGCAGGAAAGGCTGAGGCCTAGGAGAGAACCACAGGCTGGGGGTTCAGGCGACTGAGTTCTGGGAAAGGGAGTCGGGTCAGGGGAATCGTGGGCTGGGAGGGCCAGGGAGTGGGGTCAGGCCTAGAGTTCCAAAGAAGGGACAGTCAATTCAGAGAGGAGGTGGTTGAGCAGCTGGGGTGTGAGCTGGAGGCCCGGTTCCCTGAAGAGCAATCATATATAACATCTCTGCACCCTTGGCTGAGTACAGGCTTCTCTCTTTGCCCATTTCCTTCTCTTGTACCCCTGTCCTTGTCCCAAACAACTCAAATCATACTTGTCCCAGTATACGGACTTTCCAGCCCATCTGGCAGGTTTCACATCAAGAAGGTCCATTATATATCCCCTTCATCGGGGACATTCTGGTGTTTGCCTCTTGTCCAGGTGAAAATATTAATGGATCCCCCTTCCACTCTTGAAAGTGTCCTAGTTTGGAAGATAAATTTTTTGGTCCCCTTACTCAGAGATGATGCTGGACAGTCAAGTATGATGAGGTCTCATCTCACTCCTGAAGGATGCCCTCCATCTCTTCCTGACTTCAGGTGGCTTCCACAGAACAGATTTATATAACCCCAAATAAACACACATTCCAGGATCAATGTGGCAGACACCTTCCAAAGTTTTCTACAAAGGAAGTTTCAGAATTCCACATGGGTGAGGCTTAAGGGTGGTGACTTAGGGTGGGGTGGGGACAGCTAAGGGACTTGTTCTGAAGCTGCATTTGCAGAGCCAATACATTATTTTAAAATTGTTCCAGGCCTGGTGCAGTGGCTCACACCTGTAATCCTGGCACTTTGGGAGTCTGAGGTGGGCGGATTACTTGAGGTCAGGAGTTTGAGACCAGCTGGCCAACATGGTGAAACCCCATCTCTATAATAAATACAAAAATTAGCCAGGCGTGCTGGTGCGCATCTGCAGTCCCAGCTACTCGGGAGGCTGAGGCTGGAGAATTATTTGAACCTGGGAGGCGGAGGCTGCAGTGAGTCAAGATCGCACCACTGTATTCCAGCCTGGGGGACAGAGCAAGACTCTGTCTCAAAAAAAAAAAAAAAAAGTTTCCAAAATTTTTTTCCTTTTTATTGATATGTAACTTAGGTATGAGGTGGACACCTCTTAAGTGTACAGCTGATGAATTTTTCCATCTGTATGTAGCCACCACCCAGCTCCACGTATTTTCAGGTCCCCAGCAGGTTCCCTCATGCCCCCTCCCTGCTGATACCCTCCAAAGATAACCAACCACTCTCTCACTTTTATCACCATAGATTATTTCCTCCTGGTTTGGGGCATCATATAAATGAAATCACACAGAATGTACTCATTTCTGTTTGACTTCTTTCAGTCAGCATTATGTTTGTGAGATTCATATACGTGGTTGTATGTATCAGTAATGTTTTTAAAAAAAATTATGATGTAATATTCTATTGTATCAATATATTCTAATATATTCTGTTGATGGGGATTTGGTTTGTTTCTAGTTTTTGTCTAACACAAAAAATGTCTAACACGAACATTCTCATACATGAGCCCATTTTCACTTAGCTTGCAAGTTACAAGGTTTAAAAAAAGCAGTTTCTAAAGATGACTTTATTCACTTTTCCTAAGTTTGAGATAATACCAACTTGTCACCTCAAATATTATTACTGCTACTGATGTGATTTTACTTGGAGAGTGTTAGAGGGGTTGGAGCTGGGGCTGGTGGTGACCCGGGGTAAAGCCCACTGTTGCATGGGGCAGACCACTTCTCTCCCCAGGCACAAGGTCCCTGAGGGGTCTTGGTGTAACATGGAGGGACATGTAAGTAACATTCTGGGTGTGTATGAGCTATTTCTCCTGTTCTTCTCTACTTGAGGACCTGCCCCTTTGCCTTTTATGCTTTACTAGTCTTAGCTATTATTTCTGTAGGGGCAGAAAGGGGTGATCCCTTCCTGACCCATCATAAGGGTTATGGCCAATACTCCTATAATAAAAGACAGATTAACAAGAGAAAAGCATAATACATTTATTTAATCAAAGTTTTAGGTGACATGGGAGCCTTCAGAAATGAAGACCCAAGGACCCAGGGGAAAACTATTTTTATGCTTAGATTTGATGAAGAATGAACAGCTGTGCAGAAATGTAATTGAACAAAAGGAGTATCATCTAATGGTCACAGACTGGGACTGGGGGGATCCCAGCAAGGCCTGGCCATATTCTTCTTGGTCTCTCTGTACAGCATTCCTTCCTCCCAGGTATAGGGCAGAACCTCTTCTGGAATGAGGGTCTTATAACCTACTATCAGATGAGATAGGTCAGAAAATTTCTTTTCCTTTTTTTTTTTTTTTGAGACAGTTTCTCACTGTCGCACAGGCTGGAGTGCAGTGGCACGATCTTGGCTCACTGCAACCTCTGCCTCCCAGGTTCAAGCTATTCTCCTGCCTCAGCCTCCCGAGTAGCTGGGATTACAGGCACACGCCACCAAGCCCGCCAAATTTTTTTTTGTATTTTTAGTAGAGACGGGGTCTCACCATGTTGGCCAGGTTGGTCTTGAATTCCTGACCACAGGTGACCCACCAGCCTTGGCCTCCCAAAGTGCTGGGATTATGGGCGTGAGCCACTGCGCCCAACCTTCTTCTCATTCTTTTAACCTTATTATCTCTTGTGTCAGTGTGGGTTTCCCTTTTAGCCCCTGCTCCTTTCTTTTTCTCTGTGTTGCCCTTTCTCTCAGGGTCCTTTTTGCTTCCTGTTGTCTCTTTCTGCTTCTCTAATGGTATGAGCTGATGGACTGGGACCCCAGCTGAGCTATATTAAAATATAAAATGTTATTACAAGGCCAGGAGCAGTGGCACATGCCTGTCATCCCAGCACTTTGGGAGGCTGAGGCGAGCAGATCACAAGGTCAGGAGATAGAGACAATCCTGGCTAATACGGTGAAACTCCATCACTGCTAAAAATACAAAAAATTAGCCGAGCATGGTGGCACGCGCCTGTAATCCTAGCTACTAGGGAAGCTGAGGCAGGAGAACTGCTTGAACCCAGGAGGCGGAGGTTGCAGTGAGCCGAGATCGTGCCACTGCCCTCCAGCCTGGGCAACAAAGTGAGACTCCATTTCAAACAAACAAACCAAAAAACAAAACAAAACAAAACAAGCAAACAAAAAAAGGTATTGCAATTAACAGTGAGACACAGAGAGAAATTTAAATTAAAGAGGAAGAATGGGACATTGAAAGACAAAAAAGGGAAGGCAAGAAGGGTGATGGGGAGACATGAGAGACACAGAGGAAGGAAGGGTAAGACTGGGCTGAGGCTCAGTGTCACGTGCATGTGAGATATGCGAAGGATGCTCCTTGAGATGGGCCAATCTTGGTTTCAATCTCAGTTTCGGAGGTTGTATGAATTTGGTTTCTTTCTTGGGCAGGCCAGCAGTTGGTTTGGGACTTTCCCTGGGTGGGAGAGCTGATGACTGGAGTCTTGTGCCCCAGACTCAGGGAAATACAGTCTTTATAGTGGTCTTTGTGGAGAAACTAGTGAAATCTCTGAAGCCTCCAAATGAGACTGAAATGACATTAGCTTCAAACTTGAACTTAGCCTCAAAACCTGAATTGGGATTTAATACCAACATCAACCCTAACCCAAATTTAACCTCAACCCAAATCACAACTCAAACTCAACCCCAACTGTAACCCTAACCTTAAATCTAAACACATCCCAATTAATAACCCCCTAAATAAAACTTCTCCTCTACCCCAACCCAACCCTGTTTCTAGGGCTAATCTTGAAACCAGTTTACCACCACTCCTAACACTAAACTTAAATCTGACTCTAAATGTAAGTCCAATCTGAGCCACAAGCCTAAAGTTGAACTTTATCCTGCTTTATGAATTATTCATCCATTCCTCCATTTAGTGAGTATCTGCGTGCCTAACACATGCTGGGCATTGTCCTAAGGCAGGAGGGACATGGAGGCAAAGGGATCAGAGAAGGTACCAGCACCTGTGGAGCTTGTATTCCAGTGAGGCCAGACGGAAAAGAAAGAAACTGAAGAAGAAATTGGTACTATGAGAAAATAAGACAGGCTGATGTTGTAAGAGTGGCAGGGAGCTACTTTTAAATACAGTAGTCAGCAAAATCCTCTTTGAGTGTTTGGGTGGCACTGGAGCTGAGACCCAAATGACAAAAAATAGTGACCAGGTAAAAGTTTGGGAGCAAAGCATTTCAGGTAAAGGGAGCAGCTACTGCAAAGGCTGGAAGGCGGAACCAAGCTGGGGGTGTTGACGACAAACAGAAGGCCAGTGTGGCTGGAGCAGAGAGAGAGACTGGGAGGCGGGTGGGAGATGAGGTCAGAGAGGAGGGCAGGGGCCAGGTCATGCAGGGCCATGCAAGAAGGGTAAAGCCTCTAGATTTCATCCAGCCACAGGAAGCCTTTAAAGGTCGTCAGAGTGTGTGGTGCGTGCATGCGTGCGTGTGTGTGTGTGTGTGTGTGTGTGTGTGTGTTGCAGGGGAGAGAGGGGGAGGGAGAGAGAGAGAGAGAGAGAAAGAGGGAGGTGAGCAGAGGTGATTGGATTTTTTTTTCTTTTGACATGGTGTCTTGCTCTGTGGCCTAGGCTGGAGTGCAGTGGCACCATCATAGCCCACTGCAACCTCAAAACCATGGGCTCAAGTCATCCTTCCACCTCAGCTTCCCAAGTATCTAGGACTACAGGTGTGTGCCACTGTGCCTGGCTAATTTTAAAAAATATTTTAAAATTTTTGTTGAGACAGGGTCTATGCTGCTCAGGCTGGTCTCGAACTCCTGGTTTCAAGTGATCTGCCCATCTTGGCCTCCCAAAGTTTTTTTTTGTTTGTTTGAGAGGCGGTTTCGCTCGTTGCCCAGGCTGGAGTGCAATGACTGATCTCATCTCACTGCAACCTCTGCCTCCTGGGTTCAAGCGATTCTCCTGCTTCAGCCTCCCAAGTAGCTGGGATTACAGGTGCATGCCACCATTCCCGGCTAATTTTTTGTATTTAGTAGAGATGGGGTTTCACCATGTTAGTCAGGCTGATCTCAAACTCCTGACCTCAGGTGATCCGCCTGCCTCAGCCTCCCAAAGTTTTGGGATTACAGGTGTGAGCCACCATGCTGGGCCAGCCTCCCAAAGTTTTGGGATTACAGGCATGAGTCACCACACTGGCCCTGGATTTTTTTTCTTTCTTTTTTTTGGAGACGGAGTCTCACTCTGTTGCCCAGGCTGGAGTGCAATGGCGTAATCTCAGCTCACTGCAACCTCTGCTGCCCGGGTTCAAACGATTCTCCTGTCTTAGCCTCCTGAGTAGCTGGGATTATAGGTGCATGCCACCATGCCTGGCTAATTTTTGTACTTTTAGTAGAGAAAGTACACCATCTTGGCCAGGCTGGTCTCGAACTCCTGACCTCAGGTGATCCAC
This sequence comes from Homo sapiens, assembly GCF_000001405.40. Classification (NCBI taxonomy): domain Eukaryota; kingdom Metazoa; phylum Chordata; class Mammalia; order Primates; family Hominidae; genus Homo; species Homo sapiens. Next base: position 31,566,715 of record NC_000006.12, on the reverse strand, counting down.
TTGCGTCGGCCTCCCAAAGTGCTGGGATTACAGGCGTGAGACACCGCACCCAGCCTTTTTTTTTTTTTTTTTTCTTTTAAGACAGAATCGCTCTGTCACCCAGGCTGGAGTGCAGTGGCACAATCTCGGCTCACTGCAACCTCTGCCTCCCAGGTTTAAGCAATCCACCTATGTCAGTCTCCCAAGTAGCTGGGATTATAGGTGCATGTCACCATGCCTGGCTAATTTTTGTACTTTTAGTATAGAAAGTACACCATGTTGGCCAGGCTGGTCTTGAACTCCTGACTTCAAGTGATCCGCCTGCCTCAGCCTCCCGAAGTGCTGGAATTACAGACATGTGCCACTGCACCCGGCCTGGTTTTTTTTTTCTAAGAGATGGAGTCTCACTTTTCTGCCCAGGTTGGAGTGCAATGGCACCATCATAGCTCACTGCAGCCTTCAACTCTTGGCCTCAGGCAATCCTTGCACCTTAGCCTCGCAAAGTGTTGGGATTACAGGCATGAGCCACTGAGCCTTGCCTGGACTTTTTTTTTTTTTTGAGATGGCGTCTCGCTCTGTTGCCCAGGTTGGAGTGCTACGGCATGATCTTGGCTCACTGCAACTTCCACCTCCCAGGTTCAAGTGATTCTCTTGCCTCGGCCCCCCGAGTAGCTGGGATTACAGGCATGCGCCACCGTGCCTGGCTAATTTTGGTATTTTTAGTAGAGATAGGGTTTCATCATGTTGGGCAGGCTGGTCTTGAACTCCTGACCTCGTGATCCACCCACCTCGGCCTCCCAAAGTGCTGGGATTATAGGCATAGCCAACGCGCCCAGCCTGGACTTGTTTTTAAAAGATCACTGTGGCTCCTGTGTTTAGGCTGGCTGGTAGGAGACAGGTGGCAGTGGCATTGATGGTGAAGAGAAAATAGTGGCAGCCATGGAGATGGAGAGAAGTAGACAAGTTTGGGATATATTATACATTCCAGGGGTAGAAACAACAGGACTAGATGATGGATTGATGGGTGGGAGATGTAGATACTGGGAGAGAAGCAGGATTCTGATGGATGGAAAAACTAAAAAATTCTATTTTGGGTGTGGTAAGTCTAAGTCTATTAGACATGCAAGTAGAGATGCCACTGGGCAGATACACATCTGGATTTCAGGGGCAAGGTCCAAGCTAGAGAAAGAAACCTGGGCATGGTCAGCATGAGGATGGTGTTTAAAGCCATGGAACTTATCTTGTGCATCCCTATAAGACCCCTTTGAGGCACTTGTTTCCCCTCACAATGGATGCAGTGCATCTTCCATTCTGAATTCCAGAGGCAACAACCTCCTGCTCCTAGAAGCTAAACTCTCCAGACTTAGTCTTCTGAATTCCCACTGGGATTTAACCTCCCTGGATTCAATTCCCTACCCCACAAGGACCCTTCTACCAATCCATTTCACAATATTTGGTGGAACTCTTCACATTTTCAAATCCTGTCTTCTATGTTTGAAAGCATTTTCCTCTGGGCATTTTGAAACCTGGCTTTCCCCTAATGATGCTACTCCTCTCTGTGGTGAAGGTTGCTCTTTCTTCGACCTCCATCACTAGGGGAATGAAGGCAGAAGAGAGGGGTCGTTATTTTCTCTCCCCCAGACCACTGATAAACTCCTCCTCATCTCCCAAAGCACGTGCCTTTTGCATTTGCCATGCTTTTCCTGTCTTCACAGCACAATCTTATCCATCAAAATATTTATTATGCTCTTAACAACTTGTATAACTAGCTCAGTCTTTCTCCACATCTTATCCCTACCATCATCCTTGTTTGTTTGTTTTTTGAGACAAGGTATTGCTCTGTCACCCAGGCTGGAGTGCAGTGGCGTGATCTTGGCTCACTGCAGCCTCGACCTCCTGGGCTCAAGTGATCCTCCCACGTCAGCCTCCTGAGTAGCTAGGACTACAGGCGCATACCACCGTGCCCGGCTAAGTTTTGTATTTTTTTTTTTTTTCCAGAGATAGGGTTTTGCTATGTTGCCTAGGCTGGTCTTGAACTCCTGAGCTCAAGCAATCCACCCGCCTCAGCCTCCCAAAGTGCTGGGATTACAGGCATGACCCACCGCACCCGGCCTCCTACCACCATCTTTAGTGACTTTAAAAGCCACAAAGATCGGCTGGGCGCAGTGGCTCACACTTGTAATCCCAGCACTTTGGGAGGCTGAGGCGGGTGGATCACGAGGTCAGGAGATCGAGACCATCCTGGCTAACAAGGTGAAACCCCGTCTCTACTAAAAATACAAAAACAAAATTAGCTGGGCGTGGTGGTGGGTGCCTGTAGCCCCAGCTACTCGGAAGGCTGAGGCGAGAGAATGGCATTAACCCGGGAGGCGGATCTTGCAGTGAGCCCAGATCACACCACTGCACTCCAGCCTGGGTGACAGAGCGAGACTTCGTCTCAGAGGAAAAAAATAAAAATAAAAAAAGAAGCCACACAGATCAGATGAGTCTTACAGTCTGGCCTCTCAATTCTCCAAGTTTCTCAAGTCTACTGGTTTTACAGCCTCTTCTTCCCTCCTCCATTTTAGCCACCCAGGAGTAAGGTTGTACCTCAAACCCCAGCATCACTTGGAAGAATTATGCCTTCAAGATCTTGATCTCTGAATTACCCTTCTCATCACAACCACTCACTTTTCACATCTCCCACTCTCTGCCTCCCCTTGAATCAGTTCTTTATTCTTACCAAGACTTCCGGCTGCTTCTGCTTTCCTGGTTTTGCTTGTTGATTTAACATGTACTGCATGGTCAACAATTTCAACTCCACTTTGTCTGCATTTTAGAATCTCTTACCGCCGGGCACCGTAGCTCACACCTGTAATCCCAGCACTTTGGGAGGCCAAGGTGGGCGGATCACCTGAGGTCAGGAGTTCGAGACCAGCCCGGCCAATGTGGTGAAGCCCCATCTCTACTAAAAATACAAAAATTAGCTGGGCGTGATGGTGGGCAACTGTAATCCCAGCTACTCTGGAGGCTGAGGGAGGAGAATCGCTTGAACCCGGGAGGCAGAGGTTGCAGGGAACCAAGATTGAGCCATTGCACTCCAGCCTGGGCAACAAGAGTGAAACTCTGTCTCAAAAATTGACTTGGGTAAACTAAGTGGTCTCATTCTTGGGGCTTTGTCTTAGGCTGCCAAGCGCTGCAGTAGACAGCTGAGTCACCATAAGAGGCCTATAACTAATCCTGGCCAGCTAATCTCAGAGAGTCATCAGTGTTCTTGGACACAACTTTTACTCATTCTTTGTTGACTCCCCATTATACTACTGTGCGTGATGTTCTAAATCTCCGTGCCTCTGATGTTCTTCACTCTCATCTATTAATATTTCATTGAGCTTAAGGCCATCAAGTGTGGATCTCACTTCCCTCTTTTTCCTTAATTTTGTTATATTTAATCTTTCCTTACATACTGACTCACAGTACTTTTTCTTGTTTCCAAGACTGATCCTTTTATCTGTACTCTATCCCACTTCCTCTATCTTTACTATATTCTCTCCCCACTTCTTGCTTATGTTTTCACTATCTCTCCCTTTCTTGTTTGTTTTTGGGATAGGCTTGCTCTGTTGCCCAGGCTGGAGTGCAGTGGCGCGATCTCGGCTCACTGCAACCTCTACCTCTCGGGTTCAAGTGATTCTCCTGCCTCAGCCTCCTGAGTAGCTGGGGTTACAGGCGTGTGCCACCACGCCCAGCTAATTTTTGTATTTTTAGTAAAGACAGCATTTCACTATGTTGGCTAGGTTGGTTTTGAACTCCTGATATCTATAGTCTGCCCACCTCAGCCTCCCAAAGCGCTGGGATTACAAGGGTGAGCCACCGCACCTGGGCTTTTTTTTTTTTTTTTTTTGAGACTGAGTCTCGCTCTGTCACCCAGGCTGGAGTGCAGTGGTGTGATCTCGGCTCACTGCACCCTCTGCCTCCTGAGTTCAAGCGATTCTCCCACCTCAGTGAATAGCTGGGACCACAGGCATGTGCCACCACGCCTGGCTAATTTTTGTATCTTTCGTAGAGATGCGGTTTTGCCATGTTGGCCATACTAGTCTTGAACCCCTGGCCTCAAGTGATCTGCCCACCTTGGCCTCCCACAGTGCTGGGATTACAGGTGTGAGCCACTGCACCTGGCCTATCTTTGTCTCTTTAAGCATCTTCATTTTACCTTCAATTTTATTTCTTGAAAATAAACAACAAAAAAGATCCTTCCTTGGAATATTTCTCCCTCAAATGTCCAGTCTATCTCACCTTCCGTTTTCGTGTGATGTCTCAAAAGACTAGCCCCCTTAACGAACCACTTTTTCAGGAACTGGTAAAATTTCCCTCAACTGTAAAATCTGTGGGTAGAACTAAGAGATGATTCTCAGTTATTCTGTGTTCACCATTCTGACCTCATGCCCACCACCTCCTTTTCCTCACCTCCCACTCATTCCTCAACCTATGTAAAGTGATTTCTGCCCCTCTATTAAATGGAAACGGTTTTCTCAAAATTTGTAATCGTCTAGTTCCTGAACCCAACAATCTTTTCAACCCTCATTTACTAGACCTCTTTGAAGCCTCAAACATGGCTGCCCTGTCTCTGCTTGGCATCCCCCGCCCCCCGTGCCCTGCTTCTCTGACTGCTCCCCAACCTCTCCTTTATTGGTTCTCTTCCTTTGATCATGCTCAGGGCTCTTCTGGTCACTCCGCCCCCTCCCTTGAAGATCCTGTCCACTCAAAGGCTCAACCTCTACTGGGAAGGGAATGATGCCCAAATCTGTTCCTCCAGACCCAACTTCTCTTGAGCTCCAGACCTGCTTTCTGGAAATCTCCACCTGAGAGTCATGCTGGTACCTCAAACCTTCATTGAGCACTTTATTACCCTAAGCAGGCATACCTATACATTATAACTATAATGTATAGTTATTATTTGTATACTGTCTCATTAGACTGCAAGTTCTATGAAGGCAGTGACTTTATTATTTATACCTATTGTCAAGCAGTGCCCTGCTCCTAATAGGTGCTTAATAATTTTTTTTTTTTTTGGATACAGAGTCTTGCTCTGTCACCCAGACTGGAGAGCAGAGGCATGATCTCAGCTCACTGCAACCTCTGCCTCCCGGGTTCAAGTGATTCTTGTGCCTCAGACACCTGAGTAGCTGGGATTACAGGTGCCCAAGACCACACCCAGCTAGTTTTTATATTTTTAGTAGAGACGGGGTTTCACCATGTTGGCCAGGCTGGTCTCGAACTCCTGGCCTCAAGTGATCCTCCCAAAGTGCTCCCACCTTGGCCTCCCAAAGTGCTGTGATTACAGGAGTGAGGTGCCTGGCCACCACCACCCACCTTTTGGACAGACGTTGAGAGGATTTGTGGTGTTAGGAAAAGGGCTGGTTAACACACAGTAGGTATTAATTCACAAGATGATGGCCGTTTTCTTACTCCTTGTCTGTACTGCAGCACTCACCTGTTCTCCCTCTTTTTCATCGTCACCTGGACCACTGCCCACAGGATGCAGTCCAATCTCTGACCTTGACTTTCTGTGGTCCTTTCTTCATCACATGTTCCCTCACACCTGTGCTTCTTCTCCCTCAGGACGCTCCTTTCCCAGAACATACTGCATTTTCTGACTTGTCAGGCTCGCTCAAGACGTGTTATTCGCCTATGGAACCTTTCCATCCACCTCCACCTAGTGAACCCATTCATTAGAGCAAGTTCAAATGCTGTCTCCTCAGAGGCTCCCTGGATGCTTTCAAATGGACTTAATCTCCCCTCTTTCTGTAATCATCTTAAAGTTTACTCATCATGCCTTGAATCAGTTAACTAGGTATGGGTCTGCCTCCCCACTAGATTGTAAGCTTGAAGCAGGGTTTAAATTTATCTTTGGGCTACATAATGCTCAGTTGACCTACACTGAACAGAGTCCCTCCCAGATCCTTTTCCTAACTTAATCCAAACCTGCCCCAACCTGAGTCCTCAAACTGACCCTCTTCAATCTCATTATTCTTTTCCAGGCCTGTTCCTCCAATTGAATCCCAATGCATCCTCCACTGAGACTCAACTCCTGGTGCCAGCTCTAGAGAGCAGAGATACACTTCCACCTACCCACTGTTTCATGGCAGGCACTGAGTCACCCCTTGGGAATCCCTGGCCCCTGTCCCTGCCCCCACCATGCTGGACAGGATGCCTGCTGCCTGCCCCAAGGGGTCAGAGGAAGCCAGGGCCTCTAGGGCTCAGTATTTTTATCAGCCTAGGAAACAAGAGACACAGAAGCGGAAACCATGTGGTCAGAGAAAGTGAACAGCCCTTATCTCAGGGGAACCCCCACCAGGGCTGGGGGCCAGACACCAGGAAGGGACGTTGAAAAGACTGTGGTCCGGTGGGCCCAGGTTTCAGGGCTTATTTTGCTTTGGTTTTATGTAACTCTTGCAGAAGGGGAAATGATGTGCTTAAAAACCAGTGAGAAATCTCCTGGGTGGAGGAGCAAATTTGGTCACCAGAGTTTTCTGTAATTTACTTCTCAACCTCCAGCTTAGGGATCCTAACCCCAACTCCCCCCAAGGCCAAACCTGGACTCTTTGCATGCCACTTCCGAAAAGCTCCAGCCTGTGAGAGGAACCGGACGCCAGGGTCACACACAGCTTGAAGTCTCTTCTCTGAATCACAGCAGCTTCCTCTCACAGGATCTTTCTCACCAGCCCTTCCCCCTCCTGCACCCTGAACATCTGCCTGGTCCTTCAGAGGCCTTGGTCTCTTCCGAACTTCAGGCTGTCTTATTCAAGGATCTCATGCCCACCCATGTTCCCGTGTTCCCAGAGGCGTGCCCTCCCTGTCTTCTACTGCCTTCCACTTCCACTCCTGGGATTCTCCTGTAGAGAACTGGGCTCAAAACCTGAAAGATAAGTTTCTGATTGATAAGATGCTCTGGTGTAACTATGCAGACAGTGCACTCACCAGCACATGTCTGTACTCTCCTTGCAGCCCTGTCCTTTCTTTTTGCCAAGTTCCCAGTTGTGTCCTGGGCGATGGTAGTGGGGTCTACCTATCTTAGTTTCCAGGGAGCCCCCCTCTCTCCTCCGTGGGAATCCCAGACTCTCCCTCCACCTCTCAGGACTTCAACTACTGGTTCTTGGAAAAGGAAATGTTTATAGGGAAGGCCATGCCTGGGCTGCCCAGAGATGAACTCAGGTTTAGGATGGGGCAGCAGCTGAATGGCGGAGATGAGGATTGGGGCCCTGGAGGAAGAGAGATACAACTGACAAGCTAGAGGGCAGAGATGGATGGAGCCAGCAGCCTGGCTGGCTTTGGGTGTGGAGCTCCAGTTGCCCAAGAACAGACAACCCATGTTACATAATTTTGCTCTTTCCACCTCCTTCCCCTGCTCCTAATTTTAGCAACTGAAATTCCACTCCCCCACAGGGCTCTTCCTCCAGCCATTCTGCTTGTATTCCCCATCCTCCCCCAGCCTCCTCATGGCCCCCCAGCGCCGGCTACCCCCAACTCGCTCATTCAGTGACTCAGCAAAGGGAAAGCCCTGTGTTGGGGGAAGGGGGTGTTAAGTGGGGAGGAGGATGTGGTTCAGCTTGGGGAGCCAGGGAGGGGAGGGAAACTGGTTTTGTTCCCCTTTTTGCCTCTGTTCGCATCTATTTCTCCAGCCACAGATTGCAGGGTGGACAAGACCCCAGTGTAGGGAGTGGAGTGAGACTGGATGGCAAACTGGGCCTTCTTAGGGCTGAACTGAGGGGGCATGCAGAGGCTTCTTGCCTCCAGCTCAGAGCCCGTGTTAGCGTGTGCGTGTGTGTTGCAGGTGTGTGGGAGCTGTGGGTTTCAGCAGGCGGGGCGGGAAAGGAGATGTCATGGGTGATGAAAACCACAGCAATGGAAAAAGACAGAGGAGACACTGGGAGTGAGATGTGGAACCAGGTCTTATTAGGAAACGGCAGAGTCAAGGAGCAGTGGTGGCGGCCCGCACCCCCCACCCCCACTTGTTACAACTTTCGCTCCCACCCATATCCTCTGCTGAGCAGCACCTGGCTCTTCCTTGTGGTCCCCATCCTTTCCCTTACCCTTCCTTCTGCCTCATCCTGAGGCTGCAGCCCCGAAGTTTCTTGCTTCTTCCCTAGGGTCACTTGAGGGCCTCTGCATGGCGATTCAGGGCCTGAGAAAGGGCTGTCACTGCTCCCATCACACGGCCCAGCTCCCAGGTCTCAATCTGGCTTCGGAATCGCTGCAGGAAGCGGTCAGGGTGCCAGCGGACCTGCTGGACCCTCAAGTACCTCCTCAGAGCCCCCTGTTCCTCCAAAGGGGGGCCCCTGGCCACCAGGGCTGCAGCCATGGCCTCTGGGTCCCCTCCCCCAGGGCAGGGCCAGGGCACATCACCAAATCGCCAGAGGCTGCCCCTCCCCGCTCCTCTGGGGTGCTCTTCCCTGGGCCCGGCCCTGGTTGGCTTGGGTTCTCGGTCCCCTAGAGCCTCCTGCGCCCTCCTGGCTCGGCTCTCACGCAGCTCTTCCTCCTTGGCCCGGGCTCGCTCCCTGAAGAGCCGCTGCTCCTCCTCCTGCTGTCGCCAGCTCTGGCTGGAGCCCTCAGCACGTGGGGGTCGACGGGATCCCTCTGCTTCTCGCTGCTGCTGCTGGCACTTCTGGGCATGTTCCCGGGCCAGGCGATCTGACCAGGCTGAGAAGGACTCAGGTTCCTGGGTTTCATGGGAGGCATCACCTGTTTGGGAGGGTGGGATGGGGGTAGTTGGAGAGAGGCTGTGAGAAGGTGATGGGCCCCAAGAAGCAGGGAAGCACAGAGGAGGGGGCAGAGGAGCCTAGTGTGACGCATTCATGCAGATGGAAAGCAGCCAGTGGGGAAGGGCAGCTGTGGATAGCAGTGGACTTCTCACCTTCAAACCTCCCCATGACTTCCTGCCACTCGTCCTCCAGCTCACCCTGGAGCTTCTGTCTCCATTCCCGCTCCTTGGAGGCATCATCTTCTTCCTCCTCTTCAGCAGAATCCCAGGGGGGTCCCCAGCCCAAAATTTGGCCAGGGGTCTCCCCATCCTTATTCTTTATTCCCATGGCGGAGGGACAGCGGCTTAGCAGCGGGAGGAAGAAATCGGTGTAGGCTGTTGGTGGGAGAGCAGGGAGCAGAAGTTAGCTGGGACTCCCACTCCTCGGCAGAGCTGCCATCTTGAATCCTGCTGGTCACTCGCTCCCTTGGTCTTAAAGCAATGGAAGGGTGGCTCACATGGATGCCTCCTGGGTATTAGGAAATAACCATCACTGATAAATACAGACTGATAGTTTACCACATGCATGGTAAGTGTGGTAGTTTAAAATATTCTCGGCCAGGCGCGGTGGCTCACGCCTGTAATCCCAGCACTTTGGGAGTCCGAGGCGGGCGGATCACGAGGTCAGGAGATCAAGACCATCCTGGCTAACATGGTGAAATCCCATCTCTACTAAAAAATACAAAAAATTAGCCAGGCCTGGTGGCGGGCGCCTGCAGTCCCAGCTACTCGGCAGGCTGAGGCAGGAGAATGATGTGAACCCGGGAGGTGGAGCTTGTAGTAAGCCGAGATCGTGCCACTGCACTCCAGCCTAGGTGACAGAGCAAGACTCCGTCTCAAAAAAAAAAAAAAAAAAATTCTTACTTGTGTCTCCACAAACTATTTCAGCGTCCTAGAAGTTCTACCATGCCAACTGACATTTTCTGACCTGCCTCCAGCCACCAAGGCAGTGCCCAAATTCTTTGACTATGTATTCCACTTTTCACTTAAAAATATTGTCACTATATAAATCCCTTATTTTCTCACCTGAAACCATATATCAGACTGGGAAAATATCTGAATGCTCTACTCTGGGCCATTAATAAATACACAAATATGTAATACTTATCTTTTATTATCACTTATCAATAAACTGAGTAAAATAAATGTTTTCAGGGGAATTTCTCTCAGCCAGCCTTACCAGGGGATGATGGGAGAGGGGTGGGGAGGTGAACCGGCAACAACTATGGCCGGCGGCAGAGCAAGCTCTTTCCAAATGACTGCTGACCTAGGGCAGGGGAAAGGGAGTGGAGTGTGACAGAGGGTCTCACCCATGGGCTGAGAGAAAACAGGAGAGGAACCGACGTTCCTGAACTCCCCTTTTCTTCAGTCCCAACCTTGCTGCATCTGGCCCAAGGTTAGCTGAGTGCCATGCTACTTCCTTCACTGCCAACCCAGGCATCCTGGCCAGGCCCACCTGCTGTGGCCACCAACCACCTCTTTCACTTGGGGGATAGAAGAAGGGGAGGGAGGCAGCCTTCCTTCCTGTGGACCTACTTTCTTTCCCCGGGGTAAGAGGAAATGGGCTAGCAGTCCTTAAATCTTTATTTGGTAGTGCTGGAAAGTACTGTTTACCTGGCAGAAAGCTGGAATAGGGGAAGGCAAGGCCAGGAAGGCAAGAAGACAGAATGGCCCAGGTGTGGCTGGCGAAGGCCCACCATCCCTACCCAAATCACATCAGGGTTGGTGGGGGGGGGCACTTCTCCCTAGTGCTGCTGTGACCTGTCACAGACCCTCTCAACTTGTCCCACCCAGAAAGTACCTGGTCCTGTCTCTCATTCGCTTGTTCCCCACCTGAGCTCAGGTGGTGAGCATGGTGAGTGCTCAGGCTTGCATGGGAGGTTTACATTCATAGGTTTTAAGGAGTAGGGCCTCCAACTATAAAAACATAATATTAAACAGCCACTACAACTGAGGCATGTGTTTGAAAAAAGCTGGCTACAAAACTGTAGAGAGGATCAGATGTGGCCAGGCACGGTGGCTCACGCCTGTAATCCCAGCACTTTGGGAGGCTGGGGGGGGGGGACAATGGATCACAAGGTCAGGAGTTCAATACCAGCCTGGCCAAGATGGTGAAAACCCGTCTTTACTAAAACAAACAAACAAAATATATATATAATTATATTTTATATTATATATAAAATTAGCCAGGCGTGGTGGCTGACGCCTGTAATCCCAGCTACTTGGGAGGTTGAGGCAGAGAACTGCTTGAACCTGGGAGGCGGAGGTTGCAGTGAGCCGAGATCGCGCCTCTGCATTCCAGCCTGGGTGACAGGGTGAGACTCTATCTCAAAAAAAAAAAAAAAAAAAAAAAAGAGAGAGAGAGAGAGGATCAGATAATAACTGTCTAAAACAAGAGACCAAATCCTATGGTTGGAAAAAAAGAGGCCGGGCGTGGTGGCTCATGGCCTGTAATCCCAGCACTTTGGGAGGCTGAGGCGGGTGGATCACCTGAGGTCAGGAGTTCGAGACCAGCCTGGCCAACATGGTGAAATCCTGTCTCTACTAAAAATACAAAAATTAGCCAGGCGTGGTAGCATGTGCCTGTAATCCCAGCTACTTGGGAGGCTGAGTCAGGAGAATCACTTGAACCTGGAAGGCAGAGGTTGCAGTGAGCTGAGATCATGCCAGTGCACTCCAGCCTGGGCAACAGAGGGAGACTCCCATCTCAAAAAAAAAAAAAAAAAAAGAAAAAAAATAGACTGGCAAAAAATATGTAAAAATTCTAGCCTATGGGTGGTGGGGCTGTAGGTGGCTTTTCCCCCAATTTTATTTGACATTTTAATGTGAAAGGGATATAATTAAGTTGAAATTTTCTTTTTAAAGAAGGACGAACAAATTTGATAACTATTAACAGTGTACTGTGATCCCTTCCAGTCCCACCTTGGTGTACCTAAAAGCATACATATGACACATTTATTTGGAGATATGTAACCATACTACAAATATTGCTTGGCAACTTGCTTCTTTCATTTAACATCTCATTTATATTTTTCCACAGGAATATATACAGTCTACCTCATACTTTTTGACGACTTTATAATTAGTGTTCCACTGTGTGTACAAAACAAATCTCCTTACCCCAATATCGATAGACTTTGTTTCAAAAAATGTTCAGCCTCATGAGTATCTTACAGTCTTTCTGTGGGGGTAGATTTTCATAAGTGGAATTTCTGAGTCAAAGGACATGCGCAATTTGGTCAAACTGCTCTCAATAAGTTTGTGCCAATATACAAGTGTGCCTATGTCTTCCTTTACCAAAATTGAATATCATCAACCCTTTTAATTTTGCCAGTTGGATAGATTAAAAAATTATTTTATTAACAATGTTTTTTTCTTTTTCATGTCTTTTGGCTATTTGTATTTTTTGTGAATGAATTGCTCATATTCTTTATCCACTTTTTCTTTGGAAATTATATATATTGATATGAGGGTTCTATATACTGTATGTGTTATACATATTGCAAACATTTTCTTCTATCTATCTTTAAAAAAGCTTTTTTTTTCTTTTTGAGACAAGGTCTCACCCTGTTGCCCAGGCTGCAGTGCGGTGGCATGATCTTGCTCACTGCAAACTCTGCCCCACCTGGGCTCAAGCGATCCTCCCACCTCAGCCTCCTGAGTAACTGGGACTACAGGACGACAGCCACGTACCACCACGCCTGGCTAATTTTGTATTTTTTGTACAGACCAGGTCTCACTGTGTTGTTCAGGCTGGTCTTGAACTCCTGGCTCAAGTGATCTGCCTACCTTGGCATCCCAAAGTGTGGGATTACAGGTGTGAGCTATCGCACCCGGCCTAAAATTTTCATGTAGTTAAATCTATATCAATATATTATTTTCTGACTTTTTATTTCACTTCACTCTTAGGAAGGCTCTATTTTAAGATTATAAAACATTCTCTGCATTTTCTTCTACTACTTTAGATGTATACTCATTTTTATTTTTAGAAATTAAAAAACTCGGCCAGGCGCGGTGGCTCATGCCTGTAATCCCAGCACTCTGGGAGCCCAAGGTGGGTGGATCATGAGGTCAGGAGTTCAAGACCAGTCTGGCCAAGATGGTGAAACCCCGTCTCCACTAAAAATACAAAAATTAGCCTGACGTGGTGGCGGATGCCTGTAATCCCAGCTACTTGGGAGGCTGAGGCAGAGAACTGCTTGAACCCGGGAGGCAGAGGTTGCAGTGAGCCAAGATTGCGCGACTGGACTCCAGCCTGGGTGACAGAGTGAGACTCTGTCTCAACAACAACAAAAAAGAAATTAAAAAACTCTCAAAAATACAAAGTATAATACAATACACAACCCCATTCCTACCACAGGGTTTGTTAATGTACTGTCATGTTTGTAGTATAATTTATTTTAAGGAAATAAAATCATCACAGATAAAGGTAGTTTACCGTGATACCGCCTTCCAAGTTTCATTCCTCCCCAGGCCATCTGTCCCATGAATTTGGTGTGTACCTTCCTGTCATATTCAGGTATTTAATCTGCTGGAATTTACTTTTTGATTAGGTGTGAGGTGGGACTCTTGTTTTTCCCTAGATGAGCCAAATGTTCCAATATTATTTATAAAATAGTTCACCTGGTCAGGCACAGTGGCTCATGCCTGTAATCCCAGCACTTTGGGAAGCTGAGGTGGGTGGATCACCTCAGGTCAGGACAGGAGTTTAAGACCAGCCTGGCCAACACGGTGAAACCCCCATCTCTACAAAAATACAAAAATTAGCTGGGCATGATGGCAGGTGCCCAGCTACTCAGGAGGCTGAGGCAGGAGAATTGCTTGAACCCGGGAGGCGGAGGTTGTAGCAAGCTGAGATTGCGCCATTGCACTCCAGCCTGGGTGACACAGCGAGACTCTGTCTCGGAAAAAAAAAAAAAAAAAAGTTCACCTTTCTCCAGTATTAGAAATGCCCCCTTTAGGCCTGGCGCGGTGGCTCACGCCTCTAATCCCAGCATTTTGGGAGGCCGAGGCGGGCGGATCATGAGGTCAGGAGTTCGAGACCAGCCTGGCCAACACAGTGAAACCCTGTCTCTACTAAAAATACAAAAAATTAGCTGGGCGTGGTGGCGGGCGCCTGTAATCCCAGCTACTTGGGAGGCTGAGGCAGGAGAATGGCTTGAACCTGGGAAGCGGAGCTTGCAGTGAGCCGAGATCACACTACTGCACTCCAGCTTGGGCGACAGAATGAGACTCCATCCCCCACTTCGCCAAAAAAAAAAAAAAAAAAAAAAAAAAAGAAATGCCGCCTTTATAGCGATTTACCAGATCAACCGTTCTCAATGCTCTTTAATACGCTGGAGTTTCATACTAAGAAAAATAAACATAAAAACATTTTGGCCAGGCGCTGTGGCTCACGCCTGTAATCCCAACACTTTGGGAGGCTGAGGTGAGCAGATCACAAGGTCAAGAGATCGAGACCATCCTGGCTAACATGGTGAAACCCCGTGTCTACTAAAAATACAAAAAATTAGCCAGGCGTGGTGGCATACGCCTACAGTCCCTACGCCTATAGTCCCAGCTACTTGGGAGGCTGAGGCAGGAGAATCTCTTGAACCTGGGAGGTGGAGGTTGCAGTGAGCCGAGATTGTGCCACTGCACTCCAGCCTGGGCGACAGAATGAGACTCCTTTTCAAACAAAACAAAACAAAACAAAACAGAAAACAAAAACAAAACCAAAAGACATTCTGTGGGATGGGCACGGTGGCTCATGCCTATAATCCCAACATTTTGGGAGGCTGAGGTGGGTGGATCACTTGAGGTCAGGAGTTTGAGACCAGCCTGGCCAACATGTTGAAACCCCATCTCTACTAAAAACACAAAAATTAGGTCGGGCATGGTGGCTCATGCCTGTAATCCCAGCACTTTGGGAGGCCGAGGCAGGTGGATCATCTAAGGTCAGGAGTTCGAGAGCAGTCTGGCCAACATGGTGAAACCCCATCTCTATTAAAAATACAAAAGTTAGTCGGGCATGGTGGCAGGCTCCTGTAGTCCCGGCTACTCAGGAGGCTGAGGAAGGAGAATCACTTGAACCCAGGAGGCGGAGGTGGCAGTGAGTCAAGATACTGCCACTGCACTCCAGCCTGGGGAACAGAGGGAGACTCCGTCTCAAAAATAAATAAACAAATAAAAATTTAAAAATTAATAAATAAAAATAAAAAAATTAGCTGGGCATGGTGGTGTGTGCCTGTAATCTCAGCTACTTGGGAGGCTGAAGCAGGAGAATCGCTTGAACCCAGGAAGCAGAAGTTATAGTGAGCCGAGATCATGCCACTGCACTCCAGCCTGGGCGACAAAGCAAGACTCCGTCTCAAAAGGAAAAGAAAAAGGAAGCTGGAAGCTGAATGAGATGGGCCTTTCAACCAAGGAGTTAGAAGGCCATCTGGTGGCAGGGCTGGCAGAGGACCAGGAGTAAATAAGGCCAGAGAGGACACCAGGGTCTGGGAGTGAAGGCACTGAGCTTGGGTCCCCCTTTGGAAGACAATGACCTGAGAGCTGTGAGATTTCAGACAAGTTCCCGAACCTTTTGGGCCCTGCTTTCCTCATCTGTAAATGGGATAATATCAGTCTCACCAGCTTCTTAAAATTCAATACAATGGAGTTGGGTGTGGTGGCTCACGCCTCTAGTCCCGGCACTTTGGGAAGCCGAGGTGGGCAGACTGTTTGAACTCAGGAGATGCAGAACAGCCTGGATAACATAGCAAAACAGTCTCTACCAAAAATACAAACAATTAGCTGGGCATGGTGGTGTGTGCTTGTAGTCCCAGCTACTAGGGAGGCTGAGGTGGGAGGACTGCTTGAGCCCACGAGGTAGAGGCTGCAGTGAGCCATGATTGCACCACTGCACTCCAGGCTGGGAGACAGAATGAGACCCTGTCTCAAAACAAACAAGCAAACAAACAATAAAGGAAATCCCTACCACACTATCAGGGGCATTTTGGCTGAGCGCGGTGGCTCACGCCTGTAATCCCAGCACTTTGGGAGGCTAGGCTGGCAGGTCACCTGAGGTCGGGAGTTTGAGACCAGCCTGACCAACACGGAGAAACCGTCTCTACCAAAAATACAAAATTAGCCGGGCGTGATGGTGCATGCCTGTAATCCCAGCTACTTGGGAGGCTGAGGCAGGAGAATCTCTTGAACCCAGGAGGCAGAGGTTGAGGTGGGCTGAAATCGCGCCATTGCACTCTAGCCTGGGCAACAACAGGGAAACTCCATCTCAAAAAAACAAAACAAAACAAAAAACAAAACTCCCATTTTTGCGAGGCAAATTGGGCTCACAGAGGTAAGCTGCATGTCCCTGTTGATGGCAGAGCTGGGGTCTGGATGCAGGTCTGCTTCGGGGTAATCCGCTCTTTTGCCTTCCAGGGTCCTGCCTCTTACAATATGAGCTGTCAAGTTAGATGCCTGCACTCAGTAAACCTACTCTGTTTTAAGTAAAAACAACAAGAAACAAATCTGAATATGCTAGCCTATCTCAGGTACGTTAAAGGAAATTTTTAAATAGGGGGTTTTTTGACCATTTGGGGGAGTTTTGGGGGAGGGGCCTTCTGTCTATACTTGAGCTGGGGGATGTTAGGGTTGTTCATCTGGATCTAGAGGTTTTCCTGTAATGTTCTTACTCCAGAAGGAAATCTCTAGATGGGGAAAGAAGGTTTCAGCTTTTATTCTAGTAAGCAGGGCTCTACCTATAAAGAGCTGCTTCCACCACTCTTTTTTTTTTTTTTGAGACGGAGTCTTGCTGTGTTGCCCAGGTTGGAATGCAGTAGTGCAATCTCGGCTCACCACAACCTCTGTCTTCCGGGTTCAAGTGATTCTCCTGCCTCAGCCTCCCAAGTAGCTGAGACTACAGGTGTGTGCCACCATGCCTGGCTAATTTTTGTATTTTTAGTACAGATGGGGGTTTCACTATGTTGGTCAGGCTGGTCTCGAACTCCTGACCTCGTGATCTGACTGCCTTGGCCTCCCAAAGTGCTGGGATTACAGGCATGACCCACCGCACCTGGCCTCCACCACTATTATAATATCACCAGGTTCCCCATTTGAATCCTTCAGTGCCAAAGGTTTTGCAGAATTCAAATGTTTTTGGGACTTGATAGGGCTGACCTAAAAGTACACTCACTCTATATTAGGTAGCCCAGGAGGGCCTAGGCAGCCCAAGAACCAAACACATGAGTGTTTCTGCAGGGAAATGTATGAATATTGACATCAGTAGGATGAAAATAAATAATAGTCTTACTTTAGTTCAGATTAGGTTTCTGTCACCAAATGAATTTTGGTGGCAGCCTGATGAAAAATGTTGGTTCTCAGAGTGTTTTTGAGTTTAGAATTGTGGTTAAGGGAGTATGGACCTGTTGATAACAAAAACAGGAACAAGGCCAGGTGTGGTGGCTCACACCTGTAATCCCAGCACTTTGAGAGGCTGAGGTTGGTGGATCACCTGAGGTCAGGCATTCGAGATCAGCTTGTCCAACATGGCGAAAACCCATCTCTTCTAAAAATATAAAAATTAGCTGGGCGTGGTGGCATGCGCCTGTAATCCTAGCTACTTGGGAGGCTGACGCATGAGAATCACTTGAACCTGGGAGGTAGAGGTTGCAGTGAGCCAGGATCGCACCATTGCATTCCAGCCTGGGCAAGAAGAGTGAAACTTCATAAAAAACAAAAACAAAAACAAAAAACAGAGAAACAGGAACAACAATCGCCAGCATATACCAAGTGCTTATCGTGTGTGCCAGGTACTCTAATTATGTACTATGTCAGTTGATTCTCAAAACATATATGGCACAACATGGGTACTCTGAACATGGGCACAATCAATGTACAATGCTATAATGTATAACACAGGACAATGTAGCTGTTAAAAGCATGGACACTCTATCTAGTCCATCTGGGTTATAATCTCTGCTCTACCAGTGAATAACTGTAACTCTGGCAAATGACTTCTCTATGCCCTGTTTCCTCAGCTGGGAAATGGGGGATAATATCAGTACTCACCTCCTAAGATTGTTGTGAGGATTAAATGTGTTACTTTATAAGAAATGTCTGGCACATAGCAAAGGTTGTTATTATTTTAATTTTTACACATGGGCAAACTAAGCCTCAAGTAACCTGTCCAAGAATACGTAGCTATGAAGTGTGGAGCTGGGATTTGGAGCTGGGGTTTGAATCCAGGCAATCTAACTCCAGAGCCTACCTTCTATGCTACTTTTTGGCTACGAGCAAACAATCTGTCAAGAAACAAAGTAGCTACTAATCTAAACAGATGTGAAATTTGAAGACCAGTTGATCTTTGGGGAATGTTGGGTTCTTCAGACAATGGTAGCTCAGTAATGTAAAGGGACAAATGACAGCCACATGCCAACTTGGTTAACTCCTTCCCTAGGTCCTGATGACCAAATAACCAGCTTATTTCTCAACTATTGGTTGGCTTTCATTTCAGGTCTGGTCAGCTGCTTATGACCTTGTTCCCCACTGAGCAGACTCACCATCTGGGCCCTGGCGGGCAGCAGCATGCAGTGCCGTGTCCCCATGGCGGTCCTGGTGGGCAGGGTCAGCCCCGAGCCGAAGCAGCAGGCACAGGGCAGGGGCATCGTGGCGGGCACAGGCCCGGTGCAGTGGTGGGGGCTGCCCAGCATCTACATCGAGGCCTGGGTGTCGCTGGAGGAGGGCCTGGGCCCGGACCAGCCGTCCTGCAGACAAGTAACGACGAAAGCGACGTTCTCGGCGTTGGCGGCGGGAAGTGGAGGCCATGGAACTCTTGGGCTGGGGAAGGAAAAAAGGCAGCAGTCAGGACTTCAGCCTTGGCTGGTCCTTCTCCCTCCATCTCTGACATCCCCTGTTGTTTCTCCCTTTGGTTCCGTCTTTTTTTAATATCTTCAGCAAGAGATGAGGCCTAACCTAACCCTGATCCTTTATCAGATGATAGATTTGAAAAAAAATTTTTTTTGAGGGGGGTGATAGGATCAGAGGTTTAATTTTTTTAATGTAAAATTCGAGAAAAGGGTAAATAATTGGTTTAAGGCTCAGGAGCCCAGGTAAATTTTTAATTTTTAACAAAGAACTTTAAAAAAACCCAACAGGGCCGGATGGGGAAAATTTTTATCAGCAGAAATCTGAGTTTTAAAAAGTCACAGATAATCTCCAATAATGATCTAGAAATTGAATATCATGTACCCGGCAGACAGATGTGGAGGCTTCTTCCTCTGGAACCTGGGGGGAGGGGTTACTCATCAGACCTGCCCCCGCCCCCCCAAGTACCCCCAGAGCCGTAGGCCCAAGGCCTGTGTTTAAGAAGCTCGGAGACGGGAGGCGGGAAGGGCGGAGACACTCCAGGCTGGAGGAAATGGCGCAAGCAGAGACGCAGGTGGAGGACGGAAGTGAACTGTGAGGGGCGTTACCGGATGTCGTTCCGCCCCGACCGGGTAGTTCTTGGCCAGATCTCCCAGGGGAAACTAGGGAACTTAAATTAAAGGGGCCGTCTGAAACCAGAAGACTGGACTGGAGGCGAGGAAAAGGAGGCGAGGGGAGGGGAGGGAGAAAAGAGAGTTATTTGGAGGTTTTTTCCCGCCTCCTCTAACTTGGCAGAGAGAGGAGATGGTTCAGTGATGGACGAAAAGATGAGAAGACAGAGAAAATAGAGGAGATAAAGACAGGATAAAAATCACATTAAACATGGAAAACAAAAACAAAAACCACAGTGGGACAACAACAGGGACAGATCAAAAAAAAAGAAAAAATACAGACAAAAGACGGAAGAAGACTATCGTAGGATGGGGCAAGTGAGATGCAAAAATTTGGACTTGAGAAATATGTAGAAAAAGATGGAGATGTTAACAACGGGAGGCAGGGGAGGGGGCGGGATGGTGGAGAGAGAGAGAAAGGTAGAGAGTTAGTTTAGAATTAAGCCCAGAATGCTCTTTTCCCAACACAGGTTGCATGATGACATCCTTACCTTTTCACCGCATTCACAACCCTTTATGCTTCCTCTGTTACCACCAATCAAGTTCTCCTTCTCTCACCTCAGTACTCCCCCGTCTCCGCCCCTGCCTCATCCCTAGACCTTTCCGACTGGGATGGCTAACCTGTTGTAAGCCCGCAGCTTTGGGCCTGGTCTCTGCTGCTCCCAGGCGGCCCCTTTGGGTACTGCCTGAGCAAGAAGTGCTGGAGAGGAGGACCAGTCATCAATAGGAGGATGAGATTGGGAGAGACACTCGGTGCAGGAGGCTGAGTGAGCAGGGGAGCACTAAGACCCAGGGGTAGTGGAGGACTGCAGCAACGAGCTGGAGGAGGAGAAGTAAGCGGTGGGGGGTGGGAGCCATCTGGTACTTTGACAGCATTCAAAACAGCATCGGCCATAACAACAGAAATGGCCAGTCAGTCCCAAGGTATCCAGCAGCTTCTGCAAGCTGAGAAGCGGGCAGCTGAGAAGGTGGCAGATGCCAGAAAGAGTGAGTCTCCTCTTTCCTCCCTTAGGAGTTTGGAAAGAAAATTGGGGGTGGGGGACAGCAAACATTTTGGGAAAACCCAAGGCTGGCGGGAAGACAGACAGCTAGGGTCTGGAGGCTGGTTAGGAGGGAAGAAATGGATGGATATTAGAATCTGGCACCTGGTTGGCTGAGAGAAGGCTGTATAACTTTCTGGAAGGGACTGACTCCTGCTATTACATTGTGTGTGTGTGGGTCCATCCCCACTCACTGTCCTTTCTTCTGCCTCCAGGGAAGGCCCGGCGACTGAAGCAGGCAAAGGAGGAGGCACAGATGGAGGTGGAGCAATACCGCAGAGAGCGAGAGCACGAATTCCAGAGCAAGCAGCAGGCGGTGAGTTGAGGCAGAGTCGGGTTGAGACCCCACTGCAAGTTGGTGGGTGCATCTAGTGAGGTGTGTAAGGGTGACTCAACAAGAAAATATGGTGGCAGAGGGCTGAGGCTGAGGGGACCCTGGCAGGGACCACAACATTGGTGAAACTTTGTGATGATATGTAGGAGAGTCTGGGAGTTTTGAAGGCCACATAGAGCTTGTGGGCGGAATGCCACAGTCTGTGTAAAGTATAACATCTATGTGGAGTATGATTAACATTTGTGGTGGAGGGTAGAGTTTTATGGTCATGGATGGTGAGGTGGTGGGGATATTACGGTCTGTTTTAGGATGAAGTTGCATGTTAGGTCTAAGGGGAAAGGGGACTGTGTTGATCTCTTTGGTGTTGGGATATTTCTGTGGGATGGGGGTGGTTTCTGAGAGGGCCTTTCTTCTAGGCTTTGTTTCAGGATCTTTCCCCTCATATGCCTGGACCCTTGTCTGTTTCTGCTTTTCCCTTTCTCTCTTCCACCCCTCTCCCTACCCCCCAGGCCATGGGCTCCCAGGGGAACCTGTCTGCTGAGGTGGAGCAGGCTACAAGGCGCCAGGTGCAGGGCATGCAGAGCTCCCAGCAGAGAAACCGAGAGCGTGTCCTGGCCCAGCTTCTTGGCATGGTCTGCGACGTCAGGCCCCAGGTCCACCCCAACTACCGGATTTCTGCCTAGGGCCACCGTAGGGCCTGACTCCTTCTGCCAGTTCCCTCCCTCAAAGAAATCCTCCAATCAAAATCACCTCCCACCATAATCCCTGTCTTCTTTCCATCCCCTAGAAATCCTGGGAGGCAGGATCCAATAATTTTCCTGTGACACTTATAAATATCCTGCTCACATCTGAATCTCCTTGTTGTTCTTTAACCCTCACTGGGACTTTGTAAACTTCCAAGTCATTCTCACCTAAACCCTCTGTGAAATTTGTAATATGGGGAAGTAGGAATGTGGAAAACATCCTGACTTCAGTGTCTGGCCGATGTGGGTCCCTCTCTTGACCCTGTCACTTGCTGGCTGTGAAACCAGGACAAGCTACTTAACTTGGTAGCCTCGATGTCCTCCTCTGTGAAACTGGGATGATAATAATGCCTACCTTGTGAGGGTTGCTTCAATGATTAGGAATCATTCTGTAAAGTCTAGCACAGTTCCTTGCATGTTGTAGCAGTGATTCAGTAAGTAGCAACCCTGTGATACTATTACCACCACCTGCTCACTGGTCAAAACCTACACAGCTGTTTCCTCACGTCCATCACTGGCTCTCTAATTCCACTTGTTCATTCTGTGACCCTAGTTATTTTCTGAAAAATTGGTTCTTCTCTTTTCCCAGAGACCTTCTGATCTCCAAAAAGAGGAGATGACTACATTTAGCCCCTCTCTTATAATTCCAGGTAGATAACTGCATTTTGTAGCCTCTCTTTGTTTTTCTTTTGCTGATCTTTGTCTTTATTAGATTTTCCTCCTTTCCTATTTCCCCAAAGACTTATCAGATGCTCATTGCTTTCTAAGATCTAAAATGATACTGTGTTCCCTCATATGCATGCCCTTCCTTTCTATATCCTTGACACCTTACTTTCCCATTGTAACAATAAAAAAAGTATCAATAAAATAATTATTGGCAAATAAATTGGTGAGTTGAAGCAGCCTCCTTTTGCCTCATCATTTCTCATTTTCAGTCACTTTGTTTTTTTTTTTTTTGAGATGGAGTTTTGCTCTTGTTGCCCAGGCTGGAATACAATGGCGTGATCTCAGCTCATTGCAACCTCTGCCTCCCAGGTTCAAGCGATTCTCCTGCCTCAGCCTCCCAAGTTGCTGGAATTATGGGTGTGTGCCACCACGCCTGGCTATTTTTTGTATTTTTAGTAGAGATGGGGTTTCGCCATGTTGGTCAGGCTGGTCTCAAACTCCTGACCTCAAGTGATCCACCTGCCTTGGCCTCCCAAAGTGCTGAGATTAGAGGTGTGAGCCACTGTGCCTGGCCTTCAGTCACTTTCTTGTTTTTTGTTTACATATTCCCTAAACAGCCCAAATGGCTATCCTTTGAAACTTCTTGGAGAAACAAGAACAAGTAGTACTTTATTATTTCTCTAAAGTGAGAAACATGGTTCCTCATTTGGGAATCTGAGGACTATAGATCGCAACTGTAGAGAAAAGCTGGAGTGTAGGAGCAAGTGCTCTTTGCCCCTTTACCTTGCATTTTCTTCATAGCACTTACTGCTACTGGTTTTTTGAGACAAGGTCCTGCTGTGTTGCCCAGGCTGGAGTTCCAGCTCACGGCAGCCTTGACCCCCTGGACTCAAATGATCCTCCCACTTCAGCCTCCTGAGTAGCTGGGATTACGGGCGAGTGC
Source organism: Homo sapiens (assembly GCF_000001405.40). NCBI lineage: Eukaryota > Metazoa > Chordata > Mammalia > Primates > Hominidae > Homo > Homo sapiens. The sequence continues at coordinate 31,543,738 of NC_000006.12, read as the reverse complement.
CACTATGCCTTGCTAATTTTAAAATTTTTTGTAGAGATGGGGTCTCACTTGCCCAGGCTGGTCTGAAACTCCTGGGCTCAAGCAATCCTTCGGGCTCGGCTTCCTCAAGGGTTGGGTTACAGGCCTGAGCCACTGCACCCTGACCACTTATCGATACTTGACATTATATTTGTGTTTATGTGTTTTCTTTCCTGTAATGTAAACACTGTGAGAACAGGGCTGTTCACCGTTGTGTCCCCAGATCCTAGGACAACATGTGGCACAAGGGAGGCAGTTGATAAATACTTTTGAATAAATTAAATGATACTTGGGAAAATACCTTCTATGACACCATTCTTGAATTAGTTACTTCATTTGTCACTGAAGACAAGCTTACTTCACCAAGAATTTGAACCAATAAGGTAACCTGCAGTGTATTTACTAACCAGATTCTTTGAGCAGGGAGGCAGAATACAATAGAGAATGAGAGATGTTTGCATCCTGGCTGTAACCTCACCAGCCGTACTGCTTGAGATATGTTGCTTTGCTTCGCTTCTGTCAATAAGATGAGAATAACGGTACCTACTCCTTAGTATTAAATGATTAAGTATGTTAACAGGGAGAGGGCCAAACGTTTGTTGTTTTATTACACAGCAGGACATCAGGTCTTACTTTTGTAGCTCCCCATCTCAAAGACGGGGATAGCAAATGTTTCATTCAGGAAAAAAATCCAGGTTGAACAATGGGGCTGTTGGGGCGGGGCCAAGAACATTCTGCTCGAATTAACAGTATTAATGGGCCGGGCGCGGTGGCTCACGCCTGTAATCCCAGCACTCTGGGAGGCCGAAGTGGGTGGATCACCTGAGGTCATACATGGGTGAAGCCCCGTCTCTACTAAAAAAACAAAAATTTGCTGGGCGTGGTGGCGGGCGCCTGTAATCCTAGCTACTCGGGAGGCTGAGGCAGGAGAATCGCTTGAACCCGGGAAGCAGCGGTTGCAGTGAGCCGAGATCAGGACATTGCACTCCCGCCTGGGCGACAGGGCGAGACTCTGTCTCAAAACAAAAACAAAAACAGTATTAATGGAATGTAGTATAACCCTCAAGCCCTACTATTAACACTTGGGGCCGAATCCAGACCCCGTCTTCCCGCTCGGATTCAGAACACCTTCCTGACTCACTGGCCCTAGGGCATCAGCTACCTCGGACAGCATCCTTTTGGGAAAATACCGCCCACCAGCCCCACGACTGGGAAAGAGTCGGGAAACACCCCCGAGCAATCCAGTTCCCTGAGACTTCCCTCCTCCCTCCCCTCAGCTAGGGCCTGCCGGTTCCTAGTGCGTGCCCAGCAGTCCTCAGGTCACCTTCACTACCGGGCCAAGGACCCCGTGGGAACTCGCAGCCTTCGCCACACTCGTTCCTCGCGCATCCATGGAGGGGTGCCTACAGAGAAGACCTGCGTGGCAAAAACCTAAACGAAGAGATGAGGGGCATGGAGAGGAGTAGGATAAGAGAATAAAGATAACAGTGGGGGGGAGACGTTAGTTTCCTTTATATCTTTTGTTACTGGCGGTAGCAGTGAAGTTAGAAACGGTTTTAAAACAAATTTCAGACAGGCATTTTCCAAAGGCAAGCCTGGAGCGCACGGATCTGTATAACCGCGGAAGGCCCTGTTTCCGGTCCCTTGCGCCTGCGCTCTTGCAGCCAAGAAGGCGGGAGGCTGGAGTAGAGGGAAGCCTGCAACCGGAAGTGAAGGCAGATTTCCCTCCTTCGTCGCTGTTGCTGCCGCCATACGCGCTCTCCCTGTTTAGGTAAGCTTTGGCCTTCGCTACAATCCGTTTCCATCTGCGCTTCTCCGCACCCATCCCGTCACATGGGTTCCTGATACCCTTTTCACAGGCGATGGTCTGGTCGCTGGGGCCTAGTTGGTTCGCTATTTCCTTAGCTTGCATCCCTTTCGAGAGCAAAGAGCTCCTGGGGGAAGGAAGGGAAGCTAAGGGGGGACCCAATCCAAGATGGTGTCCTCGGCGCCATTGTGTTCGTTTTGCTCCCTTCTTCCAATGGGTTCTTCTCATATTGGAGGCCTCAGCATCAATGAGAGGCGGCGCTCGGCGTCCCTTGGTCTTGGTATTTGCGGAGGGCGGGGCTCTTCTCACCTTCCTTGTCCTTTCTTGAGCTCTTTCTCGGCCCTCGGTGGGACTGGGAGGAGGAGCTGGTTTCTGGGCCCAGTTGGATTTTTCTCACCTTGACTTGCCCAACTTAATTTGGAGTGCCTTCCAAGTGTTTACGATACGATTGGTGTCATTGTATGTTTCTCCAAAAGGAGTCTCACCTTCGTAGCGTAACAGTGATGTGAGACCACTTGGTAAAGATCCTGTTAAAGCCTGGGCGGGGATTGCCTTTCTCTGTCACCTATTAGCTTTCTTATTGTAGGGTGGAGACATGAATTTTGTTTTTTTGTGGCCGAGCCATTTGTCTTGCACCGCCCCTCCCCCCCATGCTAATTACACAAGGCTTGCTTAAACAGCGGAAGGGAGGATACTGAGAAGTGGGAGGCTGAGAGCTATGGGAGGTGGACGGCGGCCATATGATGTTTTCTTTTCGAAAGGTGAGCGCTTTGCGCAGTGATGACCCTCATCTATCACCCTTGACTGATGGCTGCTGAGTTAGGCATCCATAACGGTGGGATTATAATAGGGAAAGCGGAGTCTTCCTTTGAGGACTTTTCAGGACTCTACTTGTCATCTCCATTTTCCACTTTACTAAGTTATTAGTCGTATTTTACCTTTTATTATCTATTCTATTTCCTCACTGTTACTTTCAGATCAAGAATTTATAAGTTGGTCTTCCCCTTCCAACTTTTCTGGTTTCCGCTACTGTGATTGCTAATCTTGTTGGGAACCTCTGTCCTAACCACTTTCCCTGGTACTGCTTTTTCTGTTCTGTTATATTTGCTTTTCGTTTTTATGTTTTGTATCTGTTTTTCTTTCCAGGTAAAAGTTTCCTGGTTTAGGGAAAGTGGGAACTGGGGATGGAAAAGAGGTGGTGAAGGCTGTGCTCGTGATTAAGTCTTGCTTTTTTTTTTCCCCCCTCCAGCTCTTCTGTTAGAAATAGTATCTTTGTTTTCCTTTGCTGTTCCTCAATCCCCTACTCTTCACCCCTTGTTTTCACCTATTTTGCGAGAACCCATCCAGATCCCCCTTCCCTTCTTCCCCTGCCGGCCCAGTTATGGCAGAGAACGATGTGGACAATGAGCTCTTGGACTATGAAGATGATGAGGTGGAGACAGCAGCTGGGGGAGATGGGGCTGAGGCCCCTGCCAAGAAGGATGTCAAGGGCTCCTATGTCTCCATCCACAGCTCTGGCTTTCGTGACTTCCTGCTCAAGCCAGAGTTGCTCCGGGCCATTGTCGACTGTGGCTTTGAGCATCCGTCAGAAGGTAAATTTTCTCTTGGGCATGTAGTGCTCATTGGGCTCTTTAAGGGTACAATACAAAGATGTGTTTGTCGTTGCTCAGGTGGTGGTAAGGGTTTATACTTAAGGCTAGATCAGGGCCAGGTGCAGTGGCTCACGCCTGTAATCCCAGCACTTTGGGAGGCCGAGGCAGGAGGGTGGCCACTTGAGCTCAAAAGTGCAAGAGAAGCCTGGGCAACACAGCGAGACTCCTGTCTCTACAAAACGTTCAGAAATTAAGCAGGTGAAGGTTGAGGCTTCAGTGAGCCGTGATTGCACCACTGTGCACCAGCCGGGGCGACAGTGAGGAAGAAAAAATCAGGGGATAAGTATCAAAAACAATTTTGGATAGAGGAGGCTTATACAGGCTTATTCTTTCTTTCGTGATAGCACCAAAGTGCTAATGATCCAAAAGTGACTTCCAGGTCTGCCATTCATTCTTGTGACTGGCTTTTCTTGTCTGCTTATTTTTAATTTTGTCACTTGACTTCTAATTTTAAATTTCCAGAAAGGTCCTGCTTGGACCTGTAGTCTCCCTCTGTTGGGCCAGGCCAACTGTGGTCTCTGGAAACCTCTATGACTGGTTTAGAGATGACTGGCTTCTGGGTCAGGTACCAAGTCCTTCATTTTGTCCAGGGTTGTAGTAGTTACGTGACCCGAAGTATAGCAACCTAAGCAGGAGAAGTGGTCTGTGGCAGGTATTCAAATGTCATGAATTGTTACAGATTAAGAAAAATAAGGACAGAGCTAGGATCATTGAAGGTGAGCGGTTGGTAGATGCAAGGGGTTTGTTACTAGGACTGGGAAGGCCTAGATCTGGAGGAGGCTAAAGCTAGGAGGAATTAGGAGAGTCTGATTTTGAGGTGAATGTAATTGAGCAGAGAGAGGTAAAATGGGTCTGGAAGTTGGCAAGAACCAGGTAAATACTAGACTTTGAGAATTGAGTGGTAAGAAATGGGCTTGGCATGGTGAAAAAGGTAGAGTTATCTGGAGACTGAAGTCTAATTTATCTTCCTCCCCCCCCAACTTTTAGTCCAGCATGAGTGCATCCCTCAGGCCATTCTGGGAATGGATGTCCTGTGCCAGGCCAAGTCGGGCATGGGAAAGACAGCAGTGTTTGTCTTGGCCACACTGCAACAGCTGGAGCCAGTTACTGGGCAGGTATATTTGGGGAGAGTGCTGGGGAGGGGATTTTGGTTAGGACTATAAGGGAAGGGTGTTTTTGTCCTAGCTACATGATGCTTGCAGAGCCATGAGCACATGACCTCTGTTACCCTTGACAACCTGACAGCTGTGGGGGATGTTCTGTCGCAAGCGTGGGGTTCATGATTTAGATCACATAATTGAAGTCATTTATTATCGGCCCAGGTGTGTTTTTGTGACAGTCACTTCCCTAGAGGGGATAATGAAGAGCTACATTTACCATATGTCTCCGTCTACTTCCTGCCTAAGGTGTCTGTACTGGTGATGTGTCACACTCGGGAGTTGGCTTTTCAGATCAGCAAGGAATATGAGCGCTTCTCTAAATACATGCCCAATGTCAAGGTAAGCCAAGGTAAAGAGACCTGAGAGTGAGGGTGTGGCAAGTTGGAGGGATAAGAAACTTGTAGGCCAATAGTCTCTTTAATTTTGGAGAAGCTTTAGTTTGCTGTGGTGTAACAGAGTGTTGAGTTCCTATGTAACAGGAGGATTCGTAATTGGGCTATGGATGATGCTTAACACAAGACCACCCTTTTCTTACTACTTTATACTGACTTTGAATCATATCAGTTTAATAATTTTGGGGTATGTGGCAGAGAAAGCCGGAAACTTTAAAACAGCTCCAGTGGTGTGTGAATATTGAGGATTCTGGCCAAGTGCACAATGGCTTACACCTGTAATCTCAGCAGTTTGGGAGGCCAAGGCGTGTGGATTATTTGAGGTCAGGAGTTTAAGACCAATGTGGCCAACAGGATGAAACCCTCTCTCTACTAAAAATGCAAAAATTAGCCGTGCATGGTGGCACACACCTATAGTCCCACCTGCTTGGGAGGCTGAGGCAGGGGAATCGCTTGAACCCAGGAAGCAGAGGTTGTAGTGAGCTGGGATTGTGCCATTACACTCCAGCCTGGGTGGCAGAGTGAGACTCCCATCTCAAAAAAAAAGAAAAAATCTGATTGAAGTTAAGCATTTTTGGCAAGAATCCTTCATAGGTGATACTGTATCTCCTGTTATGCCACAAATCTGGTCGACTTATGTTAGTTATTTTATTTTATTTTTATTTATTTGTTTTGAGATGGAGTCTCGCTGTGTCCCTCAGGCTGTGAGTGTAGTGGCGCGATCTCAGCTCACTGCAACCTGCGCCTCCCACGTTCAAGCGATTCTCCCGCCTCAACCCCCCGAGTAGCTGGGACTACAGTGTGCCATCATGCCTGGCTAATTTTTGTTTTTTTTTAGTAGTGACAGGGTTTCGCCATGTTGGCCAGGCTGGTCTCGAACTCCTGACCTCAAGTGATCCACCCACCTCGGCCTCCCAAAGTGCTGGGATTACAGGAGTGAGCCACTGCACCTGGCCTCATTAATGATTTTAGATTTACCATAGGATTAGCGTCGTGACAGTCTGATTCCACAGTTGTTCTTTTCCCCCTTGAAACCAGAAAGTAGTTTCTGGTGTTATTTGATACTGTACCAAGGCCCAGATCCCCAAACAACTATTCACCTAATGGTTTTAACATGAAATGATAATATTTAGCCCGAAGCAGTAATTTCATGGGGTTTGTGTGAAAAGAGTTTGAGATTCTGGGTTTATTTAGGAAACCTTAATGTTCCATGTGTTTTTTGTGGTACTTTACACTAATCTGGTGATTTCTTGCTGTCCTTTATTTATTTATTTTTTATTTTTTGAGATGGAGTCTCGCTCTGTCATCCAGGCTGGAGTACAGTGGCTCAATCTCGCCTCACTGCAATCTCCACCTCCCGGGTTCAAGCGATTCTCCTGCCTCAGCCTCCCGGCTAAATTTTGTATTTTTTGTTTTTTAGTAGTAAATTTGTAAATTTTGTATTTTAGTAGAGATGGGGTTTCACCGTGTTGGCCAGGCTGGTCTTGAACTCCTGGCTTCAAGTGATCCACTTTCCTTGACCTCCCAAACTGCTGGGATTACAGGCGTGAGCCACTGGGCCTGGCTTTATTTTATTTTTATTTATTTTATTTCTTTTTGAGATGGAGTATCACTCTTGTTGCCCAGGCTGGAGTACAACGGTGGGATCTTGGCTCACCACAACCTCTGCCTCCCAGGTTCTCGTGCCTCAGCCTCCTGAGTAGCTGGAATTATAGGCGTGTGCCACCACACCTGGCTCCTTTATTTTTTAAATGAAGCCTGGCCTCATAAATGAAGGAAGTTGGTTAGATTAAGTCAGTAGAACTGAATTATTGTCCTGACTGCTCCGACTAGCCATGTAACTTTAGGCAATCACCCTCAGTGTTTGGTGGGGGGGACATAAAATTTTTAAATTAGGTGCCCTCTAAAGTTAGTTTTAGTTTGGAAACATGCTAAAAATTGGTTTAGCTCAAACAGAGTGGGAACCCTGGGGGGATTGGACTCTTTCCTTCCTCTGTTTTGAGACTCTTTGCTTCTGGCTCGGCAGGTTGCTGTTTTTTTTGGTGGTCTGTCTATCAAGAAGGATGAAGAGGTGCTGAAGAAGAACTGCCCGCATATCGTCGTGGGGACTCCAGGCCGTATCCTAGCCCTGGCTCGAAATAAGAGCCTCAACCTCAAACACATTAAACACTTTATTTTGGATGAATGTGATAAGATGCTTGAACAGCTCGGTGAGTGGCAGTGCTGGGGCTTGGCTAATGCTGGGGAGTTGTTCTTTGGAGCCAAATGATGTTTATTTGAAACAGGAGCACCTCAGTGCAAGGACGACTCTTATCTATCACCCATGACTGATGGCTCTGGGTTCCCTGGTTGGTCTTTATTATGCTTTTAAGCACAGTAAAGGGTGTCATCTATCATCTTTCTATGATTTTTGTTTTTAACCTTTGAGAATAGGGGACTTTGATAATTTTAGGCATAAGTCATCACCACCACCACCGTTTTCATTATAGATTCATATACTGGGAGTCATAGCGGAGATTCTAAACTGAAAGAGAAGACAGTACCCTTCTGGCATCTCCAGCACAGCATTTACAGTCAGAATTTATAGCTGAATAAGTGTCTAGACTCAGGTCTGGGATTAATGTAGAGAGTGTTTGTAGCAGTTTGTGTGATGTGGTATTCTAGTGTGCCAGGTGGGGTTAATGGAAGATTTTTCTGTAAGAATTGAATCTTGGTGAATGAGAGTGGGGTTGGACATAGGCCCCATAAGTCATTACAAATGATCTTTGGCAATTCTATATGGTGAGCTATAAAGGTGGGCTCCAGGTAGGGATGTCATATTTGCCTGACTTGATAGAAAAGTAATCCAGAGAGTCATAGATGGACTCTGATATCTGGAATATAATATGTGCTTGATATTTGTAGTCTGCTGAAGGCTGGCTGGGGCTTGGGCAGGAAAGGGTTGGGAGAAGGTCCCATAAAGCATGTTTTGAAGGCCTTGAGAGCCTCTGCACTGGGCTTTATCCCCATTTCATAGTTGGGAACTTTGGGGTTTTACCTTATTTCTTGCTTGGTTAAAACAAACAGCTGGAATCTGATCCCACTTCTTGATTCCAAGTCCATTGCTCTTTCCATTGTGTTGTTACTATTTCCAGCAATCTTCACCTCACTGGGAAGTCTACCTCTAATCTTTGTTTATCATACCTGCTTATTTTCTCCTACAATTTTTTTCCTTGTTCTTGTAGACATGCGTCGGGATGTCCAGGAAATTTTTCGCATGACCCCCCACGAGAAGCAGGTCATGATGTTCAGTGCTACCTTGAGCAAAGAGATCCGTCCAGTCTGCCGCAAGTTCATGCAAGATGTAAATACCCTTCTACCTTCTCTCCCTCCACTCCCCGCCCGCTGCCTCCTCCCCTTCCTCGCCCTCTTCCTCAGACTCCCTTGTCATTCAAGTGCCAAGAAGGCGGCTTGTGCCCAACTGGGAGTAATGACTCCTTGAAGAGACATACAGAAGCAGAGACAGCTAGTGTTAGGGCCTGCGCGGGTGCCAGGGAAACTCCGGAAGACTTGGTCGGGTTAATGTGAGAGCGGGTAGTGTTCGACTTTTTCATAAATCACAACATTTTTGAACCTCTTCTCCCTTTGGGGGAGGGCAGGATTTTTCTGCCCTACCACCCACCCATCCATCGTCTCTTACATGCACCCTACAGCCACGCACCCTCAAGGTGGCATCGAGCGTACAGCTGGAGCCTTCTGCTCACCAAAACTCCTACTTCCCGGTGGCAGGAGAGCAAGAGAGGGACAGACAGATGGCAGGGCATGTCCAAAAGAAGAGCATCAGCACAAATGAATCCTCCCCTTCCCCACCTCCAGGGGTGGGGGCCTTTGGCACCTCAATCCCCGATACCCTACTCCTTCCCACCCACATCTCCTTGCACCCATCTGGAACCTCGGTTGATGTGAGCCGGCAACAGAGAAGCACCGTGGCGCGGCGAGGGAATGCAGACGGCACCCAGCGGTGGATGGCGGCAGCGGAGGCCGCGGGGAAACCTGACCAGGAAGCTGAGGACCAAACCAGCCTCTTTTTCCGTTCCCGGTTTTTTTCCTGAACCCAACGCGTGCCGTGCCCCGTTTCCCCCAATATGTGTTGGGGAGGGGTGTCCTGAATGGGGTGGTAGATTTTTTTTCTTAAAAAAATTTTTTTGTTTTTTTTAATACTCAGAGGAGAGGGACATAGGAAAGGTAAAGTGGATGTAATCGGGTGGTTGTTAGGGTTTGGGGCTAGGTGGGGCCAATTGCATAAGCAGTGGAGTGTGTTCTTCCCCTCCCTGCAGTGTTCCTTCCCGTGGGATGATCACTCTTTAGCTGTATTTGGGGCTAGAATGAGATTTGAAGGAGGCCATGGAACTTCTCTTTAGAAAGCCTGCCTTGGCTGGGCCTGGTGGCTCACCTCTAATCCCAGCACTTTGGGAGGCCAAGGTGGGAGGATTGCTTGAGCCCAGGAATTTGAGACTAGCTGGGGCAGTGTAGTGAGACTTTGTCTCTACCAGAAAAACCGGGCGTGGTGGCGCATGCCTGTAGTCCCAGCTACTTGGGAAGCTGAGGCAGGAGGGTTTGCTTGAGCCCGGGACGTGGAGGTGGCAGTAAGCTGTAATTGTGCCACTGTACTCCAGCCTGGGTGATAGAGAGAGACCCTGTATCAAAACAAAACAAAAAACAAAACCTGCCTTCTGGGATTGGGCTTCTGGTTTTTTTCCCATGACACACGCATCCTTTCCTATTTTGTCCTCTGGGTCTTCATATTAACTATCTTCCCCCAGGATAGTATAAAAAGTGTTAGGAAAGTTGGGCTTTGGAGTTGTGGTAATTTCTGTCTTTGTTACTTTCCTCCCCTTCAGGGGGTTTTTTAATTTTAAAGATGAATGCAGTGAGGTATAATGGTGTGTGCCTGTAGTCCCAGCTATTCAGGAGACTGAAGCAGGAGGATCACTTGAGCCCAGGAATTTGAGGCTATAGTGTGCTATGATTGTGCCAGTGAATAGCCACTGCACTCCAGCCTGGGCAACATGGTGAGATCCTGTCCCTTAAAAGTGTATCTGCTGCTCTGAATTTGGTATTTTAACACCACTTACTGATACCTTTCCTGTAAACCTGTAGATGGTTTAATTCTTAGTCAAGAGACCAGTCTCATCTAAAACTATCCTGTTGTGGTCTGACGGCAAGTAACTCATCTTGAGTAATTTTTGTTTCTCCTTAAGTGGCATTTTGACTGTCCATTGCAGCATTCTGATCTTAAAAGACATCCACTTTGCTAATGCACACGAGATTCTCTTAGTTGAAGTAGGAGAATCAAATGGAGCAGTTGTCCTCCCCCCACCCCATGTTCTTAGAAGCACCTCTGATGGAGTTATTCTGACCTTGAGTCACTGCCTCCCATCATTTCCCAGATGTTTGGTCCTTGCTCTCCCTTTGAGAATCATCTCCCATTTTCTTTCCTCTCCCACCTCTATTTGAGGTAATGGCATCTGTGCCATTGGGTGGTTTCACTGCTCCTTGACTTCATTTGCAGTTTCTTTCCCATGATAGTTTTTAGTTGGGCAGTCTTAAAACTCATCTGATAGGAAGGAAATTAGATGTAATGTGAGAGAGACCACAGTAAAATGTGGGTATTTTTGGGAGTGGGGTGGGGTTTTCAATCTTCTCTTTCCTCCCCATCCCCCCATGGGGTGTATTGGAGATCAACTTCCTCCACCCCCCCAGGTTTAACCCCCCCACTCTGCCCTCCTCCCGTTCCCCACCCCCTTCCTCCCCCCCAGCCAATGGAGATCTTCGTGGATGATGAGACGAAGTTGACGCTGCATGGGTTGCAGCAGTACTACGTGAAACTGAAGGACAACGAGAAGAACCGGAAGCTCTTTGACCTTCTGGATGTCCTTGAGTTCAACCAGGTCAGTTAGACGTCCAGTAGGGGGATGAGCATTGGAGCACTCCAGCTGTAGCAGAAACCTGGATATTAAGTACACTTTTATTGAGGAAATCACATGTGTGATGTGGGAGAGAATAATGAGGGTATAAATATCTTAGGGGCTGAGCATGAGTAAGGTGGGAGCTGCTTTTCTATTCTATGGCTGGCACGGGTATGTCCTCAATAACCTCAAGGAAAATAAACTTCAAAAATTAAGATCCTTGGCCAGGCACGGTGGCTTATGTGTGTAATCCCAGCACTTGGGGAGGCTGAGGGAGGTGGATCACTTGAGTCCAGGAGTTTGAGACCAGTCGGGGCAACATGGCGAAACTTCATCACTACCAAAGAAGAAAAAAATTAGCCAGGTGTGGTGGTGTATGCCTGTAGTCCCAGATACTCTGGTGGCTGAGGTGAGAGGATAGCTTGAGCCCAGGAAATTGAGGCTGCAGTGAACTATGATTGCACTACTGTGCTCCAGCTTGGGCAACAGAGTGAGATCTTGTCTCCAAAAGTCCTTGAAGGATTTTAGGAAGTTGTTAAAAGTCTTGAAACGATGTTTGGGGGCATGTTAGGGTTCTTGAATGTTTAATTCCTCTAATAACTGCTTATTCAAGAGAAGCATTTCTGACTGGGTGCAGGGCAGTGGCTCATGCCCATAATCCCAGTACTTTGGGAGGCTGAGGCAGGAGCATTGCTTGAGCCCAGGACTTCAAGACCAGCCTGGGTAACATAGGGAGACGCCCGTCTCTACAAATAGTAAAAATAAAAAATAAAAAAAGTAGCTGGGCGTGGTGGTGTGCACCTGTGGTCCCAGCTGCTTGGGATGCTGAGGTGGAAGGATCTCTTAAACCCAGGAGGGTGGAGGCTGCAGTGACTTGCGATTGCACCACTGCACTCCAGTCTGGGGGACAGAGTGAGACCCCATCTCAAAAAAGTGTTTAATTAATATACTTGTGAGTGGTCTATTTGCATTTAAAACTGCTTTCTAGAATTAGGATAGCTCCCTTAGGTTTAATGTTTTGGTGAGCAGGAATATCAGTTACCCCTCCAGATCTTAATTCTAGTTTTTTATCACTTTTTCATGAGGTGATCTCATCCTCATCTCCTAGCATGTCTGGCAATTTTGATTTCTGAACTCTGTGCTACCTCAGAGGCCAGCTTCCTTAGGGAAAAATCAGTGCTGAAGTAAAGTTATATTTCCTTTTCTGCTCTAAATATATAGTGGGGGAATAAGAGAAATGAAGAGGAATTCCTGAGAACGTAATTACTAGAAACTCCCCTCTCCCACGTAATGTCTCTCACACACCATGGACCCCTATTCCCCCAATTTGCGACCCCCCACCCCACCCCACAACAGGTGGTGATCTTTGTGAAGTCTGTGCAGCGGTGCATTGCCTTGGCCCAGCTACTAGTGGAGCAGAACTTCCCAGCCATTGCCATCCACCGTGGGATGCCCCAGGAGGAGAGGTGAGCTGAAGATGGGAAAGATATTTTGTGTCCTTGGGAGAAAAAGACAGTTGAGAGAAGGGAATCTCAACATGTTTTAAATTTCCTTTCTCACAAAGGCTTTCTCGGTATCAGCAGTTTAAAGATTTTCAACGACGAATTCTTGTGGCTACCAACCTATTTGGCCGAGGCATGGACATCGAGCGGGTGAACATTGCTTTTAATTATGACATGCCTGAGGATTCTGACACCTACCTGCATCGGGTAAACCTCACAGGCTGAAAAAATCCCACTCTCCCATTCCCTTGTTTTCTGTTTGTACATCTTCATTCCTGCCTCTGGGTCTCTTTCCTCTTCGGTCTTCCAGTGCTACCCTCTGTCTCCCTCCAGGTGGCCAGAGCAGGCCGGTTTGGCACCAAGGGCTTGGCTATCACATTTGTGTCCGATGAGAATGATGCCAAGATCCTCAATGATGTGCAGGATCGCTTTGAGGTCAATATTAGTGAGCTGCCTGATGAGATAGACATCTCCTCCTACAGTGAGTACTGATCTCATGAAACCCTTTAGGTCCTCCCTGTTCCTTAGTGTGTTTGTCCGAAATCCCATCACATAGGTCATGGGCATCTGATGCATAATGGACACTTGACTGGTTCATGCCCCCTGGTCTTTGATGCTGTGTTGGGATGTTTTTCTGACCTTTATGTGGGGTGTCTTGTCTTCTCTCATCATATTACATCCCTTCCCTCACCCCCACGTCCGTCCTCTGAACCCAGGCAGTACACCAGTGTCTGCATGTGTGCCGTGTGTTCCTGCCTCACTTTCCCCTTTTCATGCCTTATTCTGACCATGCTACGTTTTCTTCTCAGTTGAACAGACACGGTAGAAGACTCGCCCATTTTGGAATGTGACCGTCTGTCCTTCAGGAGAGGACACCAGGGTGGGGGTGAAGGAGACACTACTGCCCCCACCCCTGACAGCCCCCACCCCATGGCTTCCATCTTTTGCATCACCACCACTCCTGAACCCCCATTTCTGATTTGTCAGAATTTTTTTTTAACAAAACTAAAAATGAAACACATGTGTCTGTGGTATCTATAAGTGCTTCGTCCCTTTATTGTATTTGGGGTGAGGTTATTTTAGGGCATGGTCCAGGGTGAATTCCTATAAGGCCTGGGTGCCCTGCCTGCTGTGAGATCAAAGGGGAATGGGACTAAGACTGCAGAGCCCTGGCTCCCCCACTGCCTGCCAATTGCCTGCGCTTTGTGGTCTCTTCCACTTTCTCTGGCCTGGGAAGACGCTGGGGTGTTTATGATCCCAAGGCTCCTGGTGGGTGGTGCGTGTATTTTCAGCGCCGGAGGGTGCTGTGGGCACTGGGGGAAACTTAGGCGCCTCCTCCAAGGCTCTCTTGGTGCCTCCTCATCTGTTCCTTCAGCTTCTGGATCTTGAGCACCAGGGCTTGGGCCTCCCAGGCTCCCTCCTGCCCTTCAAGGAGGGCCTGGTACAGCTCCAGCTGCTGCTCCAACAACTCTTCAGCTCGGGCCAGCTCAGCTGTGCGGTGGGTCCCAGGGCCCTGGTCAGGGAATTAAGGGAGGGAGCATCAGCCAGGGCAGGGGGCTGAGGCCCTGGGAAGCTTTGTTGCAGGCTGTGGCTGGAAGTGAGAAATTCCACCTTCCCTATTCGTTTTTGAACCGGTCGTTTAAGGACACCTGTACTGAGAAGGCCAGGTAGCTTCCTGTCTTGGGCATAGGCCTCTGGGTGGTAGTAGGGGGAGCAAATAGAGTTCCCTGGCCCAGGGGCTGTAACTGGCTTCCTTGAACAAGGATATGGGGTCACTGGAAAGAGGATCAGCTGCTCCTCCCCGCTAAGAAATAATTAACTGTTAGGTGAGGGGGAATAGATCCTGTTCAAGGACTTTGTGGACTGTGCTGTTGTGGGTGGGGGTGGGGTGAGGGAAGGGAACCCTGAGGTCTGGGCTGGGGGAGGTGGGGAGAGGAGTTGGTAGCTGAACTAAGAAAAGAGCTGCAGGGGTAGGCATGGTGTGGGGTGGTGCAGGGTGGGATTGAGGGTTTTTTTTTCCCACACCCCAGTGTAAATTCTCACACCCTCTGTTCCTACCTGTGGTGCCACTTACCCTGGGAGGGGACGTCATCTTCCCATTTCCTCTGGAGCTGGTCTGCTCTTCCATGCTTGCTTTGGGGTTTTGGGAGCAGCACCCATGGGAGCCCTGGGGTGCCAAGGACCAGGAGGGCAGAAGGAGGCGAAGGAAATGGTACCGAGAGAGCCAGGGCAGAGGGAGGACCATGGCGGGTGACCTGGCAGGGAGCTGTGTGAGCTGTCCAACGGCCACCAGGAACTGGTTCGCTCCAGGACTTGGCCTCACTTGAGTGCCTGGCCCTGCCCAGGCCCCAGCCCCCAGCCCTGCCCCTGCCCCTGCCCCACTCTGCCCCACGTCTCTCCCAGCCTGGCCCCAGACAGAGTCCAGGAACAACTCCTGTTCCTGATGTGAAAAATGTCCCTGCCAGTTTAGGCAGAACTTGCTTTAGAGCACTGGTGCCCAGCCTACCACAGGTCTGTGATTTTTTTTTTTTGATCTAGTGTTTATTAGGTATGAATTTTACAAACATTAGCGGTAGCTGTGGAGCTGGAGAGTATTGCACCTTCTCCAAGCTGCATGGCGAGAACCACCAATAGTGTGGTAGAACTTACAGCCCTTTCCAAGGCCGTGGCTCTCTTGGCCTGCAGATAGCCTACGCATCTCCCTATGCTTGTTGTGGACCACTGGGTGTCAGGTTTCCTTCTGATAGTGTTATGGAATGGATCAACTAGGATAGCCTCAAAAACTTTGTATGTGGAATCTTTAACCAGCCCAGTGAGAATTCAGGACTCAGAGCCCCACAGTGGCATCCAGCTTGCTCTTCTGTAACAGACTGAAGGCTTTAAGCAAACTAGCTGGTTAACACCATGATAGACAGGCTTGCTGTTAAGTTGCCTTCTTAGGAACTAGATTTTCAGCCACCGTGGCGCTTATATGTAACATAACCTTGCTTGGCTGTAGCCCAGTAGCGTGCTTTATTGGGCTGGGTGGGGCGGGGATCCCTGTGGAGAGCAGAGAGCTGGTGGTACTGCCAGCAGCGGACCCTCAGAAGAAAGCTCATGACATCAGACTGCTTCTTCCATAGCTTCTGGATGTACTTGTATGCACCATCTTGGTTTACCCAGTGGCTGCTGCCAGACAGAAAGGAAAGGCTACCACAGGTCTTGTGTCTTTTTTTTTTTTTTTTTTTTTTTGAGACGGAGTCTCGCTCTGTTGCCCAGGCTGGAGTGCAGTGGCGCAATCTGGGCTCACTGCAAGCTCTGCCTCCCGGGTTCACGCCATTCTCCTGCCTCACCCTCCCGAGGAGCTGGGACTACAGGTGCTCGCCACTACGCCCGGCTAATTTTTTGTATTTTTAGTGGAGACGGGGTTTCACCGTGTTAGCCAGGGTGGTCTCGATCTCCTGACCTCATGATCCGCCCGTCTTGGCCTCCCAAAGTGCTGGGATTACAGGCGTGAGCCACCGCACCCGGCATTTCTTAACACTGTCTTTTCTCACTTCACTCTGCAAGGTAGGAATTACCTCACTGGTTTGCACCTGAGGAAACTGGCTCAGATGGTTTCATTCAGCATTCACTGGGGAAGTGTCTGTTGGGGGCAGCTCTAGGCTGGATGTGCTCGAAGGTCCATAGCTGGTTGTTGGTAGGGCCTGGAGGGTTCATGTCTAGGTCCACCTGACTTGAAAGCTCATCCTGACCTTGCTTAAGTGCTGATTCCCCTTTGCAGATGTACCTTTTATTGTGCTTCCCTTTATTGCTCTTTGCAGATGCTGTTTTTTATTTAGAGATTGGAGGCTTGTGGCAACCCTGTGTCAAGCACATCAAACAGGTCTATTGGTGCTATTTTCCCAACAGCAGGCAGACATCATGTCTCCATGTCACGCTGTGGAATTCTCAAAATGTTTCAAGCGTTTTCATTATTATACTTGTTACAGTGACCTGTAATCAGTTACTGAAGTTAACTATTGTGATTGTTTTGGGACACCATGAGCGATGCTCATATAAGACAGCAAACTTAATGGAAAAATGTGTGTGTTGTGACTGCTTCACCAACTGGCCATTCTCCCGACTCTGCTTTCCAGGCCTCCCTATTCCCTGAGGCACAACAATATTGAAAGGAATAATCCATGCGGCAAATGGCAAACATCATTGTCTTATTTTAAGAAGTTGTCAAAGCAGCCTTCAGCAGCCATGCCCCTGATCCATGGAGGCAAGACCCTCCCCCAGCAAAAAGATCAGGATTAGCTGAAGCCTCATATGATGGTTAGCATTTGTTTAGCAATTAAGTATTTTAAAATTAAAGTATATGGCCAGATACAGTGGCTCACGCCTGTAATCCCAGCACTTTGGGAGGCCGAGGTGGGTGGATCACTTGAGGTCAGGAGTTCAAGATTAGCCTGGCCAACATGGTGAAACCTCATCTCTACTAAAAATACAAAAATTAGCTGGGCATGGTGATGGGCACCTGTAGTCCCAGCTACTTGGGAGGCTGAGCAGGAGAATGGCTTGAACTCAGGAGGCGGAGGTTGCAGTGAGCCAAAATCGTGGCACTGCACTCCAGCCTGGGTGACAGAGCGAGACTCCATTAAGTATATACACAGTTTTTTGTACACAATGCTACTGTACACTTAACAGACTACAATATAGTACAAACATAACTTTTATGCACAATAGGAAACTAAAAAGTTTGTGTGACTCACTTTGTTGCTATGGTCTGGAAACAAATCTTCAGTATCTCCGAGGTATGCCTGTCATTTCCCTTTCCCTCTTCTTGCTGGCCCAGAATGACCTTGTTTCTTGCCCCTGTCTAGCCCTGCATGCTGTAGGGGTTTGCCTTCTCTGGTAGGTCTGGGCACTTTGTATCCCTTGTAACCTTGGCTCCTGGGATATGACACTGGTACAACTGGCCTCAAGTTCTGTTGGACTAGTGAGCCTCCCCCAACACCTCCTGAAGTAGAACCAAAGGCCTGTGCACACACCGTGCATGTGTGAGTCTGCATAGAGATGTCAGCTTCCTGCAGGGTGTTCTGAAGGGATGTCCTGTTGTGACTGGACTGTGACATAGCCACAGGCCCAGAGGCAGGAGTGGCTCAGAAGGGAGTGGCTGGTCCCAATTTTGATCATCTAGGAACAGGAAGGTCCTTAGAAAACCATGCCCCAGAAGGCAGGATTGCTGGAGAGTGGACAGCTGCTAGCCAGCTCGCTATCTGGATATCACTCTGCATTGGGAGGGAAGATGGCCTCTGCCATGGTGTAAGAGTCCAGGAACCAGGCAGTGAGGACTTCCCAGCGGTCAGTGCTTCTCACACTTGCGGGCCAAAGCACCTTTAGATGAGGCCAAAGACTTTACGTTCCTCATTAGCTGACTTTTTCCCACTTAAGTGGAAAAAGAACCCAGAACCTTTGTAAAAGTTTAAGGGGAGAAGGGCTTTCCCTCTTGTATCTTGGTGATAAGGTTATGCATGACTCATACTTTAATTGCAATGTGTACACAGCTAAAGTCTTAATTATTAGAATATAAGAGCCCCAAACTACTGTTATTATAGATAAGCGAAACTATGCAGTATATGGTTAAACAAACCACAACTAATTAACATTGAAAGTTGGCCGGGCGCAGTGGCTCATGCTTGTAATCCCGGCACTTTGGGAGGCCGAGGCAGGGGGATCGCTTAAGGTCAGGAGTTCAAGACTAGCCTGGCGAACATGATGAAACCCCGTCTCTACTAAAAATACAAAAAATTAGCTAAGCGTGGTGGTAGCCACCTGTAATCCCAGCTACTTGTGAGGCTGAGGCAGGAGAATTGCTTGAACCTGGGAGGCGGAGGTTGCAGTGAGCTGAGATTGTGCCACTGCACTCCAGCCTGGGCGACAGAGCAAGACTCCGTCTCTCAAAAAAAAAAAAAAAAAAAAAAAAAAAAAAAAAAAAAGAAAAGAAAAAAAATTAACTACATTTTTGGGAGGTGGACAGAGCAATGCTCTGTCACCCAGGCTGGAGTGCAATGGCACAATCTCTGCTTGCTGGAACCTCCGCTTGCCGGGTTCAAGCAATTCTTATGCCTCTGCCTCCCAAGAAGCTGGGATTACAGACGTGTGCCACTATGCCGAGCTAATTTTTGTATTTTTAGTACAGACAGGGTTTCACCATGTTGGCCAGGCTGGTCTTGAACACCTGGCCTCAAGTGATCCGACTGCCTCAGCCTCCCAGAGTGCTGGGATTACAGGTGTGAACCACCGTGCCTGGCCCTCTATCTGTTAATTTAAAAGATTAGCAGCCATTTAGAAAAAACAACAAATGAGACTTTTGCAAGACAATCTAAATGATACACTAATAACAATCCTTTGGGAAAGTGACATTTCAACCATGTGAGTTTCTGCTTTAGGTTATGAACTCCAAAATGGACTAAATGGACTAACCCCCAATAATTTATAGTAGCTAGTTTTTTTTTTTTTTCACAGTAGGTAATTCTAAACCATAAATAAAATAGAATCTGAATTTTGGCTTTGTTCACCTGTGGGAACTTAATTAAGAAAGCACTGGCCTTTGGGTCGGTTCAAATATAGTGGATGAGGCCAGGCGCAGTGGCTCACACCTGTAATCTCAGCACTTTGGGAGGCCGAGGCGGGCGGATCATGAGGTCAAGAGATCGAGACCATCCTGGCCAACATGGTGAAACCCCGTCTCTACTAAAAATACAAAAATTAGCCGGGCATGGTGGTGCACGCCTGTAGTCCCAGCCACTCGGGAGGCTGAGGCAGGAGAATCACTTGAACCCGGGAGCCAGAGGTTACAGTGAGCTGAGATCATGCCACTGCACTCCAGCCTGGCGACAGAGCGAGACTCTTGTCTCAAAAAACAAAAAACAAAACCAAAAAGAAAGAAAACCAAATATAGTGGATAATCGTGGATCTCATAATTGTAGAAATGAAGGAATTAAGCTAAAAAAATACATAAACCAGAATACCTAGTGCTAAAGTGGAATGTCCCCACCAAAACTCATGTTGACATTTAATTGCTATCCTAATGGTATTAAGATGCAAGACTTTTTTTTTTTCTTTTTTTGAGATGGAGTTTCGCTCTTGTTGCCCAGGCTGGAGTGCAATGGCACAATCTCAGCTCACTGCAACCTCCGCCTCCCATGTTCAAGTGATTCTCCTGTCTCAGCCTCCTGAGTAGTTGGAATTACAGGCACATGCCACCACGCCCAGCTAATTTTTGTATTTTTAGTAGAGACGGGGTTTCATCATATTGGTCAGGCTGGTCTTGAACTCCTGACCTCAGGTGATCCACCTGCCTTGGCCTCCCAAAGTGCTGGGATTACAGGCATGAGCCACCGTGCCCAGCCGATGTGGGACCTTTCAGGGTTGATTAGATTGAATAGATTAATGCCATTGTATGGCATGATAGAAATCAGTTCAGCCTCTTTGCCCTTCCACCTCTCACTATGGGATGATACTGCAGCCAGGCCCTCATAAGATGCCAGTGTCATGCTCTTGGACTTCTCAGCCTCCAGCTCTGTGGGAAAAACATTTATTGTCTTTATAAATTACCCAGTCTGTGCTGGGTGTGGTGGCTCAAGCCTGTAATCCCAGCACTTTGGGAGGCCAAGGTGGGTGGAAGGCTTGAGCCCAGGAGTTTGAGACCAGCCTGGGCAACATGGCAAAACCCATCTCTACAAAAAAACACAAAAATTAGCTGGTGTGGTCGTGCGGGTCTGTGGTCCCAGTTATTTAGGAGGCTGAGGTGGGAGGATCACTTGAGTCTGGGAGGTGGAGGTTGCAGTGAGTCGAGATCATGCCACTGCACTCCAGTCTGAGCGACAGAGAGAGACCCTGTCTGAAAAAACAACAAAATAAATTACCCAGTCTGTAGTATTCTGTTATAGCGGCAGGAAACGGACTAAGACACATAGATTATGTTACTGTGTTTATTTATTTATTGTTGTTTTTGTTATTCCTGACTCTTAATATAGAGTCTTAATCAGATGAGCATTCTGGCCTGGTCTCCGCAGAAGGGGCCTGTCTTTAGCCACGGACAAGAGGAGATTAAGGCCAGCATCATCCACAAGGTCAAGGGGCTGCAGAGCCCCCTAAGGCCAGTGTGCTGATGGGCCCCTCAATATTGTATCCTACCCAGTGGATTGGCAGGACTGGGTGACTGACAGGAATCATTGTTGCCTCTATGGGAAAGTCTTATGGAGATGGGGGCTGAGGGATGTTGAAGTTTAGCCATTACATTACAGTGAGAGAGATTACATTACTAAGTGTCAGAGACCCTGCTGGGCACTTTCTGTTACTGTCACAGGTGGCTTTCACAGTAACCTTTTAAGAGAGCTCTTTTCATTTTTCTTGTACATGGCTGTCCAGTTGTTCCAGCAGCATTTGCTGAAAAGACTATCTTTATTGTATTGTCTTTGCTCCTTGTATTTATGTGGGACTATTTCTTGGCTCTCTATTCTGCTCAAGTGGATCAATTTGTCTATTCTTTGCCAATGCCACTCTGTCTTTCTAAAATTAATTTTTCGATTGACTAATTTTATACATTTGTGGTGTACATCATGTTTATATATATATGCACATACATACACACACATTGTGGAATGGATAAACCAAACAATTTAATAATATGTACATTACCTCACATACATATTTTGTGTGTATGTGATGAGAATGCTTAAAGCTATTCTCATACTATTTTGAAATACACAATATGTTGTTATTAAGTTTAGTCACCATAAGGTACAATAGATCTCTTGAACTTATTCTTCCTAACTGAAATCTTGTGTTCTTTGACTAACATCTCCCCAATTCCCCGACCTCCCAGCCTCTGATAACCACCAGTTTACTCTCTATTTATGAGTCTGGCTTTTTCTATACTCCACATATAAGTGAGATTGTATTTGTCTTTCTGTGCCTGGCTTATTTCACTTAACATAATGTCTTCCAGGTTCATCCATGTTGTCACAAATGACAGGATTTTGTTTTTTAAGGCTGAATAGTATTCCATTTTTTATATATACCACATTTTCTTTATCCATTCATCCATTGATGGACACTTAGGTGGATTCTATATCTTGGCTATTGAGAATAATGCTGCAGCCAGGTGCAGTGTCTCGTGCTTATAATCCCAGATAATTGGGAAGCTGAGACAGCAGGATCGCTTGAGGCCAGGAGTTGCCCTGGGCAACATAGACTCTATCTCTAAAGGAAAAAAAAAAAAAAAGAATAATGATGCAATGAATATGGGAGTGCAAATATCTCAACGTACTGATTTCATATCCTTTGGATATATACCCATTAGTGGGATTGCTGGATCATGTGGTATTTCTATTTTTAAAATTTTTGCAGAACCTCCATACTGTTTCCCACAATGGCTATGCTAATCACCACTCTGTCTTGATTACTATGGCTTTATAGAAAGTCTAAGTCAGGTAGTGGTGGTCTTTGACTTTATTTTTCTCCTATATTGTGCTGGCTAGGTCTTTTGCCTCACCATATAAAGTTTGAATCAGTTTGTTAATATCCACAAAATAACTTACTGAGGTTTTTTATTGAGATTGCATTCATTCCACAGATCAAGTTGGAAAGAACAGATATATTAACAGTATTGAGCCTTCCTGACTATGAACATGGAATATCTCTCCATTTGTTTAGTTCTTTGATTTCTTTTGTCAGTTTTGTAGTTTTGTTCATATAGATCTTGTACATATTTTCTTAGATTTGTACCTAAGTGTTTCATTTTTGGGGGTGCTAATGTAAGTGGTATTGTGTTTTAAATGGCAAATTCTGGACCAGGCACGGTGGCTCACGCCTGTAATCCCAGCACTTTGGGAGGCTGAGGCAGGCAGAACATGAGGTCAGAAGTTCGAGATCAGCCTGGCCAACATGGTAAAACCCCGTCTCTACTAAAAATACAAAAATTAGCTGGGCATGGTGGGGCACACCTGTAATCCCAGCTACTCAGGAGGCTGAGGCAGGAGAATTGCTTGAACCTGGGAGGAGGAGGTTGCAGTGAGTTGAGATCGCGCCACTGCACTCTAGCCTGGGCGACAGAACAAGACTCCGTCTTGAAAAAAAAAAATTAAATGGCGAATTCTACGTGCTCATTGCTGATACATAGAAAAGTGATTGGCTTTTACATATTAACTTTATATCCTGCAACCTTGCTATAATTGCTTGTTAGTTCCAGGAGTTTTTTATGTGTGGATTCTTTTTGATTTTCTACATAGACAATCATATCATCTGTAAACAAAGACAGTTTTATTTCTTGTTCCAAATTTGTATACCTTTTAGTTCCTTTTCTTGTCTTACTACTTTAGCTAGGACTTCCAGTACAACGTTGAAAAGCTGTGTTGAGAGGGTCATTCCTGCCTTGTTCTGATCTTAGCAGGCAAGCTTTTAGTTTCTCACCATTAAGTGTGATGTTAGCTGTGGATGTTTTGTGGATGTTGTTTATCAAGTTGAGTAAGGTCTTCTCTATTCCTAGCTTGCTAAGAGATTTTTTTTTTTAATCATCATGAATGGGTGTTGGATGTTGTCAATTGCTTTTTCTGCCTCTATTGATATGATCATGTGATTTTCTTCTTTAGCCAGTTGATTTAATGGATTACATTAACTGATTTTCCAATGTTGAAGTAACTTTGCATACCTGGGATAAATCTTACTTAGGCATGGTGTATTGTTCTTCTCATACATTGTGGATTTGATTTGCTAGCATTTTGCTGAGGATTTTTGCACCTATGTTCATGAGAGATATTGGTCTGTGGTTTTCTTTTTTTGTGAAGTCTTCATCTGATTTTGGTATTTGGCTAATGCTGGCCTCATGGAATTAGTTAGAAAGTATTCCCTCATGGAATCCTGGCCTCATGAAATGAGATAGAAAGTGTCTGTCTTGGCTTTGCAGACGCCACCATCAGGAGCCCCATACTATCAGCCATGGTCAACCCCACCGTGTCCTTCAACATCGCTGTCAATGGTGAGCCCTTGGGCTGTGTCTCCTTCAAGCTGTTTGCAGACAAGTTTCCAAAGACAGCAGAAAACTTTCGTGCTCTGAGCACTGGAGAGAAAGGATTTGATTATAAATGTTCCTCCTTTCACAGAATTATTCCAGGGTTTATGTGTCAGGGTGGTGACTTCACACGCCATAATGGCACTGGTGGCAAGTCCATCTACGGGGAGAAATTTGATGATGAGAACTTCATCCTAAAGCATACAGGTCCTGGCATCTTGTCCATGGCAAATGCTGGACCCAACACAAATGATTCCCGGTTTTTCTTTTTTCTCTTTTTTTTGAGATGGAGTCTTAACTCTGTCGCCCAGGCTGGAGTGCAGTGGCGCGATCTTGGCTCACTGCAACTTCCGCCTCCCAGGTTCAAGCAATTCTCCTGCCTCAGCCTCCTGAGTAGCTGGGATTACAGGCATGCACCACCATGCCTGGCTAATATTTGTATTTTTATTAGAGACAGGGTTTCACCATGTTGGTCAGGCTGGTCTTGAACTCCTGACCTCAGGTGATCTGCCCATCTCGGCCTCCCAAAGTGCTGGGATTACGGCATGAGCCACCTAGCCCGGGCAATTCCCAGTTTTTCATCTGCACTGCCAAGACTGAGTGGTTGGATGGCAAGCCCATGGTCTTTGGCAAGGTGAAAGATGGCATGAATATTGTGGAGGCCATGGAGCACTTTGGGTCTGGGAATGGCAAGACCATCAAGAAGATCACCATCGCTGACTGTACACAACTTGACTAAGTTTGACTTGTGTTTTTTTTTGAGACTGAGTTTCGCTCTTGTTGCCAGGCTGGAGTGCAATGGCGCCATCTCGGCTCACTGCAACCTCTGCTTCCTGAGTTCAGGCGATTCTTCTGCCTCAGCCTCCCGAGTAGCTGGGATTACAGGCATGCGCCACCACACCTGGCTAATTCTGTATTTTTAGTAGAGACGGGGTTTCTCCGTGTTGGTCAGGCTGGTCTTGAACTCCTGACCTCAGGTGATCCCACCTGCGTCAGCCTCCCAAAGTGCTGGAATTACAGGTGTGAGCCACCGCGCCCGGCCTGACTTGTGTTTTATCTTAACCACTAGACCATTGCTTCTGTAGCTCAGGAGAACACCCTCCATCCATCTGCTCGCAGTATCTAGAATCTTTGTGCTCTCACTGCAGTTCCCTTTGGGTTTCATGTTTTCCTTGTTCCCTTCCATGCCTAGCTGGATTGCAGCATTAAGTTTATGATTATGAAATTAACACTGAATAACAACAACAACAAAAGAAAGTATGTCTTCTGGAAGAGATTATAGAAAATTGGTATAATTTTTTCCTTAAATGTTTGATAGAATTTATCAGTAAACCCATTTGGGGCTGATGTTTTCTGTTTCTGAATGTTATTAATTATCGATTTAATTTAATATATGTCTATTCATTTCATTTTTTAAATTAATTTTTTTTATAAGACAAGGTCTCACTATGTTGCCCAGGCTTCTCTCAAACTCCTGGGCTTAAATTGGCCTCCCAAAGGGCTGGGATTACAGGCATGAGCTACTGTACCTAGCTTCATTTCACTTTTAGTTAAATTTGTTTTGAATAATAATAGATTTAACTTTGGGAGGCCGAGGCGGACAGATCACCTGAGGTCGGGAGTTCGAGACCACCCTGGCCAACATGGCGAAACCCCATCTCTACTAAAAATACAAAAACTAGCCGAGCGTGGTGATGGGTGCCTGGAATCCCAGCTACTGGGGAGGCTGAGGCAGGGCAATTGCTTGAACCCAGGAGGTGGAGGTTGCAGTGAGCTGAGATCGCGCCATTGCACTCCAGCCTGGGCGACAGAGCGAGACTCCATCTCAAAAAAAAAACAAAAACAAAACAAACAAAAAAACCCAATAACAATAACAATAATAGATTTAAAGAGTTGCAAAGCTAGAACACAGAGTTTCCATAAACCCCAGCTTTCCTTAATGTTAACATCTAACAAAATTCTGTCAAGACTAAGAAACTAAGAAATTAACATTGCTATAATACTATTCGCTAAACTGTAGACTTTATTTGGACTTCACCAGTTTTTCCAGGGCCCATTAATGCATTTAGCTTTTGGGTCTCCCTAGTCTTTCTGATCATGAGTTTCTCAGTCTTTACCTGTTTTCATGACCTTGAAAGTTTTGAAGAATACTGGATAGATAATTTGTAGGATGTCCCTCACTTTGGGTTTGCCTGATGCTTCCTTATGATTAGATTGGGGTTATGGGTTTAAGGGAAGAATACCATAGAGGGGAGTGTCCTCATCACATCATTTCTGGGGGGCAAGATGTTAACATGACTCTGATTGCTTGGTAGTGTCTGCTACATTTCTCCACTGTAAAGTTATTATTTTTCCTTTTTCATACTCTAGTCTTTGGAAGCAAGTCAGCAAGTCCAGCCCATATTCAAGGTGAGAGAAATAAAATTCCAATCTCCTGGGAAAGAGATTCTCGTAATATATGTTTTGAAATTCTTCTGTAAGGAAGATTTGCCCCTTCTTCCCTATTTATTTATTTAATTATTTTTGATTAAATAAATCAGTGTGGAATGAATATTTATTTATATTTTGGGTCATAATCCAATACTATTGTAACTTTGTTGCTCGGATTATTCCGGCTTTGTCCATAGGGAGCTCTTTCAGGCTGACTCCTGTGTCCCTCTGACATGCCCTTATTTTTTGGTGGTGAGGGTTGGGAGATGGGTGGCGGTTACTTTCTGGCATTACAAGATGTTCCAGGCTCACCTTATATTTTTCCTATGCCAGCCCTAGAATCAGCTGTTTTTCTATGGAGCCCTGAATCCTTTTATCAGAGAATGACTTAGCACAACCAAGGTCTAGGCACTGGGTGCTCACTTCACTCTTCTAAGGAGGACACAGAGGTCTCAAGACCTGTGTGAACTCACACAGGCACATAAATGGCTCTCACTTCAGCACCACTTTAGAGCTGATTCAGCTGGGCATGGTGGCTCATGCCTGTAATCCCAGAACTTTGGCAGGCTGAGGCAGGCGGATCACCTGAGGTCAGGAGTTTGAGACCAGCCTGGCCAACATGGCGAAACCTCGTCTCTGCTGAAAAATACAAAAATTAGCTGGGCATGGTGGCTCATGCCTGTAATCCCAGCTACTTGGGAGCCTGAGACAGGAGAATTGCTTGAGTCGGGGAGGCAGAGGTTGCAGTGAGCTGAGATCATGCCACTGCACTCCAGCCTGGGCGACAGAGCAAGACTCCGTCTCAAAAAAAAAAAAAAAAAAAAAAAAAAAGAGAGAGAAAGAAAAAAAGAGCTGATTCAGCTCAGACTTTGACTTCCCCGACTTGATGAGCAATTTTCCATGCAGGTCTTTATTTCTTAAAGCTTCTGTTTTTCAGTATGCAGGGCTTAGGCACTAGTAATTTTATTCCCTAATATTTGGAGACTTTCCTAAAATAAACATTTCACATTTTGGTTACATGATTCACTTAGAGAATTGACCAGAATAGGCAAGAGGAAGAAGCCGGTGGAGGGAGGAGGCACATTGTTCTTTCCTGTGGAGTATTTCCCAATTCCTGCTGCTCTTTCCACATCCCTGGGCCTGGGAGAAGGATGGCACCCTTGGACCATGACAGAAAAATGGTGATTTGGAAATACCTGCCTCTTCTGTCTCCCTACCCTTCCATTTCAGTGCCCATTCTCCCTCCCAACCCATGGCCCATGAGCTTTTCCTTCTCCTAGCCTCTCACCTAGTGCTGGCTCCTCAGAGGGAAGTGAACCATCACCCCCTGGAGGGTGGAACTGGGGAGAGAGAGGCCAGAGCCTGGGGCTGGGGCAGAAGCTGCAGCAGGAAGGAAGGAGGTTAGAGAGACAGATGAGGGGTGAGATGTGAGTGCTCAGAGGGAGAATGAGGACATCCCCAGCATCTCCATAGAGGAGGGAGGAAGGGGCCTTGGGTGCTGGGGCAGAGAGAGGGGCAGGATCTGGATGGGACACCCCACCCTCAGCCTCTGGTCCTCTGACAACACCTCACCTAGTCACACTGAGGGGCTTCTCCAGGCCCAGGAGCACCTGCAGGCAGGTGTATCTCAGGCCTTCTCTGGGAGGGCCCCCCACAGCTGCCCAGCCCTGATATGTCTCATCTTCCTGGGTCTGGTCCCCTTGAGTCTTGAGTCCAGAGTTGGCTCCTCCCCTTCCTGCAGCCAGGTCAGAGTGATGTTGGCAAGTGAGAAGCCAGGTGCTCTACATGGCAAGGTGTGGTTGCCCTCAGGGTCTTCCTTGTCAGGGACCACAACTTTGGGGAAGTCGGGGAGGCACCGGATGCAGGAGATAGAGAACAGAGAGGTGGAGTGAGAGTGGGACACACTTCAGCCTCCCCTCCTCTCCTAGTCTTCCTCCACATGCCAGTGCCTTTCCCTCCCCAACTCCAGCACTTCTAACAGCCACAGCAGGAAGGGGAGACCCAAATCCCCATCACTCTCTGCCACAGTCTCTGTGAGTGTGGCCACCTCCATTTCCACTGCAGCTTTAGGGTCTGCCCCAGAGCAGAGTCCTGGGTATGCTTAGAGCGGGATACTGGAAGGTTCTTCCTTCAAATATCTGCATGGCTGTGTCTCTCCTTCTCAAGTCTGCTCACATGGCTCCTCCAAGAGGCCTACCCTGACCACCTGCCTCGGCCTCCCAAAGTGCTGGGATTACAGGCGTGAGCCACCACGCCCGGCCATTGTCCTGGCTCAATCTGATCAGGAATTCTTTTTTACTTTTTTCTTTTTGATTTTTTAGGTTCAAGGGATACATATTCAGGTTTGTTACATGGGTAAATTGTGTATCACGGGTGTTTGGTGTGCAGATAATTTTGTTACTCAGGTAATCAGCACAATACCCAATAGGTAGTTTTTTAATCCTCCCCCTCCTCCCACCCTCCACCCTCAAGGAGGCCCCAGTGTCTATTGTTCCCTTCTTTGTGTCCATGTGTACTCAATGTTTAGCTGCCACTTATAGGTGAGAATATGTGGTATTTGGCTTTCTGTTCCTACATTAATTTGCTTAGAATAATGGTCTCCACCTCCATCCATGTTGCTGTGAAGGACATGATTTCGTTCTTGTTTTTTTGGCTGGGTAGCGTACCATGGTGTATAAGTGCTGCAGTTTTCTTTTCTTTTCTTTTTTTTTTGAGACGGAGTCTCATTCTGTCACCCAGGCTGGAGTGCAGTGGCGTGATCTCGGCTCACTGCAAACTCCACCTCCTGGGTTCATGCCATTCTCCTGCCTCAGCCTCCCGAGTAGCTGGGACTACAGGTGCCCGCCACCACACCCGGCTAATTTTTTGTATTTTTAGTAGAGACGGGGTTTCACTGTGTTAGCCAGGATGGTCTCGAACTCCTGACTTCGTGATCTGCCCGCCTCACCCTCCCAAAGTGCTGGGATTACAGGCGTGAGCCACCGCGCCTGGCCCTGTGCCGCAGTTTTCTTTATCCATTCCACTGTTGATGGGCATCTGGGTTGATTCCTTACCTTTGCTATTGTGAATAGTGCTGCACTGATCACAAATTCTTAAAAGTGGAGATAACTGAAGAAATGTAGGTCAGGTGTAGTGTTAGATTTCATCTACAGTGATTTCTACATCTAGTGAAATATGATTGTCTCTTTTTAAATTATTGAATTAAGTGTTAAAATGCATTAAAAGATTTAAAGTTTAAATATTCTTTTATTCTTGGGATTCATAACTTGGTCAAGATATTTAATTTGTTTATAGCACACTGATGGACACAGTCTACTATTTTTCTCATCTATTTTACATCTAATTACTAATAGTGATTTTCCTATCTTGTTTCTTTATTATTTGTTCCCTAACTGGCTTTAGAATTAACACTATTCATAGCTGATAAAGTGAGTTGCCTAGCTTTCTGTATTTTGCTCCATTCTCTTGAATATTTTAAATAAGTCCAATAACCTTCTTTGAAGGTTTAGTAGGACTTCCCTGTGAAACAATCTGTATATAGTTGGGCAGAGATAGAATTTTTACAACTGTTTTAACTTCTTACTTGCAGTAAGTCTTTTCCATCGACATTTTTTTTTTATAATTTCAAGATTGTTTACATCTCTACTATAGCTGCAGTGGCATATTTATCTGTCATAACACTGTCTTGCTCTTAATTAACATTGTCTGTTTTTTTTCTCTGTTCAAAGAAACAGCTGCTTTTGGCAGGCTGGGTCCTCAGCAGTGGCAGCTGCCAGGTCAGCCTTGGTGAGTGGTGACTCAATTGCTCTGTCCATGCAGTGTCCATCCCAGCCACCACGGCCACTTTGTGCAGGGACTCATGAGCAAGCCTTGTGCGGCTGAGTGGCATCATCCATCAAGCCATCTCGCTCACCTGGTTACAGGGAGCCCCAGCCCCTTGGAGACCCTCTGGCAGGCATCCATATGCAACCTCTATCTTCACATGCTCTTCCCATGGAAAGTGGTCAGTGCACACTTCTCTCTTCCATCCGCCAATTTTCCAACTTTATTTTCCCCAAGTTCCAGACTGGCCAGGCAACCCATGAGTCACTGCCCTTGATTCATTCATTCATGCACTACTGGGGCATAATTTCTACCCTCTACCTCCTGTGGTCTTGTTTGGGTTTTGATTCCTAGTTCCTGGCTCGACAGCCCTTTCCAAAGCTGTTCTGGTGTCAGCTCCCAAGCCTACTGCTCTTGTAGATTCTCCTTTTTATATCTGAGTCATGGGCATTTATTTCCTGGAATTAAAAAAAAATTCACTGGTATTTTCAATGCAGCATTTCTAAGGACTTGGAGTAGGAGAAATTCTATATTAGCTTAGAGAGAATTGTTTCAAAACACCAGAAATGTAAACTTGAATGAAGGACAACATGCATGGAGAAAGGTGGACAAATCACAGGTGGGCAGTGGATTTTGCCCAAGTAAAAACTCGGATAAACAACACCTTCATCAAGCAACATCATTTTCACCCTCCAAGAAACACCGTTGAGTCATAAACCAGCCTCCCCCACCCTAGAGTAGCCACTGTCTTGATTTTTAACACTGTAGATGAGTTCTGTTGGTTCTGATTGAATGAAATTAGAAGTTGTTTTCATGTAGTTGGGCTCATCATCTTTGCTGGGCTCATCATCTTGCTGTGTGTGGTCATAGCCGATTCTCTCCCATGGCCGTCAAGTGCTCCACTTTATTTATTTATTTATTTTGAGACGGAGTTTCACTCTTGATGCCCAGGCTGGAGTGCAATGGCGCCATCTCGGCTCACTGCAACCTCCGCCTTCCCGGTTCAAGCAATTCTCCTACTTCCGCCTCCCGAGTAGCTGGGATTACAGGCATGCGCCACCACTCCCGGCTAGTTCTGTGTTTTTAGTAGAGACACAGTTTCTTCATGTTGGTCAGGATGGTCTTGAACTCCCGACCTCAGGTGATCCACCAGCCTCGGCCTCCCCAAGTGCTGGGATTACAGGCGTAAGTCACCGCATCCAGCCAAGGGTAAATCTCTTATTTTAGAAATTATTCAGCTAGTGAATGGGGAAGGAATGAGAGACTGAGACTATAATTCTTTTGCAACCCATAACGAATTAACAGATTTAGCCATTGAAAAGCAATGGCAATTAAAAGTAGAGTAGAAGTAAATAACCAGTACTAAGTTCTTCCTCCTGATGGAAGAATACAATGGAGTGCCATAAATGAAGTATTCAAGAAGAAAATCAAGTCAGTCTATAAGCAAATCTCTGTAGCCAACTACCAATTTGTAGAAAGTACAGATAAAACAGGTCCATATTAAACTATGCCTTGGGGTGGAGCCAGCAAAATGCAAACTATGGAAAACTCAGCCAGACAATAAAATTTCAAGGAGGAGCATAGAGAAAAAAAGAGAACAGGCCAGGTGCGGTGGCTCACGCCTGTAATCCCAGCACTTTGGGAGGCCGAGGCAGGCAGATCATGAGGTCAGGAGATTGAGACCATCCTGGCTAACATGGTGAAACCCTGTCTCTACTAAAAATACAAAAAAATTAGCCGGGCGTGGTGGCAGACGCCTGTAGTCCCAGCTACTCGGGAGGCTGAGGCAGGAGAATCGCATGAACCCGTGAGGCGGAGCTTGCAGTGAGCCGAGATCATGCCACTGCACTCCAGCCTGGGTGACAGAGTGAGACTCCGTCTTAAAAAAAAAAAGAAAAAAGAGAACAAAAATTATACATCCCAAGGTAAAACTAAACTACAATTTCAGAGGATGAAAATATAAAATAGAACAAAGAAGCAATCATCATAAAGGTCAGGCTGTGATTTTATGTGGGGAAGGGAAGCCTTTATCACTGAGCTGGGGCAAATGATGGTTTCTGGGCTGGCTGACAAACTTCTATATCTCTGGTGGTTAAAGAGTGTTTATCTTTTATTATTATTATTTATTATTATTATTAAAGGGCAACATTTTCAGACAGTTTTTCTTTTTGGGTACCTGTTTTATTTTATGGCAAAAAGCTAATGAAGAATAAAATAATTTATAGGTCATGATTACTGTTTTGCAGAAAGCCTACTCTCCACACCCCTCTCCAGACACTGAGCTCCCAAAACAAGTGGCAGCACCAGGACCCCCTGGCAGGGCCACCTCACTTCTGGGTGTGTTCATGTCACTGGAGGCAATGTCCCAGGTCTATTCCTTGATGCCTGGAAGAACCTGATAGGAGACAGTTGAGGGGAAGCCTTCTCTGTCACCTGCAGGTTCTTGGCTGTCACTGTAGAGGGAGCGGGTCCTCACTTCTCCCACAGGCCGGATCACAGCCAGAACCTCCTCCCTGCATGGGGAGTGAGGCTTGATCCTTTCCCTGAATACAGTGACAGAGATCTCTGTGTCATCACATGAAGGCTCCAACTCTTCAGGGCAGATGTTCCCTCACAGGGTCAGCCCCTGAATATTGGCGCCAGATGTCCCACCTCCATCCCTTCCCAGTCCTTTCTGTTCTGCTGTGAATCTGTCAGTCATTGGGAACTAGCAGGGAAAGGGAACAAGGAGGGGAGATTGCTTTGATGCTGGGTCAAGGCATTGAGACAGACCTCTCCTTCTCCCTGAACCTCACACTTTATCCGCTCCCAGACGCATGAAATAAAACACAGACCAGAAATGTCTATTTAAAGAGTAAACATTTACGGTATAAATTATGCACACATAATAGTAGACACAGAGTAATGCATAACGGTGTGACGGGGCGAGGGGACCTCAAGGTGACAAGAAAGCTGGTCCTGGGCTGGTCAGGAGGAGTCATCACCAAGATACTCACTCATAAAGTTCACCCATGATAATCTAATTACTGCACATGTAATATATTAAAATATATTAAAACATAAGAAAATAGGACAGGCATGGTGGCTAATATAATAAAATATATTACAATATAATAAAATAGGCCAGGCACGGTGGCTCATTCTTGTAATCCCAGCACTTTGGGATGCCAAGGCAGGCAGATCACCTGAGGTCAGGAGTTTGAAACTGGGCTGGTCAACTTGGCGAAACCCCGTCTCTACAAAAAATACAAAAATTAGCTGGGTGTGGTGGTGCCTGTCTGTAATCCCAGCTATTCGGGAGTCTGAGGTACGAGAAGTGCTTGAACCTGGGAGGCAGAGGTTGCAGTGAGCTGAGATCACACCAGTGAACTGCAGCCTGGGTGACAGAGTGAGACTCTGTCTCAAAAACAAAAACAAAAACAAAAACAAAAACAACAGAAATAATGATACCAATTAATATGGCACTGTTAAGGGCCCCACAACCCTGTATTGGACTGAACAAAGGGCGAACGTGGGAATAAAGAGAAAGACAAAAGAGTATATTTGGAACAAGGGGTCAGGGGGCTTCTTGCTTCTCGTGAACAAGGGCTCTGATCTTCCACAGCCCTTCGTATTTATTGGTATAGGAGATAGCAAGAAGAGGGGTGGAAGAAGGA
This sequence comes from Homo sapiens, assembly GCF_000001405.40. NCBI lineage: Eukaryota > Metazoa > Chordata > Mammalia > Primates > Hominidae > Homo > Homo sapiens. Next base: position 31,510,310 of record NC_000006.12, on the reverse strand, counting down.
GTCAGCTGCTGGGTCCAGAGTAGGCTTGTAAGACTGCATTCCTCAAACAATAGGCTCTAGATGACCCAGTAGATAACTCCAATGAGCACCATGGAGTGAATGCCCTCAGCAAACCTTCTGTTGGCAGGAGCAGTCGTGAGTTTGCCCACATCCTGCATTCATGATAAACAATTTGCTGTTTGATCATATAGCCTCCAATGGAATGTTGAGTTGGTCATGATCCCTTTGCTGGCTCTCTACGTGGCAGAGCAGCAAACACCTCATACCTACTAACACTTTGCAGCATCCAACAACAATAAATAAGTGATGTTATTTTCTCTGTTTCATAGGTCAGGAAACAGAGGGAAAGTGCTGGTGAGATCCAGGCAGGGAGTTGAATCCTGGCCGCCTGGCTGTAGAGTCTAGGTGCCCTCAGTGGAACCAGTGGACCCAGTAGCTGACATCAGAGGCTGAAATCCCAGCTGTGCTGCATCCCTGTGGTCTCCTGTCCCAACTGGGTGTTGATCCAGGACCTGCAGGCTCACAAGCTCTGGAGAAGAGGGAAACGGGTAAATGCTCCACTGGGTGCAGTGTTGTGTTTATTCCCTAAGGACTTTTCTCTCTTCAGTTGCCCCAAAATCAGATTCGCCCTTTCTCTGAGAGAAGATGAGGCCCCCACTTTTTTCTTCCTCCCTCCTTGCTTTTCCCAGCCCCTGTCAGTTCTCTCCCATCACTCCATCAACATCAGCCCCTGTCCTGTGCCCACCACTCACCGTGCAGGGAGTGAAAGGGCCCCAAGACAAAAGGACAAGACCCAAGAGGGAACCCAGTGCCCTCCTCTCAGGCCTGACCAGTCCTGTTACAGTGAGAGGCCTCCCCAAAGAGAGGCCCTGACCCTTGCTCTCAGTCCCCAGGCCCTTCTCTCCTGCAGAGGCACCTGCACACCAGGGCAGGCCCTGCCCACTGTGGGCCCTGCCCTCTATCTGCAGCTCAGCACTCCTCCCCTCCCAGCCCTGAGCAGGCAGCTCCTAACTGGGGACCCCATCAGGAAGCCTGGGGGGCCCAGCAGGCCCAGCATGGAAAGACGTGGCTGCCACAGGATCTGCACCTGACCTGACCCTGGGACCCCCCACCTTGCTCGAGGAGGCCTGGCCTCCCATGACCTTCAGCACCCACCTAGGCCTGTGACCTGCTGTTGAGTCACTACTGCTCCTGCCTGGTCCACTTACTCCTGGTCCACTTACTTCACCCCAGGGCTGCTGCTTGGTGAGGCTGTGAGGCCTTCCTGCTCTGTCCCTAGCAGGGATTCCACCCAGGCCACTGCCCTTGCAACCTACAAGGACTTTTCTCCACGTGGAGTAGGGGAGACCCCTTAGCCTGAGGCTGCCTCTGCCCACCCTCTGCACCTGGGAACTGCCGCTGCCACAGCCACCATCTCCACACAGACCCTTCTGGAGAGGGGGCTCCAAATTTGAGTTCCTGTTTTATTTAATATGCTTTACAACAGCAGTATTAGAGGAAATCCTATTAAGATTATAGAGCTGAAATTACGAACATCTTTATTGGACATCAACATTGAAAGCAGGAATTTTGAGAAACTGGCACATGAATTTCATACCCTTTTCCTGGCCAAAACCCCAGTGACCTACGAGGAAACCATTCCTGCCCACAGGGAACCAGAAGTGACAATCCCTCCACGGGAGACGCCGCAGGTGAGAGCAGGAGTGACCACAGACCTGCACTGCCCCTGCTGTGGGTGCCTCCTGGATGGGGCCCTCTTGCTGCAGGGCAGGGGACGAACCTTCCCATCTGCTCAGGCATGAGGGGCCGACTGACAGTGCAACTAGGTTCAAGGATGAGAAACCAGCGCCCCTACCGCCAGACTCAGGTCTCCTGGACACCCCAGCCTCTCACTGTCCCCTGCACTGCCTCTGTTTTTGCAGAAACACAAAACTTCTGCTGTCTCTTTTCATCTCCCATCAAACAACCTGACTGTGGGGGAAATGCTTCTGACTGTCCCTTACTCCAAACTTACCAGGCAGTGACCACCTTGAGAAAGGGAAATTGGCTCAGGGAGGGCAAGGTAAGGCCACAGAGCACAGAACAAAGCCTCAAAGAGATGGCGCCTGGGGACTGTGTCCCTCAGGGACTGCAGAAGAAAACACGCTGGAGGTAGGATGAAAACAGGGACCACATCTGCCCTGATGAGGGGCTGGGCCCCGCTCCTCAAATGGCCCAGGGACATCTGCTTATCTATTCATCTGTGTCATCTGCAAGGAAACTCAGGGAGGCCAGGTAGTGGGAACCTGGAAAGTGCCTCCTGGAGGAGGCACACGGGTGGGCATCGCCTCTCCTTGGATTCCTCTCCAGTTTCTGGCCCTCCCCAGATCACAGCCACCTTTACTATTTCCTCCCTCTGACACCATGATCATCCAGGCCCTCAGCAATCAGCACGTGATTCCCAACTCACCCCACCTGGACGCACCCTAGTGAGCCCGAGAGACAGAGAGGCTGGGATGGGGACAGAGCAGGTGCCACAGCCCTCCCTGCTGCCCACTCCTCACTTGCAGCAGGAGGAGGCCACAGCTGGATATTCGAAGGCCTTGCCCCAGCCCTGGCTTGGGAAGCACTTATGGGTGTAGATGGAGATGCAGCTCCCATTCCCCTCCCAAATACCCCAGCTTCCATCCCCTGTCCCAGCAGCCTTGTCACCTACGTCTTGTCTGGGCAGGAGCAATGAGGAGACCCTACTGCCTAGAAAGGAGCTTTCCCATCTCCAGAAACTGTCCCCTTTTCTCACCTGGACCCTCTGCCGCTGATGTTTTCTTCTTGCAACAAGGGACACAGAGAATAATAATAATAACAAAACATGGCATAGCAGCAGAAACATATGGAAAGTCTGTCCGTTGACTCTGAAGCACCAGCGCCTTCCCTGAAAAAAAGGGACTTGTTATACACTGGGCAGAGAGCCACAGCCGTCCTTGCTGTTCCTACCCTGGCCTGACCCTCTCCAGGGTCACCCCAGGCTCACCAGAGGGCACAGGGTGAGTGCCGTGATTCCCGCTGTGTTCCATGTAGCAGGTGAACCTCTGCTCCTCTCCTTGGCGAATCCTGGTGGCCACCCAGGTCTGGTAGGTTCCATTCCCATCAGGCAGGACATCCCCCCACTGCTGGGTGTTGTGGCTCAAAGATACCCCATCCTGACGCCAGGTCAGTGTGATATTCCGGGGATAGAAGCTGGAAGCCCTGCATGTCACGGTGATGTTGCCCTCTGAGACCTCGCTGCAGGTGACATTCACCATGGGGGGCACTGGAGAAGAAAGGGCAGAGCCAGTGAAGCCCTGCTCCCCTCTAAGGGAGATGCAGGGAACAGGGCTGCTCCTCTCCACTGTTCTCACTCTGGCTGAATCCCTCACAGATACCGGACCTTCTGTAAGTCTGTCCTCACCCTGGGGCCTAATTCCTCCAGGCTAGCAGGAGGATGGGCCTTGGGACTGTGGCCTCAGGCTCTGGGATCCCCACATTGATGCTGAGGAGGGGGATGTCAAGGGTGGACTCCTGGGTCATGGGGCCAGGAGGGAACTCTCCGGGATGGGCAGGCCGGGAGGCAGAGGGGGCAGCCCTGGCCCTGAGGGCTTCCTCTCCTGCCTAACTCCCACACCAGGCTCAGGCTTCTGTCAGAGGGCCCACTGCTTTCCCAGATTACAACACTGGACAGTTCAGTCCCAGACCCACTGTCTTTATCCAATGGCTCTAACAGGAGAGGCAAATCAGGACACAATATGCCAACAGGAAACGCCTGCATCCATAGCACAGGGAGGGTTTCCCCGGACAGAGCTGGGAGGCGAGGCAACTCTAGCAGAATTGCGGGAACAGTAGAGCCCCTGGCCAGGGTCGGTACCTGTTCTCCTGATGGCCACCCCGGATTTCAGATATCGCTGTAGTTTCTGCAGGCAGTCTGCCTGCATAGCGCGATAGTGTGTCTTGGTCTTCATGGCATCTTCCTTCCAGAAATTTGTGACGTTCATAGCCAAGGTCTGAGCTCTGGAGGACTGGGGCACTGTCGATTCTTGAGTCTCCAGGTTTTGGGAGAGGAAGAGCTCCCCATCGTAGTAGAAATGCCGGGAGCCCCTGGTGCTGCTGTCTTCATGGATCTCACAGACCCTAATCTCCTGGAGGGAATGCAAGCCTGCCCCCACCCAGCAGTGACTTCTCCATTCCCGAACCCATCACCTTTCCACCCAAGTGAGGAACTCAGCCCAGCAGCGACCCCTCCCTGGCCCTCCTCCATGCCTCCCTGTGTGGGCTGAGTTCCGGCTCACCACCCTGCTGAGCCTCCCTGACCCTATTCCTCATCCCCACCCCCAGCCAGATCCAGCGGGAAGAGACAGGTCCCTGCTCTCTGTCTCCAACTTTCCTGGAGAAGGCCTCCCATTACTCTTGCCCCTGCCGACTCTCACCTCCTTTCTGGTCCTTGATATGAGTCAGGGTCCTCCTGAGGTCTTGCCCATTCTCTGTCAAGTCCTCGGTCTCTGTGTCCCAGGTCTTAGCTCCCAGGACATTTTCTGCCCACTGTCCCTGGGGCTTTGCCCTGCGTTTCTGCCTGTCATAGCGCAGGAAGGGCTGACCATCCAGATGTCCCTCAGCGAGAAACCCTGACTGCACAGATCCATCCTGGGACAGCACCATGAGGTTGTAACGAAGACTGTGGGGCTCTGGGGAAGAGGAAATCACAGGTGAAACTTCTTCCTGGAAATAACTTCACATTGATGTTTAACACACAGGTCTGCTGTCCCGACCTCCCTGAGGAGGCAGGAAATGCGCATGGGCAAAAGGACAAGAACGAAGATTTCATATACAAGGAAAACTGTGAGGGTGGGAGGATAGAGGAGGGGGCTGATGAACAGAAGAAGGGGGAATGAAGATGGCAAACTTGTAGGTCAGGTGCCAGGACTGGGTGGCCACAAGCCCCCTAAGGGAATAGGGGCCAAGGGGAGAGGCTGCCCTGCAGGGGCAAGGGAGGAGCATGAAGGCAGTGTTGGAAGGAAGGTCTTGCCAGAGGGGACAGTGGGAATGGGAAGGGACTCAGGCTCAGAGGGACCCATGTCCAGTGTGGCTGTGGTGCACAGGTGAGGGTGAGATGGAGGCAAGGCGAGCTGCCTTGAGAAAAGACTCATCATGGGCATGGTGGGGACAAGGGAGGGGGTGGTCATGAGGCACAAGGGGTAGGAAGGTTGTAGCCCCAGTGAAGTTTATAGTGGGGTCAGTATCCCAGAGGGGAGCAATGATGTGGGCTTGGGTCCAAAGTGGAAGAGTAGCATGACAAGGCCCCAGGACAGCAATTGGATGGACCAGCTAGTGTCCACTGGGGTGGGCAGGTGACAGGGTCTCAAAGAGTAAGTCCATCTTTTCAGCAAATAGTGCTGGGGGAACTGGATGTTCAAATAATATAAAATTGGACCCTTAATTTGTACTATATACAAAAATTAACTCAAAATGAATCAAAGACCTAAACTCTAAACTCAAGAACTAAAACATAAAAATATCTTAGAAAAAAACATTGGGTATAATGTTCATGACATAGGGTTTGACAGTGCTTTCATGGATATGACGCCAAAGCACAGATAGAATAGAAAGAACTGACAAACTGGACTCATGAAAAATTCAAAATATCTGTGCATCAAAGGGCACAATCAGAGTGAGAAAGCAATCAACCCCTGAAATGAAATAAATATTGCAAGTCATATATCTGATAAGAGATTAGTTTCCAGAAGGCCAGGCGTGGTGGCTCAAGCCTGTAGTTCCAGCACTTTGGGAGGCCGAGGCGGGTGTATCACCAGGTCAGGAGATTGAGACCATCCTGGCTAACATGGTGAAACCCTATCTCTACTAAAAATACAAAAAATTAGCCGGGTGTGGTGGCGGGCGCCTGTAGTCCCAGCTACTCGGGAGGCTGAGGCGGGAGAATGGCATGAAGCTAGCGGGCGGAGCTTGCAGTGAGCTGAGATCGTGCCACTGCACTCCAGCCTGGGCAACAGAGCAAGACTCCATCTCAAAAAAAAAAAAAAAAAAAAAAAGAAAAAGAGAGAGATTAGTTTCCAGAATATGCAAAAAAGTTTGACAAAAACAACAAAACAGTCAACCCACTCAAAAATGGGCAAAATAGCCATGAGAAGCTATGTGGGGGAGAAAAATGGGCAAGACTTCAATGGCCAATTCTTCAAAGAAAATATACAAATGATCAATAAACACATGAAAAGATGCTCAATATCAGTACTCATTAGGAAAATGCAAATCCAAACCACAATGAGATACCACTTCAAACCAATCAGGGTGGCTATTATCACACACACACACACACACACACACACACACACACACAGCAAGTTTGGCAAGGAGGTAGAGAAACTGAAGCCCCTGTATACTGCTTCTAGAAATACAAAATGGCACGCCTGCAATGGAAAACACTATGGTGATTCCTCTAAAAATTAAAAAATGAAATACCGTATGATCCAACAATTCTATTTCTGGATATATACCCAAAAGAAATACTCAAAAGAAATAAATATATACCCAAGAGAAATGAAATATTTGCCAATATCCAAAAGGTAGAAGTAACCCAAGTGTCCATTGTCTGAGGAATGGATAACCAAGATGTGGTACATACATATAATGAGTATTATTCATCATTAAAAGGAATGAAAATCTGACCCATACTACAACCTGGATGAACCTCGAAATATTATAAGTGAAATAAGCCAGAATCAAAAAGACAAACATTACACGATTCTACTTAAATGAGGTACCTAGAGTGGTCAAATTCATAGAAACAAAAAGTAGAATGATGGTTACCAGGGGCCAGAGGTAGGGAGGAATGGGGAGTTACTGATTAATGGGTACAGAGTTTTGGGTTGCACAAAAATGTGAATGTATCTAATGCCACCGAGTATACACTTAAAAGCGGTTAAAACAGTAAAATGTATGTAATGTATAATTTACCACAATTAAACGTTTAAAGAACAAGAAATATCAGTCCTATTCAAATTGTTCTGAAAAACAGAGGAGGAGGGAATACTTCCAAACTCATTTTACAAAGCCAGGAATATCCTGATATCAAAATCAGGCAAAGACACATCAAAAAAAGAAAACTACAGGCCTATATCCCTGATGAACATTGAGGCAAATATCATCAATGAAATACTAGCAAACCACATTCAACAGTATATTAAAAAGATCATTCTTCATGACCAAGTGGAATGTATTCCAGGTATGCATACACAAATCAATCAATGTAATACATCGTATCAACAGAATAAAGGACAAAAGCCATATCACCATTTCAATTGATACTGAAAAAGCATTTGATAAGTTTAACATCCCTTCATGATAAAAACTCTAAAAAAACTGAGTATACAAGGAACAGACCTCAATATAACAAAAGCCATATATGACAACTCACAGCTAGTAACATACTGAATGGGGGAAAACTGAAAGCCTTTTCTTTAAGATCTGGAACAAGACAAGGATGACTACTTTCACTACAGTTATGCAACACAATACTGCAAGTCCTAGCTAGAGCAATCTGACAGGAGAAGGAAATAAAGGGCATCAAAATTGGAAAAGAAGAAGTCAAATTATCCTTGTTTGCACATCATGTGGTCTGATATTTGGAAAACCTAAAGACTCCACCAAAAAACTATTAGAACTGAAGAACAAATTCAGTAAAGTTGCAGGATACAAAATCAACATGCAAAAAACAATAGCACTTCTATGTGCTAACAGCAAATAATCTGAAAAAGAAATCAAGAAACGAATCCCATTTTCATTAGCTACAAATAAAATAAAATACCTAGGAATAGACTTAACTGAAGAAGTGAAAGATCTCTCCAATAAAAACTATAAAGCACTGATGCAAAACATTGAAGAGGACACAAAAAATGGAAAAGGCATTCCATGTTCACGGACTGGAAGAATCAATGTTTATTTTTATTTTCTGAGATGGAGTTTTGCTCCTGTTGCCCAGGCTGGAGTGCAATGGTGCAATCTCAGCTCACCACAACCTCTGCCTCCTGGGTTCAAGCGATTCTCCTGCCTCAGCTTTCCTGAGTAGCTGGGATTACAGGCATATGCCACCACGCCTGGCTAATTTTGTATTTTTAGTAGAGGCGGGGTTTCCCCATGTTGATCAGGCTGGTCTTGAACTCCTGATCTCAAGTGATCCACCTGACTCGGCCTCCCAAAGTGCTGGGATTACAGGAGTGAGCCACCGTGCCCAGCCGGAAGAATCAATTTTGTTAAAATATCCATCCTACCCAAAGCAATCTACAAATTCAATGCAATTGCTATCAAAACACCAATGACATTCTTCACAGAAATAGAAAAACAATCCTAAAATGTATATGGAATCACAAAAAACCCAGAATAGATAAAGCTACCCTGAGCAAAAAGAACAAAACTAGCGGAATCACATTATCTGACTTCAAATTATACTACAGAGCTAGAGTAATCAAAACAGCACGGTAGTGGCATAAAAACAGACACACGGACCAATGAAACAGAATAGAGAACCCAGAAACAAATCCATATATCTACAGTGAAGTTATTTCTAACAAAGTTACCAAGAACACATACAGGGCAAAGGAGAGTCTCTTCAATAAATGGTGCTGGGGAAACTAGATATCCTTATGCAGAAGAATGAAACTGGACCCTATCTCTCACCACATATAAAAATCCAATCAAAAAGGATTAAAGATGTAAATCTATGACCTCAAACTATGAAAACTATGAAAGAAAACATTGGGGAAACTCTCTAAGATATTGGACTGGCAAAGATTTTTTAAGTAATACCCCACAAGCAGAGGCAACCAAAGTAAAAATGCATAAATGGGATCATATCAAGTTAAAAAGCTTCTGCACAGCAAAGGAAACAATAAACAAAGTGAAGAGACCATCCAAGAATGGGAGAAAATATTTTCAAACTATTCATCTGACAAAGGATTAGTAACCAAAACATATAAGGATCTCAAACAACTCTATAGGAAAAATATCTAATAATCCAACTTAAAAATGAGCAAAAGATCTGAATAGTCATTTCTCAAAAGAAGACATACAAATGGCAAACAGGTATATCAAAAGGTGCTCAACATCATTCGTCATCAGATGAAGGCAAATCAAAACTCCTACGAGATATCATCCCACCCCAGATAAACTGGCTTTTATCCAGAAGACAGGCAATAAGGAATCCTGGCGAGGATGTAGCAAAAGAGAACCCTTGTACACTGTTGGTGGGAACGTAAACTAGTATAACCACTGTGGGAAATAATGTGGAGGTTCTTCCAAAAACTAAAAATATAATAGAGCTGTCATATGCTCCAGCACTCCCACTGTTAGGCATATACCCAAAAGAAAGGAAATCGGTATATTAAAGAGCTATCTACTTTTCCATGTTTATTGCAGCACTATTCAAAATAGCCAAGATCTGCAAGCGACCTAAGTGTCCATCAACAGACGAATGGAGAAAGAAAATGTGGTGCACACGTGTATGTGGAGTACTATTCAGCCATCATGTCATTTGCAAAGAACTGGAGGTCATCATGTGAAGTGAAATAAGCCCCAGGCCCAGAGAGACAAACTTCGCATGTTCTCACTTATTTGTGGCAGCCAAAAATTAAAACAATGGACCTCATGGGGAGAGACAATAGAATGACGACTACCAGAGGCTGAGAAGGGTAGTGGGGAGTGGGGGAGTGCGGATGGTTAATGGGTACAAAAATATAGTTAGAATGAATAAGATCTAGTAGATAGCACAGCAGGGTGAGTACAGCCAACAATAATTTATTGTACATTTAAAAATAACTGAAAGAGCATAATGGGATTGTTTGTAGCACAAAGAAAGGATAAATGCTTGTTGTGATAGATAACCCATTTACCCTGATGTGATTATGACATATTGTAGGCCTGTGTCAAAATATCCCATGTACCCCATAAATATATACATACATATCTACTACGTACCCAAACAAAAGTTAAAAATTAAAAACAAAGCAAGGGGTGGGGGTGCTGGCCAGAGAGAGAAAACCAAGGTAGAGGGGGAGATTCTCAGCCTGAGGAAGGACCTGCCAAAAGGAGTAATGCTGGAGGGGGAGCAGTGGCACCCCAAGAGCAGGCAAAACAGATTTTAGATATGCGGTGTGGGGAGTGAGAGCCCACTGGGGTCAAGGAACCAAAAGAAAAGAAGGAAGGTCAAGGAACAGCTGGCCCAACAGCCTGTTTTAGGTCTGGGTTGGGGAGGGGAGATGGGCAGAGCAAGAACTGGAGGGCGGCATGAGCATGGGGCAGGAGTGACTGTGGGAGAACTTGGGGTAGGGTGAGGACAGGAGGGGAGGGTGCTCTGGGGGAGGGTGGGGCTTGGGAAAGATTCTCAGCACTGTCATATGCTCCAGCACTCCCACTTTCCCACTGAAAGATGAGAACTTGCTGAGGGCCCCAGGCAGCTGGGCAAGAGATAGGAGCAGCACAAGGTCCCAAGGTGGAGAGGGGCGGAGGGACCAGGGAGGGATGGTCCAGCACCTGTGGGCTGGAGGGTGGGGTCCTCAAGAGGGTGAGGCTGAGGATGAAGGAGTGGGGAAGGGGCCACAATGAGGCAGGGCCCAGAGCAGGCACCTGCACTGGAGGGGAGGGGGCATCTGCGCTGCCCTGCGCCCTGCCTAAGGCCCAACTGCCATTAGCATCAGGGCTCTCCTTGGGGGTCTGGAGGGGAGTGGGATGGAGGGAAGACCCCCCCGGACAAAAGGCAGCACCAGAAAGTTAGAGTCAGGGACATTTGGGAATGGGGAGGCATAGGGGCAGCACGGAGTGAAGGCTGCTTGCAGGAAAGGCCCATAAAGGAGGCAGGAGGGACCTTCAGTGGCGGGGGCGGGGGATGAAGGCAGAGGACACCCTAGAAATGGATCAGAGAACAGCACACAGGAAGGGGTAGCAGGGAGCTGGGAGAGCAACAGGACCCAGGGCGCCGTAAGATGGGCAGGGAGGAGGTGAGAGGGAATCTGGTGTCCTTAGATCATTGGTCATTAGTAGGGGTGGGATGCGAGAGAGGAGAGGACCCCCGGAGCCGGAGGCGAGGGGAGAATGAGCTGGGGATGACAGAAGTCGCAGGAAGAATCCTCTGCCCGGAGCCTGCAGACTCCAACCCCTCAGCTTGAGAGTCAGGACCCCCCACAGTCCCCACAGCAGCAAGAAGCACCACCTCCGGGTCCCAAGAAAGGAGGGCCCCAACTCCAGGAGCTGCGGCCCAGGAGCTGAGAACACATCGGCTCCGGGAGAGGACAGGACTTCAGGGACCTGAGATCCGCCCCCAGCACCGGGGGAAGTGGCTGCCTCAGCGGCCGCGCTGGAACGGCCTTCCAATGCCATTCACAGGAGCAGCCCGGGAACCCAGGGGCCTCAGAAGGACTGGTTTGTCCGAAAAGTGAGAGGAGACGGAGGAGAGGCGAGGAGAGCAAGTGCAGGAGAGACCAGAAAATGCGGGTGATGCGCGATCCCGAGGAGGACTGAAAGGAGACAGGAGGTCGGGCGCGGTGGCTCACGCCTGTAATCCCAGCACTTTGGGAGGCCGAGGCGGGCGGATCACGAGGTCAGGAGATCGAGACCATCCTGACTAACACGGTGAAACCCCATCTCTACTAAAAACACAAAAAATTAGCCGGGCGTGGTGGCGGGCGCCTGTAGTCCCAGCTACTAGGGAGGCTGAGGCAGGAGAATGGCGTGAACCCGGGAGGCGGCGCTTGCAGTGAGCCAAGATCGCGCCACTGCACTACAGCCTAGGCGACAGAGACTCCGTCTCAGAAAGAAAAAAAAAAAAAAAAAAAAAAAAAAAAAAAAAAAAAGAGACGGGAGATGGGAAAGCAGGGCTGAGGTGTGGCGGGAACAGGCGGCGTCCAGCTCCCTGCACTCCAGACAGCACACCTGAGCCCCGCCCTGACCGCACAGCGCTCGCGGCAACCCACCCGGACCCCCGGAAACGCCCCGCCGCTCCCGCTCCGCCGGGGACCGCCAGGAACCCCACTCACCAGCGGCGGCTGCCGGGGGTGCAAAAGGGAAGGCGACGGCCAGAAACAGCAGGACCCGGCCCAGCCCCATGGCCCCTACGTCGCCACCTTCTCAGCTGCTCAGCAGTGGCCAACTGAATGAAACCCGTGAGAAGACCCCGTCGAAATTTAGTCACCTGCGCCCCGCTCAGCGACCGCTTATCCAGTGAAAACTGAGGCCCGGAACTTAGGGCCAATCATGAGTGGAGAGGGCGGGGCCACGTTCAGAAGAGAAAATTCTAGCGGCCTGGAGACCTGGGGAAATTTAGAAGGCGGGACCTGGCGGCCAGAAAAGGGGGAGCGTGCGCGAGCGCAGCCAAAATCAAGGACCAGCCCCGAGTAGCTGAGAGTACAGCTCCAAACTTATGAGCACGACCTGGACCCTGTCGCCCTCCCTGCATCGCGACCACCCCATCCCCGCATTCCCACCCCCAAGGAGCGCGGGCTTCACCAAGCCCCTTTCGCCGGTCCTCCCATCAGGCCGGCTCTCACTGGCTTGTTCCTTCCGGGACAGACAACGCGTGGTTTTTCTCCCAATACACTCCCTCAACCGCGCACAGCGTTACTGCAATGAGACCAGTGACCAGATTTGCAGACCTGTTTCCAGATCTCAGCCGCCTCTGCCTTTCAGAAGCACTTGCCCCAGTAGAAACGCTCAGATCACAAATTCTCTTAGACGTTTCAGCTATATAATCTCCTTCTCCTCCCTTCGACTCAAAGCCAGGTCCCCCCTTTCACCCCCTTATATCCTCTAAGTGTCTGAGGTCTCCCAGGGCCCCCTCTCTATTCAGTTCCTGGGTAATCACAGGGCCAACGAGGCGGCTCCCCATGGTTCATTACAACACCAAGCTCTCTCCAGACTCCCTTTTCCAGCCTGTTTTAGGACATCTGTACCTCTGGGACCATAGTCCCCTTCAATATGACAGATCTACAAGGACTCTCTACACGTCTCCCACCACATCATCCTCTCTTCCTCCTCAGTTTCTCTTAAGAACTTCACCATCCTTGGTCCCTTCTGATTTCCTCTTTCTCCTTCATCTCCGGGAGTCAAAGTCAGCTCCTTCAACGCTATTTCAATCCCACAGCCATAGTCTTAGTCTAGGCTTTCCCCTCCCTTCAGTCTGGATTACTGCACAGGCTTCCTAAACACTGTGCCTGCCTCAGTTACAACCAGAGTGCTCCAAGCCACCCACAGCGCCCCATCTGCTGAATGTCACACATGGTGGATGCTTCTACTCTACCATGGAAACCATAGCTCCCACAATCTATTGTCTGGCACCACCCCCATTTCTCTGGTGACATTTCCCCAGGGTTGCAGTAAACGTGGGCTCTGGGATCTCCTCACCCTATCCCACCAGGATGCCACTGCCTAAGCAGTCTCCCTCTTCCAGGTTACTGTCACCTCTGCCTTGGAACCCATCAGACCACAGCATATCCTCAAAATCTTCCCAGTTAGGCTGGTCTGAGTGCAGTGGTGTTTACAACTAATTGATCACAACCAGTTATAGATGTTTTTGTTTCATCTTCACTCCCACTGTTTCACTTGACTAGCCTTTAAAAAAAAAAAAAAAGGAAAAAGGGTCCGGGCACGGTGGCTCACGCCTGTAATCCCAGCACTTTGGGAGGTCGAGGTGGGCAGATCACGAGGTCAGGAGATCGAGAGCATCCTGCTAACACAGTGAAACCCCGTCTCTACTAAAAATACAAAAAACTTAGCTGGGCGTGGTGGCGGGTACCTGTAGTCCCAGCTGCTCAGAAGGCTGAGGCAGGAGAATGGGGTCAACCCGGGAGGCGGAGCTTGCAGTGAGCTGAGATTGCGCCACTGCACTCCAGCCTGGGCAACAGAGCAAGGCTCCGCCTCAAAAAAAAAAAAAAAAAAGAAAAAAAGGAAGAAAATCTTCCCAAGTAGATAGTGGTGACGGTGGCACAACCTTGTGATTATGCTAGAAGCCACTGATCTGTACACTTTAAAACGATAAATTATGTGTGGCATGTGAATTCTCAATTCTCAATAATAAGAATTCTGTCTGGAAAGCCTCTACTAAGAGAATTGGCTTGTCCCCAGCGCACATTCTTAGTCATTGGGACATCTAGGCAGTGGTCTTCAAACCTAGCCACTGCGTAGAACCACCTGGAGAGTTTTTAATATCCATGTTCCCAGGCCACAGCCACAACCAGTTAAATCAGTAAACCTAGGTTGGACCTAAACCTTAGTATCTTTTAAAGTTCCCTACGTGATTCCGATGTGTAGTCAAGTTTTAGAACTACTGATCTAGCCCATGGTTTGAACCTTCCTGATGGTACCGACTGTGCCCTGTCTTGAATCTTATTTTTTTCATTTACTTTATTTTATTTTTTTAAGAGAGGAGTCTTGCTGTGTCACTCAGTTGGAATGCAGTGGTGTGATTATAGCTCACTGCAGCCTCAAATGCCTGGGCTCAAGCAATCCTCCCACCACAGCCTCTTGAGTAGCTGGGACTACAGGCGAGTGCCACACACCCAGCCATCACCTACCATCTTCTACCCTCCTCCCCCATTAGACTATGAACCCTCCAGGATCAGGAACTGTGTCCATTTCTTTTTTGTTGGCCTCACAACCTTTTTTTTTAAGTTCAACTATCCCTGTCATTACTAACTATTCCCCTATCATCCCTAGCCTACACTTTTCTGTGGATGAAAATGTAATGTATTCGAGAATTTTAACAATTTCTTAGTCTTCCCATACACATTCACTGATAATTTATTTTGATCCTCATAATTTATTAAGCACAGCAGGGACTGGGGTCCTGTCCCCACCTTAGAGAGATTATTTTCACTGCTAAAGATCATAAGCATAGTTTGAGACAGAGAGGCAGATGGACCCAGCTCTCCTGACACAGGTCCCAAGCCCTTCCCTCCACGGTGTCTACCCTCCCTCCAGGACTTCCTCCGTGTGCCAGCTCCAGCAAAGGGTCTCATTCAGCTCGCCTCCAAAAAAGACTTTTAATAGTTCAATAATAATAATGAATATTTAAGGTTTGTTCTAAGGCATTTAGAAGCGGTTTCAGGGAGACATGAAGCCAGTCCTCCCCTGGGCTAGGGGAGGCCAAGAAGGTCTTGAGCTCCAGGGGAGTTGCTTCTCAGCGCCGAGGCCTGGGTCCCCTCCCCCACCAAGCCTCCCAGGTCTTCTGTTCAAAGCCCTCCCCCTCCACCCCACCTCCAGCCCCCTCTGCTCTGCCCCATCAACTATGTTTTCTCCCTCAGCACTTGCCTTAGATCCCTGGACTCACGAGCACAGAGGCGACTTCCTCCTCGCAGACTTTAGGCGCCACTGCAGGGTCCGGAAAAGAAAGAGAAACGGCCCAGCGCGGTCGCTCACAAAATTCAGGGCGGGGCTGCCCTCGGCGCCCGAAAGCTTTTTGTTTTTTGTTTTTTTTTGAAACGGAGTTTCGCTCTTGTTGCCCAGGCTGGAGTGCAGTGGCGCGATCTCGGCTCACAGCAACCTCCGCCTCCCGGGTTCAAGTGAGTCTCCTGCCTCAGCCTCCCGACTAGCTGGGATTACAGGCATGCGCCACCCCCGGCTAATTTTGTATTTTTAGTAGAGGCGGGGTTTCTCTATGTTGGTCAGGCTGGTCTGGAAATCCCGACCTCAGGTGATCCGCCCGCCTCGGCCTCCCAAAGTGCTGGAATTACAGGCTTGAGCCACCGCGCACGGCTTTGCCCGCAAGCGTTTTGAATTTTGTGGCCCGGAATTCACTGCGAGGACTGGGATCACCCATCACCCTTCCCTGGTCTACGGAAAATGAAACGTGTTTACTGATACAGAAACGGAATAACGGCACTTTGGGCTGGGGAGGGCCGAGCTGCCTCAGGCTTCTGGTCTCCAGCTGCGCGGCACTCACACCTGCCGCTGTGAAAATGCAGACCCGCGGGGCAGGAATTCCGAGTCCAGGCTGGAGCGCGATCTGGAATCTGACTCGCTGGAAACAGCACCGCGGTGGATTCGGACCTGGGTGAGTAGGGAACTGCGCCTCAGCCCCTCCCGCAGGCCGCCCACAGATTCCGGGGTCCGAAAACACTTCACCCCTGGAAGGCAGCGCCCGCCTCTGGGCGGTTCTGATGGAAACGGGCTCCACCGCCCGCAGGAAAACCCACAACTAAGGGGCCAGGAAAAAGCCTCTCAGGGTCCCGCCGCTTCAGTGAGGATCCTAATTTACACCCCGAGTTTGGCCCCGTCAAAGACGGGAGGGACCACTGAAATGATACAAGACCAGCGCGGCCCAGGGCGCTGGGGCGCATAGAATGCTGTGACAGCGCCGCCTCGCGTCCCTTTTCTGACCTGCCCCAGGCGGACGCGGTGAAGTGTGTTGGCCTGGAGGCTGGAATACACCGGGGATCAAGTGCAGAGAGTGGTGAAAGGAGGGAAGGATAGGGGGACGTGTTAAGAAAGGAGGGAAGAGATAGGAAGAAAAGGGGAGAGAAAAAATAAAGGAGAGATAAAATTTAAAAGACGTAGTTTTATTATTTATTTTTGCCCTTTATCTAGTTTTACTTATGAACATTTTTACTATAGCTTTCTCTCTTTCTGAATCTGTAAATATACTGCTATTATTGTTATTTCAGAGCCTGTGAGGGTAAGTTGCAGACAGCATGACCCTCTACCTCCAGATGTGTCAGGGTGTGTCTCCTGGGCACAAGAACAGGGTTTTTGTTTTGTTTTGTTTCACATAAGCAAAGTACAAATCTCAAAGACGATAATATTTTTAAATCATCATATTGGGACATACTTTGCATGCAATAAACTGCATCTATTTAAAGTGTTCAACTTGTTGAATTTTAGCTGTTGTACACACCCACATCTCCACTACCACAGTGAAGATAAAGAACATTTCAATTGTCTCCCAAAGAAGAGTTATATTATAAAATTCTATACAGTCATTAAAAAGAGTAAGATTGCTTTTAAGTATTGCTATGAAAAGAAGTGCCCAGCATACTTTTAACCTTTTTTAAAAGGTTAAGGAGGCTGGGCCCAGTGGCTCACGCCTGTAATCCCAGAACTTTGGAAGGCCAAGGTGGGCAGATCACCTGAGGTCAGGAGTTGGAGATCAGCCTGGTCAATATGGTGAAACCCTGTCTCCACTGAAAATACAAAAATTAGCCAGGCATGGTGGCCGGCGCCTGTAGTCCCAGCTACTCGGGAGGCTGAGGCAGGAGGATTGCTTGAACCCGGGAGGTGGAGGTTGCAGTGAGCTGAGATCGTGCCACTGCACTCCAGCCTGGGTGAAAATGCCGCTAATATTACTTACATAATATTAATATATATTTTAAGTAGGGGAAAACCTGGAAGATTCCTCACCAAAGTTTTGACAGTGACTTCAGAGACTGGGATAACTTTGTGACTTTCATTTTCTCTGAAATGTTGGAATTTTATCTTTTAGTATAAACTTGGATTTGGGTGAGTTGCAGTGGTTCATGCCTATAATCTCAGCTCTTTGGGAATTGGAGGCAGGAGGATCGCTTGAGCCGGGGAGTTCCAGGCTGCAGTGAGCTATGATTGTGCCATTGCAATCCAGCCTGGGTGACAGGAGGAGAACCTGTCCCCAAAACAAAAATAAATAAAATTTTAAAATAATAAAAATTGTGAACTTGGATTTATGCGGACGTTAAGGAAGAGAATATTTCAATTTGAAAATACGAAGCTAAGCCCCACACCAAAATGGTTACAGAGTTTTAAAAACCAAAATGTTCTTTAAAACCCACCACCAGAAACTCTTTCAAGAGGATCCTTCATATTTTCATGTCATTGAATCTTTCTTAAAGTGCCTTTGAAAGAGATGTTTTCAGTGGAATAGAGAGATGTGTAACAATATTTACAAAAGGGGTTGGCTGTAATAAAAAGGAAAACGCAAATGAGTGGGGACACAGGGGACCCTGTTCCATTTATTCTCAAAGCACGTTTGAAAACTGCGTTGCCATAGCGTCCTTGGATGGAGACAAAGTCGAGGCAGATCTTGTTCCTGGAGTATTGATTTGATTTTGGAAACGGTCCAAGGCTTTCAGAAATCAGGCTGGCTTAGATCTAAAGTCTCAAGAATGTTCGTTCTAGCAGTGAGCCTGTGAGAAGAATCTAGCCCATCTGGGCGATGCTCTCTCTGCTTTCACCTAGTGGCAGTGGTTGGAAGGACAGGGCACAGTGTTACTGCATGGGTGGGGCTGAAGCCAAGGTGAAACCGCCTTTGCAAAATTATAAGTAAGGAAATGATGACAGTGAAAGATATCAAACCTAACTCACCCTATCTTGCTTCTAACCGCTAACCTGCCCTTGTTCATTTCTGGGCATAGGCCGAACTAGCCTTGGGAAGGAATTTATAGTTTAAAGGGAAAGTGTTCTTTTAAAACGAATGAAAGGCCGCCAGCCATTAAGTTAGGATGAGAGGGGCTGGAATTCTGAATATTACCAGCCATTATTCCGGAGGTCATAAGATTTGCAACTTCCCCAGTTACTCTTGAAGGTAACATCACTATTGTGAACCTCAGAGCGGCCTTTTGAGATGTATTTTGCATTTCTTTTTTCTTTTTCTTTCTTTCTTTTCTTGCTTTTTTTTTTTTTTTTTTTTTTGACGGAGTCTCGCTCTGTCGCCCAGGCTGGAGTGCAGTGGCGCGATCTCGGTTCACTGCAAGCTCCGCCTCCCGGGTTCACGCCATTCTCCTTCCTCAGCCTACTGAGTAGCTGGGACTACAGGCTCCCGCCACCACACCCGGCTAATTTTTTGTATTTTTAGTAGAGACCGGGTTTCACCGTGTTAGCAAGGATGGTCTCGATCTCCTGACCTCGTGATCCGCCCGCCTCGGGCTCCCAAAGTGCTGGGATTACAGGCGTGAGCCACCACGCCAGGCCAGGTTTTTGCATTTCTAACAACTGGAGGACCCCATCTGGACCTGCCAACCAGTCCTGTGGCCCCCCACTCAGGAACTGACTCAGCCTAAGAGAACAGCCTCCACTCACTATGATTTCATACCGGAGCCAACCAATCAGCACTCCTGATTCACTGGCCCCCCCCATCCACCAAATTATCCTTAAAAACTGATCAGAGTTTTCGGGGAGACTGATTTGAGTAATAAAACTCTGGTCTCCCGCACGGCCGGCTCTGCATGAATTACTCTTTCTCTATTGTAATTCCCCTGCCTTGATAAATCGGCTTTGTCTAGGCAGTCAGCAAGGTGAACACACTGGGTGGTTACAAAGGGAGTCCAGGCCAGTGTGCAGGATGTGCTTTGCTGTAGTGGGGTCCGGGTAGCGGAGGAAAGTCAAGGACACTCAGGGAATAAATGGCAGAGGAAGAAGGAGCACGAGGGAGGACCCAAAGCCTCCAGACCTCTCCTTCCTTCTCTCCCTGTTAGGGTTGGAGAGGACCAGCGTGGTCCCAGGAGGGATGGCTGGTGGGGTGCAGAAAACGCCCTGGTTGCAAAGGGGCGTCACGCGCCCCACGCAAGGGTCCTGGCTGTCAGCTGCTACTCATGAGTTCAAATTAGGACGAGACTCACACGTGTCCTTTGCAAAGTAGACTCCTTATCTCCCGCTCCGGCTGGTTTCCCAAATCCATCCTGATAAAGCAGAAAAACCAAGAGCCAAATTCTGCGTGGGACCTTTCTGACAGCTGGAAGGTCCTCCCCCTCCCCATTCCTCACATGTGCCCTTCTTGCCCTGCCCCCTCCACTTTGTCTCCACTTCCTCATCCTTTTCCCTCTCCGGACCCCGCTCCTGAGTATCTCCCGCCTTCTTCAGAGGACTTCTCCTCATGAAGTACAGACTCCTCCACCTCCAGGAAAAAGAGACAAAGACCACTGAGAGGGACCTGAGAAATGCCTGTGACCCCACCCCTGAGGCCAGCCTCTCCCTCAGTGCTGGCTCTGGCTGTGTGTGTGTATGTATTTTGTTTTGTTTTGTTTGTTTGTTTTTGAGACAGGGTCTCACTCTGATGGTCAAGCTAGAGCAGTGTCCCGATCACAGCTCATTGCAGGCTCCAACTCCTGGATTCAGGCAATCCTCCCACCTCAGCTTCTCGAGTAGCTGGGACTACAGACTGGAGCCACCACACCCAGTATGTGTGTGTGTGTGTGTGTGTGTGTGTGTATTTTTTTCTTTTCTTTTCTTTTCTTTTTTTTTTTGGTAGAGACTGGGTCTTGCTTTGTTACCCATGCTGGTCTTGAACTTCTGGCTTCAAGCAATTCTCATGCCTCAGCCTCCCAAAGTGCTGAGATTACGGGCATAAACCACAACGCCTGGCCCCTGTGTGTGTATATACAAAGTCAAAGTGCTAAACCTGGCACCTAGGAAACATCCCCACCTTGGCATTGCTTGCAACAGTCGGTATTTTGTGCACCTGTGCTTTTGTTTCGGGAGCTGGGACAATTATATTCATCAGAACAGCACGGTGTTAAGGCCCTCACCCCCAGAAAGCTTAAGGGACACTGTTTTATGAAGGAGAGTGAGATTGGAGGAGCCCCTGACTCCAGGTCTCCTGATCCTTCTTACACAAAGCGATGCTGAAAAAAAGTGCAGGACACTCCATTTCCTCCTGGGACCAGACAGGGAAGCCAGAGCCACTGTGGATGTCAAATTCCAGCAAGGAAATACCAGTATAGCAAAATCTCCACATCACATTTTAAAGCTCACACAATGGCTCAAAGAGAACCAACATCAAAAAACCGAATTCCTAGCTCAGGTGAGATCACCAAATTTGCCTGTGAGGTTTTGTGGAATCTGCAGGTAGAAAGGACATCTTTATTTAGAGCTGCAGCCCAATTGCTCCTGCATCTTGGGGCCCCTTGAAAGGACCCTCTCCCTTCAACAGTGCATAGTGAGGCCATTTCTGGGGAGAAACGTAGACTGTCCTTGGACTCCTGAGGTTTTTACACTTACTTGCTGACTCTGTGGACTTTGACTTCATCATTAAACATCTTACAACGATGTAATTTGCTTTGACTGTAAGTGTAGAACAGGACACTGTTCCTGAAGCAGGAAACAAGGGACTGGTGACCTGAACTGCCACCCCCCTCCCTGGTGCTCAGATGTAATGAAATCGTGAGGCAACAAATCTATGGCCAGGTAAAGGGTCAACTCCATTTCAGCAAATGTTTCAGATGTTCCTTCCCGCCTAGTAATGTTCCAGCTTTACCCCAGCCTTAATCTTTTAAAATGTATATTTTCCTTGGTGTTATTTTAAAGTAATTCGTATGTATTTATTACACTGGGTTTGTTGCAGTAAGCCACCTCGAATGTTGCTGTAGAATTAAAGTAAGCAAATAAATGTGTGGTTCTCCACGGAGTTACTAACTCTTAAAAAAAAAAGTCCAAATGTCCATTCCCAACTCAGCTTCAAGGAAAGTCTCCTCTAGACTCCACAGGGTAGAAATTCCTGTTGATGGCACCTTCAGAAGGTAAGAAAGGAACTCGTCCTCCACCATGCCTGACCTATCTTTGGGTTTTAGGCATTGGCCGACTGATAAAGGCAACTCTGAGAGTACAATCCATGTATAGATGACCGATAGTCATATAATAGGAATCTCACCACACCTGAGAGAGTGGGATAGATTCCCTCATTTTCATAGTTTGGGCATCTGAGTCCCTGAGAGCCTGAATGCTTGACATGGATTCTCCAAGAATGTTGGCCTTGAGACTCTAAAGGGCCCCGGGTCTCCTGTGAAGCCCCCTGTGCATGCACCACACCCGCAGAGGCTCCACAACGGCGGGAAGAGCACCCAGGGTCAGAGCCCAGGCTAGTTCACACTCGGGGACCATCCACATCCAGGACGTGCAGAGGAGGGGCCGAGGTGAGAGCCCAACCCCTGCCTAGGCTGTGGTGACTGGTGGCTGCACGGGGGTCCCAGCGCTCCTGGAGCTATCATTCTTTATCTCCTGAAGACCCCGGACCCGCACATACAAAAACTCTGCATTTCTGGTGGAGCGGTCTTCTCTTTTGAGATGTAAACACTACTTCTCGAATCTTAAAGCCAGCCATTGCCACTCCTAAGGGATAAGCCTCTAACTCCACTGAAATTAGCCTCAGAATTTCAGCTGAGCATTTGGAGCCACAGGCAGGAAGTCTGTGGGATTTGTACCTGGCTGATCTGGAAGGTGGTCCTGAAAGGTAGTGTGTGACTAGGTGGGCTCTATCCTGATGAGAGGAGAACGAGACAGATGGGAAGTTTCCGAAAGTGAATTTCAGTGGGCCCTGTGCCCAGCACTAGGATTTGGAAAATCTTTTCCCAGCCATTTTTGGCCTGTGGGTTTTCATTCTGCTTTCCTGTCTGCCAAGCCATTCCAGGCAATCCCTTCATTTGGTAAACATTTATCAAATACCTACTGTGCGTGGGGCATTGTTTTAAGAGGAGCTGGAACTGAGGTAAGAGCAAATAAACCCTCCTTGCCCTCAAGGCGTGCCCAGTCTTGCTCAGGCAGAGATCAGTAAGGAAATCATAACACAAATTGAGAGAGAAAAAAGGAAGAAACTGGTCAGGCGGGCAGTTATGGTGGGTCCTCAGTTGAATTATTTCAAACAAAAGAACGGCCTGCAGGCACAGAGAAGGGAACTTGCACAGGGGGGCTTGCCTAAGACATGCCCACAGCTGCACAAATAAGAAAGGCTGCACAGGAGACTTGCCCAGACATGCCCGCAATGGAAAATTCTGTCCCCCGATACGTGGGCAGTCAGGGAAACAAAGCAATATGGAGTAACTCAAGCTAAGGGCCTGCATGGGCACTAGGAGGATGGGGTGGAGCTACCGGAAATTCGTGCCTTATGCAAATGAGACACCCAGCCCTCATCAGTTTCTTGTAAAAGCCTTTGCATTCAGCTGTAAAAATGGCAACCATCTTCCAAGTCCCCTCTCTGCAGGGGAGAGCTTTCTTCTTTTGCTTATTAAACTTTTGCTCCAACCTCACCCTTTGTATCCACGCTCCTTAATTCTCTTGGTGGTGAGACAAAGAACTCCAGGTAACACCTCACAAGGAGAGACTGAGAGGCTGCTACGTTGTGGTGCATTGGCAAGACTAACAAACTGGCTAGTGGGACATGCACACTTGCTTGGTAGACATATATGTAGATCTTCAGCTCTGACTAATGAAGGAATACCAAAAATCTCATAAAAGAAAAAAATATTATTTGAGCTTTGTTTTGTGGTGTAAGTGGGAGCCCCACAGGCACCCAGGATAGGAGAGCTTTGCTCAGAATCCAGGAAGTGAACATCTTTCCCTGGGCCAGGCCAAGAATGAGACTAAGCTGATTGAGGAGCCTGGTGCCTCCTGGCAAGAAAGGGTGTCTGACACCTGACTATCCAGAAGTCACAGCTACTCAATATTGAGACTTGAAACAGAGAGAGAGAGAGAGAGAGAGAGAGAGAGATCTGATTTGAAAAGCAGAATTCTGCTGGGGGCTTGTTAAATGCAGAGTTTCTGATACAGTAGGTCCAGGCCAGGCCCTGAAGATTGCATATCTAAGTTCCCAGGTGATGCCAATGCTGCTTCCCCCAGGACCACACTTTGAGAACCACCACCCTAAGGCAATCTGTGTTGGTTTCTAATATCAGAAGAGGGCTGGGAGTGGGCTGGGAGGCAGAGGTGTGGGATCAGTGAGAACACACCTGACCTACCCTGGACAGCTCCCCACCCCAATCTTGCAGCATTTTATTTCCTGGGAGTCCTGGGAATGGAAGACACCCAGGAAGGGACCAAATGTGGGGTCACAGGGTGATCCAGAGGCTCGGCTTCATACAGCACCTGGGGCTCCCGCCACTCCACAACTGGCCCCCACACCCTCAGTCTTCCCACCCCTCACGACACTGACCTCCAGACCTTCCTCGACTAATCTCAGCAGGTTGGGCCTGGGATGTGACACTAGGAGCTCTGAGTGTACCTTCTGATCCAAAGATAGGGTGACCGCGTATGACAAGTACTCAGATGGGCCATTAATAGGACCTTGAACATTTGGCAAATGGCTTCAGTCACGTGTGCTTGAGAATTCCAGTGTTTTCTAGATATGGCATCCATGAGCCCACACAAACACTGGAGGGCGTCGTGAGCATACTGAAACCCATAACTGCTGCACTGGATCCCCTAGAATCCCTTTCCCACTTAGACCAAGATTTGAACAAAATTTCCTTCACCAAACAAATTGCATTTAATTAATCATGCTGTTATTTTACCTTGTAATGGAAAAAAGATAGATGTAAAGAAAGATCATGCGATTAAAAAGAAAACAACGTACTGAATTAAAATGGCAGTAAACCTCCTTGTTAAAGGAATAATATAATATTTAGAAAATTTTTAAAATTTATTTTAATAAAGGTAAAAAAATTCTATTAGTTTTTAAAAGGTTTTTCATTTTGAATTTTTTTGGGGTTTGTTTGGTTGCCCTAGGAATTATCTTTTATTTCTTGATATAGTTCAAAATTCAAAATTCAAAATATTCAAAAGGTAAAATGTCTCTTTCTTACCTTGTCTCATCCCCAACAGGCAACCAGGGATATCTTCTTGCTTATTCTTCCAAATATATTTTATGCATATGCAAGCAAATATAAATGTGTATATATATCTCTTTGTCCCTTTTCACACAAATTTTAGCAGACTCTATATGTTATTCTACACCTTGCTTTATTTCTTCTTAACAATGTATCATGGAGACCATCCCATGAGGGAATATCAAGAGTTTCCTATGTCTTTCTTCTTTTGTGTTAAATGTTTGTAGACTCAGCCGTGTAGATATGCAGTGCTTGTTTGGGTTTTCTTAGGAAGGTAGGGAGGCCTCCTCATGTTACCCAGAGTGGAGTAGAGTGTATTCACAGGTGAATGCTACTGTGCCCAGCTTGCAATGCTTTTTTAACTAGTCCGCTAGTGACAGACATTTGGATTATTTTTTCTTTTATCTTTCATTTTCTTTCTTCTTTCCTTTTTGATTTTACAAACAGGGTTGCATCATATAATTCTGAATACAGTCATTTTTCAGGAATGCAGGTCTATTTTTGGACACATTTCTAGAAGTGGGACTACTGGGTGTATGCATTTTTAATTTAGACAGAAATTGCCATACTGCCTTTCCTGAAAACATTTCCAGTTTGCAGGCCCATCTGCAATATATCAGAGTACCTGTTTTGGTACCATTAGTTTTTTGATTATAGAAATATGTAGAGATATACATTTGGGAGCCATCTGTGTCTAGACGATATTTAAAATCCTGGGAGTGGAGGACACTAGAGTGATTGGGAGGCAGTAAAACCCCACAGTGCTCCAGCATCTACAGCAAAAGGAGCCAATGAAGGGGGACTGAGGCTGAGCAGCTAGTTGGGGAGGAAGATAACTTGACCTGTAAAATGTCAAAGAAGATTTTAAAGGGGGGAGTTGATACAACCTCTTCAGAGAACAATTTGACATCCTATAACATCACATGGTAAAAGCACAGTAATCCCATTCCTACATCCGTATCTTGGGGAACTCACACAGGGGACCAGAGAGAGATGACCCAGGATGTTCATTGTGGCAGTGTCTGTAACAGAAACAAGCTAAAGGTCGCGGACAGGAGAAGAGATAAATTGTGGGATATTCGTCTCATAAATGCTATCCAGCACTGAAAACAAATGAACTGTTTCTATGGGTGTGTGGGTTCACCTCATAGACCATATTAAACGATAAAGCAAGCCACAGAATGATACATTCAACAAAAAACAATTTTTACAAAGTCTAAAATCATGTCAAACGAAAGGATTTAAAAAACTTTGTAGGCCGGGCGCGGTGGCTCACGCCAGCACATTGGGAGGCTGAGGCGGGCGGATCACAAGGTCAGGAGACCGAGACCACCCTGGCTAACACAGTGAAACCCCGTCTGTACTAAAAATACAAAAAAATTAGCCGGTCGTGGTGGTGGGCTCCTGTAGTCCCAGCTACTTGGGAGGCTGAGGCAGGAGAATGGCGTGAACCCGGGAGGCGGAGCTTGCAGTGAGCCGAGATCCCGCCACTGCACTCCAGCCTGGACGACAGAGCGAGACTCCGTCTCAAAACAAACAACCAAAAAAAAAAAACACTTTGTAGCAATATAAAGGCATTCACCAAATTCAAGACATCCGCCACTCCCCACTGGCAGTCCAGTACTCAGTACAGTAGTACTGTACAGTACATAGAGTACTGTACTGTATGTGTTTCAGCGGAAACACATACATAACAGAACTGTGGAGAATCAGGGCTATCTGCATATATTTCTATTATTTTCTATGTATACTACATATAGCCAATAATATTAAAATGTTACAAATTGACAAACCTGGGTAGGGGCTTCACAAAGATTTCTTTTAATTCTCTATTCTTCCAGCTAGAACTACCTCATAATAACTAGCAGCAACATGGATGGAACTGGAGGTCAGTATGTTAAGTGAAATAGACCAGGCAAAGAAAGACAAATATCACATGTTCTCACTCACATGTGAGAACTGAAAAAAAGTTGATCTTATGGAGGTGGAGAGTAGAATAATAGTTACCAGAAGCTGGGAAGGGTGTGTGGGGGATCTGGGAGATAAAATGAGGTAGCTTAATGGGTACAAAGATACAGTTAAATAGGAGGAATAAATTCTAATATTCGATAGCACAGCAGGCTGGCTGTAGTTAACAACAATGTATTGTGTATTTCACAATAGCTATAAGAGTGGATTTGAAATTCACCCAACACAAATAACTGATAAATGCTTGAGGTGATGAGTATCCTAAATATCCTGACTCGATCATTTCACATTCTACACATGCATGAAAATATTATGTGTACCCCAAAGTATGTATAAATATTATATGCCAATAATTTTTATTAAAATACCAACAAGCTCAGTACAATAAGGAGTATTTTAAAATGATACAAAAATTATTTGTGTGATAATTTGGCAAATATTTCCTGTTCATTAACATCAATTTTTTCTCCTATAAGTATAAGGAGAATAATACCTAAATAGCATCAGAAGTGGTTGCTTTCCTGAAAGAGAATCCTTTTCCCAGTTAAAAATACAGAATCAGAATCACTAAAGTAAATAGGACTTTGGAGAACTACATAGCACTGGGTCTTGCTGCCCTGGGGCGGCCAGGCTCAGGGAGTGCTCACCTTCCAGGGAAAACTAAACTTCGGCTCCCTTGTTTTGGTAGTGTTCTTTTTTTTTTTTTTTTTTTGAGATGGAGTCTTGGTCTGTCGCCCAGGCTGGAGTGCAGTGGCGAGATCTTGGCTCACTGCAAGCTCTGCCTCCTGGGTTCACACCATTCTCCCGCCTCAGCCTCCCGAGCAGCTGGGACTACAGGCATCCACCACCACGCCCGGCTAATTTTTCTTTTTGTATTTTTAGTAGAGAAGGGGTTTCACCGTGTTAGCCAGGGTAGTCTCGATCTCCTGACCTCGTGATCCGCCCGCCTCGGCCTCCTAAAGTGCTGGGATTACAGGCGTGAGCCACTGCGCCTGGCCTTTGGTGGTGTTCTTATTGCAAGACCAACATTTCAAAATATCAACAGAGTCCAGCCAAAGGGTTGTATTCTCTTTTATTTCTTATAATATGCACCGCCAAGGATGGCGCAGACTCTTATGGGCTAAACTGTGTCCCTGTACACATATTTTGAGGCCAATGTTGACAAGATAGAGGGAGAAGATGGCCATCTGTAAGCCAGAGACAGGCCTCAGGAGCAATCAGCCCTGCAATACATTCCATCGTGGACCTGTAGCCTCCAGAACTGGGAGATAATACATTTCTACTGTTTAACTTACCCAGTCTGTGCCACTTTATTATGGAAGTCTTAGCAAATTAAAACAGAGATATCACCTTTTCTACCCTGCCCTACATATGAAAATGAGATTTTTCAAGAGTATGAATTATGTAGGATTCCAAAGCATAGAACGGATAGATTGAAAATTGACAATGGCAGGTGATGTAGAGTTTGGGCAGATGTAGGCTGGCTTCCAAGCCTCCGTGGTCCCATGGTCACCACACAAAGGTGGAGATGTTCTCATTCCTTTTCATTTTCACTTGGAGCAAAACATGTGGGTCCACACTGGTATATGATCAGAAGATATATTTAACTGATTTGAGATATTGAGGTAGAAAGTCTTGCTGTACTTTTATAGAAAGATGAATGATAATTATCATCACTAAAGGGGCTTTTAGGCAGGGTGTTGCTGGCATTATGTTTTCCTCCTACTTTTAAGGTGCATGTTCCTAAAAAAGCCCTGTCTAGGAGTAAAGGCCATCACTTAAATTTTTCTGTTTCTGCGGCCGGGCGCGGAGGCTCACGCTTGTAATCCCAGCACTTTGGGAGGCCAAGGCGGGCGGATCACGAGGTCAGGAGATCGAGACCATCCTGGCTAACATGGTGAAACCCCGTCTCCACTAAAAATACAAAAAATTAGCCGAGTGTGGTGGTGAGCGCCTGTAGTCCCAGCTACTCGGTAGGCTGAGGCAGGAGAATGGCATGAACCCAGGAGGTGGAGCTTTCAGTGAGCCGAAATCGCTCCACTGCACTCCAGCCTGGGTGACAGAGCAAGACTCCGTCTCAAAAAAAAAAAAAAAAAAAATTTTTCTCCACCTGTCAACTCATTGGTCCTCACTTCATTTCAGTAAGGTTACCGGAATGTCTGTGTTTATCCAGGATTCACAGATGAGTTTAAAAGTCCCTAGTGGTAGAGAGCTTCTCCCGAGGTCACATGGCAACCGAGTGTGGTGGAGCAATGACAGGCATGTGGCAACCTTGGTCCGTACTCCAGTTCTCTAGGTGCCATGAGAATTGCAGCCTTTGGTTCATTTTCTATTATTATTTTTTTTTTTCTGAATGAGTGAAGGAAAATGTGTGTTGAGAACAAAGTGCCAGAGACCTAAGTCCATTCCTTAAACCTGCAGGGTTGGGGCCTGGAGAGACAGAGGCTGCCACTGATTCTCTGAATTCCAGCTTCCCTTGTCAGTCACGCAGCTGAAAGCAGGAAGAAGCTTTCTCTTCTGCACTTGGAACAACAAGGTGAAGATGACAGAGAGTCCCACATCTACCATGGAAAAGGCAATGGTCCCTAAATCATGCCAAGTTTTCTAATGACATGTGTTTTCCCGCAACATGTAACTATATGTCCTCCCTTCAAGCACCAGTTATCACAGTACAAACACAGCAACAGCATAAAGGAATGACTACTGAGCCTGAAGCTCTGATGGATGCTCTGAGTTGAGACTTTGTTTTATACTTAGGTACCTGTGAGTCATTGCAGAGTTTTGCCTGACTCCACCATGACCCAATTTGATCAAGGTCTATATGCTATGAGACCTCTCTAGTTCCTCATCAGAAATTATAATGAATACCATGTCCAGCTCCTGAGGTGCCTGATGGCAACGAGCGGCAGCTCCTCTTGGGGCAACACTTTGGGGGTGACCAAGGCCTCACAGACCTCACTACTGCTGGGCTACATGGCCCAAGGCTCCTGGGCGCAATGGATCGGTGGTCTTGGATTCGCCTCGGACATTTAATGACATTTGTTCTTGGGCTTTCACAAGTGGTCTCTGGTTGAGATGGAAGGAAAGGACGCAGGGACACAAAATCTCTGACTGCCCAGGGACCCCCTCACCGTCCTCACTTCCACTCAAGACGACATGGCCGTTCCACTAAATTCCCGAGGACATGGCCAACATGAGTAACAACACAGGGAAGTGCCTTACACAGAGTTCCATGGAAGCCTGGCTAGTACCCTCTAGACCATTTACCTACACCTGTTGGGATCTCTCTAGCATGAAATGCTCCAGAGGCAGTCATGCCATAAGCTTGGATCCTCCAGCCATTGAGTGTGAGGGTCTTAGCCCGGTCTAAATGAGCACTGAATTCTAGAGAGACCAAGGGACTGTCTAAGTTCTGAATTCTGAGTCCTGAATCCTGGAAGTTGGCTTCTGGCCAGGGAGCAGGTGTTACTGCCTCTGATCCACAAAAGCAGCCCCACAGCTCAAGTTGCTCTTCTGGATTTCTCCCCTCTCCTGGTTCCTGGCCAGGCAAATCTTCACTGCTTTGTTAGCCCATCCATTTGCTCAACCAGATTTTTCAAATATGTATGTTTTCCTCCTTTTCCCATTGTACTCAGTGGAAGGAATGGTCTAAATTACCTAATCAGCAATTCCTGGAAACCAAGCCACCATGTACATACAATCTTATACGTTAATGTCACATACAAGAAAGAAAATGCAGAGGTACCAGTAGTGGCTACCTAAGCAGTGTAATGTAGAGGTAATAAAAACGAATTGTTGGATAGTATCTATCTATGCCATGAGTAAAATACATATCAATAAATTACAACTTCTAAGAAAATAATCTCTATATGTAATATATGACTATGACTCTGATAGACAAACCTCGGAGTATTGTCTGAAGACACTTCTCATCACCTTCACCTCATGAGCCAGATGGTGTGAAATGAGGAGCAGAGATTTGAAATGTGTGGCAAGCCTCTCTGCAAAGCAGCAGAGTAACATTCTACATGAGCGAATCAAAGCAATCTCACAAATGACATTGGATGTGCGGTGTGGGATGTGTGTCCTTATTATAATGGAGTTAATCCTTTAAGTAGGTAATCCTTTTACATGAACTGGATTCTAAATGACTTATTAGCTATCAATTAGCCAGGAATTTTTCCCTTTACTAAAAGAGAGACCCTGCCATGAACCAGCATTTCCCAGGTGGAGGTCTCTGGCAGACATCAACTTCTAACAGGGTAAATGTCCTGTTTCTTTAGTCAGGGAAAACTGACTTTCACAAGTGGTCTCTGGTTGAGGGATCCCATTTTGAGTGGGGCATTTGCCAAGTCACTTCTCCCTGTTCCTGCTGGGGCTGGGGATGATGAACCGAGTGAAGACACAAACTCTGAGAGGGAACCAGGCAGACAGGCAGACTGACAAGGAGGGCACTGCCTGGTCTAGTTACCATTCGCACCCAGTCAGAAGAGGTGAAGGGTGAGAGAGGAGGCTGCTGGGAACTGGAATATTAGCAGCCAGGAAGGCCAAGAAAGTGCAGGCTGACAGTATAGGCCAGAGGCTGGAGACCCTGGGAGGGAGCTTTGTTGTTCCCTCTGAGCCCCAGGGTGCAGGAGAGGGTCCTTTTCACCAGGGAGCTTCAGCCTTCAGGATGATTTCTGGGCTCTGCACTCCACTGATCCTCCATGAGGACTTTAAACAGCAAGATGAGGTACCCAGGGCCCTAGGAATCTGATTCTCATATACCCTGAAATACCTTTACTAAAAATATCATCCCTATGTTTTGCTTATTTCTTATAACATATAAAACATTAAGCCAAACCACTGTACAGAATTTATTAATATGTAGATATGAGGTGTCTGGTGACAGATCCTCCAAGTTATTTATATCAGAGGAAGAAAGTGGTCTGGCTGCATTCACAGATGAGAACAGCAGGGTAGCAACACTCAGGACCATGACACTGGGTGCTCCCAACCCCGAAGGGAAGCATCTCACTGTACACAGATGGCCAGGAGAGTGATCACAGGGTCCTGTGTTATCTCCTCCTCCTCCTCTCCTGGGTCCTGGGCTTCACTTCCTAATCTCAGCTGGTAGCAAAATTAACTTGGTATTCAAGACCCTTATGGCCCCTCTTCACCATAGCATCTCATCAGGTCTCTTTCCTCATAAGAATTTCAGCACAGGGGTGTACTCTAGAAATATCACCATGGAAGGGGTGGCAGAGGCAGCTCATCTCTAACTCCTCAAATAGAGAGGATGGAGCCACAGTCCTGTGCCTCACCCATCCCATGGTCCTGCCTCAAATACAGTCTCCTCCTGCAGGCTGCTGGGTCCTCTTTATTGTCATTCTCCAGATGGTGACAGGGTCCCAGGCAGACGTGCTCACAGCTTCCTTGGGGCCTGATACCAACAGGAGTTGAGGCCAGGGAGCAGCTTTGGGCTGTAGCGATCTTTGGATTTGAAGGTAGGGGATGGTGATGGGCTGCCCATAATGCTCTAGGTGTAAAGGCTGAGAGTGGCTGAGCTGAATCTGGTCATTACCATGTTCTCCACAGTTTGAGAGCTGCCTTGTGCAGACCAGCAAGACACAGATAGTTCTCAGCCCCCTTATATCTCTGTGGACCCTGACTTTTCTTCCCCCAGCTGCTGTCCTCCCAAGCACAGCCCCGGGAGGATGTAGGGAGAGGGACCCATTCCCCTGATGCCCCAGAACCCCTTTCATGTAATCCCAATATCCAGGCCTGGGGTCCCCTTCTTTGGATCGACCTTTCTTTTCTTGGAATGAAAGGGTTACAGGGTCTCCCTCCCAGATCTCCACTGTGACTCACTCACCCTAAATAGATGTCTTGCTCTACAGTTATCTTCTGCATAGTGTTTTCTGAAGATGTGATAAAATATTATAAGCCATTAATAAAACATGGAAGTTAGGTTCTCTTTTTGGATTCTGAGGATCTGCTGT
Source organism: Homo sapiens (assembly GCF_000001405.40). Lineage (NCBI taxonomy): Eukaryota > Metazoa > Chordata > Mammalia > Primates > Hominidae > Homo > Homo sapiens. Next base: position 31,477,798 of record NC_000006.12, on the reverse strand, counting down.
GCTGGGGCAGGGGCAGGTGGGGAGAGAAGGGCAGGTGGAGGGGCAGGAGCTGAGTGGTGTGTGGCCTCGCTCTGTGCCCAGTAAAGCTCCTGCTGTGGTCATCTCTTGTGTATTTGTCTGGATCCCTCCATGTGCTGGGATTTGTGCCTGGTCTTTAGGGGCGGGTGCTGCTCCAGGTCGGAGGCCTCACACATCTCCAGGCTGAGCCTTTCTCCAAGTCCATGGAGGTCACGGGCTGAGAATGGCCAGTCCCACTCCTGCCTTGAGTTTCACTTTATTTGGCATATTTTTATATGTTGATCTGATCCTTCTCACAAGGGATGTTTATGAGCATTATTTCATAGGAGAGCCACTACCATCCCGCCGTGGCCATGCTCTGTCCCTGACACCAGGATCCTGGGTGCTTTGTTTTTGTTCTCCCCTAAAGTCCCGGGACAGCCTCTGCACGTGGGGCTTCTCAGATGACACAGATTGATGATTTCCACCTTAGCCTTCTTTCCTCTTCCATTTCCAGAATACTTCTATTTTTTTCTTTTATTATACTGTCAGATTTTCAAGTTAAGGGCTGGGCACAATGGCTCACACCTGTAATGCTAGCACTTTGGAAGTCCAAGTCAGGGGGATTGCTTGAGGCCAGGAGTGGAAGACCAGCCTGGGCAACATAGCAAGACCCTGTCTCTATGAAACAAATCGAATTAACACCATGAATACATGTGTTATTGTCATGTCATAAATAAATTCTTGTCACTTCTTCTGTGGGACAGTCAGGGTCCTGGCAGGAAAGAGATGACAAAGAAAGAAGACACACATTACAGAGGTGCTGGCAGGCCTAAGAAAGCCACAAGGGGTGCTGAAGCTCCCTGGGATGATCAGTGGCAGGAAACTGTTTCCATCTCTGAGTTGAAAGAACAAGGAAGAGGGAGCAGTTTCCAGAACTCACGGAAATCTGTAGCTTTCACTAGGGGCAGCCCTGCAGGCCTGTGGCTGTAGGTAGAGGACGGCAATGATTACAGAACCGCAGAGCTGTCCAAAGGGAGTGAGGGAAGTGAAAACCCTGAGTTACTTCTCCCCCCACGCTCCCATCTCCTGCAGGTGCCTGTTATCATCCACACCCAAGCAGAAGCAGGTGGTGCAGGAGCACAGGCCGTGCTGTCTCTGTGGTGCCCCCAGTGCAGGGGGCAGGATGGAGGAGAGTGAACCACAGCTCTGTGGAGGGGAAGCAGAGAATAATGCACTCACCTGCTTACGGTGTTCACATTCTTCAGGGAATTTACTTAAATATACCAGAGTTTGTTCTAATCCAAAAATATGACTTTAAAAAGAAGTATCTCACTTATAAATGCATAGCAGGTAGTAAAATTGAGTATTACCTCACTCTCCTTCCCTTTCCCCACATGGGACTGTATAACTCATAAATGAATAACTTGATTTATTATTATTTTTTTAAAATAACTTGAATTATTTGGGTGTAAGCCATAAAAGCAGAGTCTGGCTCAGATCAGCAAAGGGAAGTTGTTGGGCAGCTGGCGGTGCAGTTCACAGAATCACAGATACTTTCAAAGTACCAGGACAGCACCGAGGAGCAGGCGGCAAGCCCTGACCAGTCTCGTTGGACTAGACCATGGAGTGAAAGAATCGTCACTGATACTGATAGCTTGTGACTGCTGATGCTTTAAATTCTGAGACAGTTTACCCAAATGGCTTAGTTTAGATCTCATGCATTTCTTATTTTCTTGTGATTTAATTTCAGGGATAGAGTCAATATCTTCCCTTAAGGGAAGTTCCTTTCCTGTTTATCTTGTTAAACTAGGTGGAAGGGGAAGACTTTTTCAAGTTCCCATGGACCCATATACATCATGACATCAATCTAATTGCTCTCATCCAGTGATACGGTTTGGCTGTGTCCCCATTCGAATCTCAACTTGAATGGTATCTCCCAGAATTCCCACATGTTGTGGGAGGGACCCAGGGGGAGGTAACTGAATCACTGGGGCCAGTTTTTCCCATGGTATTCTTGTGATAGTCTCACGAGATCTAATGGGTTTATCAGGGGTTTCCGCTTTTGCTTCCTCCTCATTTTCTCTTGCCACTGCCATGTAAGAAGTGCCTTTCACCTGCCGCCATGATTCTGAGGCCTCCTCAGCCATGTGGAATTGTAAGTCCAATTAAACCTCTTTTTCTTCCCAGTATGTCTTTATCAGCAGCGTGAAAATGGGCCAATGAGAGGGGCTATTTCCTCCACCACCAGTGGCGCTGTGGGAGGCTCTTCTGCACCCATATTGCAGCTCAAACCCATTAAAAGGGGAATCAGAGAGCTGGGCTAGGCATTTCCCTTCCCTACACTACAGGAATCCTAGTTGTGTTTCCCTTCTGTTTGATAGACTTAAATCTAGATAGTCACTAAGTTGCTGTGTGGTCACGTTTTGGAGAGAAAGGAAAGCAGGCAGGAGTGAGGACACTGGCACCCCAACTGCTGCCTGTGGGCACCTGCACATTCATGCTCCACTCTCACACTCACACTTACACACGTGTACACACACTCCAATTCCCACTTGTGCACACATGCACACACGTGTGCAGCCACACACACACACTCAAGTCAGCACTGGAGGATGACACTTCCCAACACCCTTGTACCCACGTGCCATTCTTGGGGATTTGTGCGGCTGGAGGCAGGAGGTCCTGAGGAGGCACCACCAGGGACTACCACCAGGGGGAGGGTTGAGTGAGTGGGGTCCTGCCAAGGCACTGGTGGATGGGATGATACCTACGGGATGCACTGGCAGGGGCAGACGTTTGCTCCAAGGCCATCTCCCTTCCATCTCCTCTCCCTGCTCAGGCTCAAAGCCCTGACCTGAGGCCCAGCTAGAAAGGCAGAAGGCATCCTCCCACACAGAGCACACAGCTCCTTCCCTGCATCAGAACCCTCGGTGGCACCATCAAGTTGGACAGATATAGTCAGGCGAGGTGGGGGGTCACTGCAGAGGACAAGAAGGTCCTGTCCTGGAATCTGCAGCCAAACACCTTTGGCCACAGACTGAAGGCTGCACTGTCAGCTTCCCTACTTTTGAGGTTTTGGGACTTGGACTGATCCATCACTGGCTTTCTTGCACCTCAACTTGCAGACGGTCTGTCGTGGGACTTCACCTTGTGATCGTGTGAGTCAATTCTCCTTAATAAACTCCCTTACATATGTACATACATCCTATTAGTTCTGCTCCTCTAGAGAACGCTGACTCACACAGTGGGTGAGGCAGGGAGTTGCGTGAGCTGCCCAAAAGCCACCAGGAGCCACTCTCTCCAGGCTTTGGCCTCACTTCAGTGCCAGGCCCTGCCACAGCCCTTGCCCCCATCCTACTCTGCCACCCCCAGCTCCCTCCCAGCCTGACCCCAGACAGAATCCAGAACAACTCCTGTTCCTGACCTGAAAAATGTTCTTGCCAGTTTAGGCAGAACTTGCTTTAGAGCCCTGGTGTCCAGCCCGCCACAGGTCTTGTGTCTGTTTCTCTTGGCACTGTGTCTTTTCTCACTTATTCTTCTGAAACTCTGCAAGGCAGGAATTATGTCACTGGTTTGCAGATGAGGAAACTGGCTCAGATGGTTTCATTCAGCACTCACTCACTGGGCAAGTGTCTGTCGGGGCCAGCTCTGGGTCAGATGTGCTCAGGCCTCTTCAGCTGGCTGGTGGGAGGACCTGGAGGGTTCATGCCCAGGTCCAGGCCCATCTGACTTGAAAGCTTTTCCTGACTTTGCTTCAGTGCTGATTTCCCCTTTGCAGGTGCACCTTCCACTGTGCTTTCCTTTATTACTGTTTGCTGACACTGCATTTTTTCCTTTGCTTTTTCTTTCTTTCCATCTTTCTTTCTTTTTTCTTGCTTTTTTATTTATAGACCGAATGTTTGTGGCAACCCTGTGTCAAGCAGGTCTATTTGGCACCATTTTTCCAACAGCATGTGCTCACTTCATGTCTCTGTGTCACATTTTGGTAATTCTTGAAGTATTTCAACCTTGTTCATTATTACACCTGTATGGTGACCTGTGGTCAGTGATCTTTGAAGTTACTCTCGTAACTGTTTTGGGACACCATGACCCACACCCTTATAAAATGGTGAACCTTATTGATAAATGTTGTGTATGTTGTGACTTCTCCACCAACTGGCTGGTTTCTTGACTCTCTCTCTCTCTCCCGGCCTTCCCTATTCTGTGAGACACAAAAATATTGAAGGCAGGCCGATTAGTAACCCTACAATGGCCTCTAAGTGTCCAAGTGAGGAGAATAATCTTGCTGCAAACTTCGTTGTGTTATTTTAAGAAATTGCCACAGCGATTTCAGCAACCACCCTTCTGATCAGTCAGCAATTATTAACATTGAGGCAAGACCCTCCACAGCAAGAAGGTTAGGATTAGCTGAAGCCTCAGGTGATTGTTAGCATTTTTTAGCAATAAAGTAGTTTTACATTAAGGTATGTACATAGTTCATTTTGTACATAATGCTATTGTACACTTAAGAGACTACAGTCAAGTGTAAATATAACTTTTATATGCACTGGGAAACTGAAAAATTTGTGTGACTTGCTTTGTTGCCATGGTCTGGAGCCAAACCTGCATATATCTGAAGTATGACTGTAATTTCCCTTTCCCTCTTCTTGCTGGCCCAGAATGACCTTGTTTCTTGCCCCTGTCTAGCCCTGCATGCTGTAGGGGTTTGCCTTCTCTGGTAGGTCTGGGCACTTTGTATCCCTTGTAACTCTGGCTCCTGGAATATGACACTGGTACAGGGCTCAAGCTCTGTTGGACTAGTGAGCCTCCTCCCATTCTTCCTGAACTAGAACCAAAGCTCCGTGCACACACTGTGCATGTGTGAGCCTGTGTAGAGATGTCGGCTTCCTGCAGCGTGTTCTGAAGGGGTGTCCTGTTGTGACTGAGGGCACAGCCACAGGCCACTGGGCAGAGGTGGTTCAGAAGGGAGTGGATGGCCCCAGTTTTGATCATCTGAAAACAGGGAGGTCCTCAGAGAAAAACCAATGTCTTAGAAGGCAAAACTGCCCGAGAGTGGACAATGGCTAACCAGGTCACTACCTGGGACATCACTCTGCACTAGGAGGGAAGATGGCCTCTGCCATGGTATAGAGGTCCAGGAACCAGGCAGGGAGGCCTTCCCGGTGGTCAGTGCTTCTCACAATTGGTAGCTAAAGTAACTTTAGATGAGGCCAAAGGCCTCATGTTCCTCACTAGCTGACTTGTTCCCACTCAGTGGAAAAAGAACACAGAAACTTTGTAAAATGTTAGGGGAGAGGTACTTTCCCTCTTGACTCTTAGTGCTAGGGTTATGCATGACGCATACTTGCATTGCAATGTGTACACAGCTTAAAGTCTTAATCATTAGAATATAAGAGGCCCAAACTACTGTTTTTATACATATGTGAAACTGTACATATAAGGTTAAACAACCTGCAACCAGTTAACTTTGAAGATACATTTATCACATTTGTAGATTTTCAAACAATATTGGCAGGCATTTAGAAAAACAACAAATGAGACTCTTGCAAGACAATCTAAATGATACGCTGATAACATTGCTTCATGAAGAGGACATTTGAACCATCTGAGTTTCTGCCTTAGGTTATAACTCCAAAATGGACGAACCCCCAATAGTTTATAGCAGGCAGCCCCAAGCCACAAACAAATGTGTCAGTGCAGACCTGAGACCTGGAGTGAGTCCCCCTCCCCCAGGGACATGAGTGAATCCTCTAAGACCCCTCTTCCTCCAGGCCCTCCATCCAGTCATCAGGGAGACAAGAAAGGGTCCACACAGCACTGAGGCCCAACTATCTCCCTGTCCTCACCTCCATGGACAGAGCCCAGGTGAAAGCCACCCCTGAGCCTCCTCCCTCGTCTCCCACAGCCTCAGCACCATCATCTGCCTTGAGTCCACCAGGACTGAGCTCATCATGCCTTTTCCCTGTTTGTGTCAGTCACACTGGGTCCCCCAAACACCCTGCATTCACATCCCCACAAGGCTCTGCACACCCCTATTTTGTCTCCCCATACCCCATTCCCAAATCCAGAAGTCTTCCCGCTGTGCCCCTTGGAATTCTCAGCCCATGATCAGCAAAACCTCCACATCCTGTCTCAGGATGTTCCTGGACCTCACAGCTCCAGCGATGTCTGTGTCTGCCAGAGGATGTGGTCCCTTCCAAAGTCCTCCCACATGGGGGAGTTTGCACAGGGACCTTGTACCCTTGGCCCAGAGGTGGGGTGGCATCCTCACTCCTCACTGTGGTTCTCAGACCTTTCTGCCTCCTTCCTTCCTAAGCCCCCAAAGCTGTCATCAGATTCAGGCCCCACTCCCCTCATTGCAGCCATTCCCTGTGGGCCCCAGGCCGTTCCTCTCAGTCCTGACTCTTGTAGTTCCTGGTTCACTATCGCCCTCTCCAGCAGTGCTGTCTCCTTGATCCTCGGTGACTTCAACATACTCAGATGTGATGGGCCGAGTAATGGTTCCCAAAGACGTCCAATCTCAATCCTGGGCACCCACGAGTAGGTTGCATTACATGGCAAAAGGGAAAATACTGATGTGATGAAGATTAAGGACCTTAAAATTGCAAGATTATTTTGGACTATCTGTGTGGGCCCGATCAAATCTCACAAGCCATTAAAAGCAGAGAAGCTGCTCTGGCTGGAGTCAGATGCTGCAGAGGAGGAAGGCAGAGGAGACACCGCAGAAGGGGGAGGTCAGAGGTTCCAAGCAGGAGGATTGGATATGTTGCATGGGATATGTGTGAGGAACTGAGAGAGGGCTCTAGGAGCTAAGGGTGGCCCCTGGACAGGAGCCAGCAAGGAAGTGGGGATCTCAGTCCTATCTGCAAGGAAGTGAATTCAGACAAGAACCTGAATGAGCTTGACAGTAGATTTTTCCTCAGAGTCAGAAGGAACACAGACCTCCCCTTACCTTGATTTTAGCCCCATGAGACTGTTGAAGTTGTAACACACATGACTGTGACATGATAAAGAGATGCTGTTTAAAGCCACTTGTTTTGTGTTAATTTTTATGGCAGCAATAAACACCCATAGAGCAGAGAGGATGCATCGCCCTCTGGCTTCTCAGATGCTGGGACTCCTCTCCTCCATGACCTTCTCCTCCCTCTGCCTGAATCTCATGCCCTTGTCATATAAGCATTATTTTGTAGGAGAGCTGCTATCATCCCGCCATGGCCATGGTCTGTCCCTGACACCAGGATCCTGTTGCTTTGTTGTTGTTCTCCCCTAAAGAGTCCTAGGTCTCATCATGGCCAAGAACCCCAGCCCTTCCATACTCTCTATCTCACACTTCCCATTCTCTGACCATCTTTCCACTCATCCCCTTGCACGGAGGCCACAGGCTCTGAGGATACTTATACTATCATTTTATCATATGCTGTGACGTAATATCAGTGAACCACTCATTGCCTATGTGCCTGCTTTCCAGGCTTGGAGTCTGCCCTGTAGTACATCAATTCCAACAATCCTTCCACCCACTCTGGGATTCCCAATCCAGTGATCCTGCCATCTACTCACTGTCCCTCACCCTTGATGTCCTCTCCTCCCTCTTCAGCCATTTTGAATTCTATTGTAAATAATTTCCATCCCTCCCTTGCCCCTCCCTTGCGTTGCCATACTTGTTTGGCAAAACTACACAGCTGGTGGAATCCACCTCTGCCTACGCTGCACCTGCCCCCATGAGCTGAAGGAGGCTGGAAAGCAGCACACAGCATGCTGACTTCTCTCTCTAACTTCATGACCCAAACCTCATGGGGACCCCCCACCACGACCAGCAATCACCCTCTCCAAGCATGGCTCACCCTCAGCCTCCTACTGGTCTGGGTGACTCTCACACACCTTCTCTCTGCTCACACATCCAACCTTCTATCTGCATTCTTACTTCAGCTGATGACCTTGCTTCCTACTTCACTGAGAAAACTGAACACACTAGAAGACAATTTCACAGATTCCATCTGCTCATGCATTTGCAGCTGCACTGCATGCTGGGTCTTCTACCACATGGATGGTTGTTGTGGGTTAACCTTCCCGCTCCCAGCCAGAGGCAGTCCCTCTACTGGTGTCCCAAACATCATCCTTCTCATCTACTTAAAGGTATCAGTTCATCAGTTCATACCTTTTTTTCTCTTTGATCATTACCCTTTGTCCTTTCTCCCCACTGGATTGTTGTGGCAGTCTTGAGAATGCACATCCCAGCCCCTCAGCTAGAGGAAGCACAGCTGATGATGCTCCAGCTGTTGCCGCCTGAAATCTATTGCTACGTTTGCTCTCAGACCATACTTGCCATTGGCTTCTTCGATTCAATAATTGAGAGAACAGGAGAAACAAAGACAGGATTGTCTCTCCTTTAAAGGCCCACTGAGGCTCCAGGGCTCACCATTACTGAACTTCTCTTAACCTGCACTGGGTCTAGGATACTTTCAGCCAAACTTCCTTCCCTCTCTCCTTCACTGGGGTTTAAACTTGCATTGCAGTCTGGTTGGGCACAGTGGCTCACGCCTGTAATCCCAGCACTTTGGGAGGCCAAGGTGGGCAGATCACATGAGGTCAGGAGTTTGAGACCGGCCTAGCTAACATGGTGAAAACCCGCCTCTACTACAAAGACAAAAATTTGCCAGGTTTGGTGGTGCATGCGTGTAATCCCAGCTACTTGGGAGGCTGAGGCATGAGAATCACTTGCACCTGGGAGGTGGAGGTTGCAGTGAGCTGAGATTGCTCAAAAAATAAAAATAAAAAAGCCACTTGCATCACAGTCTTATGGCTTTCCCAGTCTTTTCTGTCTTGCTCCCCAATTTCTTTCATGGCTATTTCCCCTAATAAATCCTGGCACATTTAATTCTGTATTGCAGTCTGCTCCTCAGGGGATGCTAACCAACACAAGTGGCTTCAGGAGTGGTCCATAGACACAGACAAAAACGGGGATTGGGCCTGAGCTTGCCCACTGCCTGGCAGGCCAAGAATGCCATCCACGTTGGTTGGGGACAGAGAAAGTCCATGGCACAAGGTGCAGCTGAGCTGCTGTGGATATCCCCAGCACCGACCTGAGAAGATGCCCTGGTTACCGGGTGCTATGGCAGGTGGTGTGATAGAAGCCTCTACACAATAATGACAGGGTGGGAGGGAAAACCTACAACAGGGAAGCTGGCTGGTTACTGCTCAGCTGTGTTGATGCCCTATAAAAGGAGAATGAGAATCTGAGGGATTCTAACAGCTGTCACTGGCTATGTGTGAGGGCCTCTGCAGTGTCTCATGGAGAGGCCCTTGTTTCCTGTAGCGAAAGGGTAGATAGTGTGGAATGGTAGCTGAAGATATCATTGTGAGGGTTACAGACCTCCAGAGATGTTTGACATTCAGCCAAGGCAGGCCTGTTGTGGAAAATCAGGGCCCTGGTGGGGAAACATGAGATTCTGCAAACTAGGACAGCATTATCAGATGGGTGCCCTCCAGTACCCTCTGGGCATGCAGAGAAGGCTCGCCTTTTCCAGTAATAGTTCCCACTTCCTACGCTGGAAGATGCTGCAGAAGCCTCACCCTTATAATGCAGCGGGAATTCCACTCAGGAGCTTTGCAGGAACTAGCTGGCATGTCCACATAGGATCCTGGGGAACACTTCTGGGATTGGAATTTGAGGGCATTTGATCAAAGGGACAGAATTTCAAGCTAGATAGATAAAAATCCTTTGACTTGGGAACACTTTCTCAAGGCATGATGTATTAGTCCATTTCATGTTGCTGATAAAGACATACCCCAGAATGGGCAATTTACCAAAAGAGGTTTAATGGACTCACAGTTCCATGTGGCTAGGGAGGCCTCAGAATCACGGCAGAAGGTGAAAGCCATGTCTCACGTGGCAGCAGATAAGAGAAGAATGAGAACCAAGCGAAAGGGATTTCTCCTTTTAAAACCATCAGATCTCATGAGACTTATTCACTATCATGAGAACAGCATGGGAAAGACCTGCCCCCATGATTTAATTGCTTCCCTCCTGGTCCCTCCCACAACACGTGGAAATTCAAGACGAGATTTGGTTGGGGACACAGCCAACCGTATCACATGGGTTTTTCAAAGACCCCAGGGCATGGGGCAAACCCACTGCTGGGGTGATCCATGTAGACTGGGAAAAAATGATGCCGGTATCTCACAAGCTAGACCTGACTTAGTTGCCCCGGAACATGTAGAAGAGGGAATAATGAGGCTGGGGGAATTTGGCCTGTGGGATGGAGACATTACGTGAGGCCGGAAAGCCCACCGGAACCGTGCTTTATAAGAGGACCCAGGGGGCCCACCTTCCACCAGAGCCTCAGGAACGTGCTGGCAACAGGGACCTGCATCACTAAGAAGTTTCATTGTATTGTTCTCTGAAGGCTGAGGGTGATGGTAGGAAAAGATGTCCCAGAGTTGGGCTCATTAATATCCACGGAGAGGGTGTGGCCCTGAAGAGATAGAGAACAAGTGGTGGCAGTGACCTGCAAAAGCCAGAGGACACGGTTACCATGGCAACCCCAGAGGAGCAGCCGAGGGGGCTTGACCTGCCTGCAGTTGTGGGTAAGGTTAATAGAGGGTGGTGTTCCAGGGTCAGAACAGAAGGGCAGCCAGCAAGAGCACTGCTTGGTATCTATGATAAGAAAGCAAGAATTGAGGAGCAGGAGGCTGAGGGTGTTTGAACCAATACAAAATCATGATCCATTCTCAGTGCCTAGATCTCAGCCAAGCTTCAGATTCAGAACCCAGTGACGGAGGAGGTGTCCATATTCCTAGGAGGAAGGACCCTGCAACCCTGTGGCAAGTGTATGCTGGGTCAATTCCCTGAGCCATTGTGCAAAGGGACCTACAGCCATTTACTTTAGAGACTGTACCCTGGGAAAGGGAAATAGGGAGAACTTGGGGGAGTACTGACTTTGGGTGTGAGATGACATTGATGCCCAGAGGCCCACAGCATCATCATGACCCCCTCACATTGGGGATTACGGAGACCACGAAATAAACCTGGACACATCACGGCTCACCATGGGGTCACTGAGTCCACAGACCCAGCCCTGGTTATCTCCCCATTCTCCTAGTGCATAATTGACACTGATGCCCTGGCAGCTGGAGTCACCCCCACACTGCATCCCTAGTCTGTGGAGTAAGGGCTCTCATTGTGCTGAAGGCCAAAGGGAAACCTCTGAAACTGCCTCCATTCTGGCCAAATCAAAAATGATCGTATGTCCCAGGGTGAATCTTGTGGAAGGCACTGCAAGTGCTGTGGGGGTAGCACCACCATTAGAGAGCTGGAGGATGTGGGGTGGTGTTGGGGTTGCCTATTATCTCCATGTAATTTAGCAAATAAGCCTGATGGAGCCTAAGGAATGAATGGGATTACTAAGGAATGAATGGGATTACTCCAGATGTGACCAAGTAGGAGTCCTGATTGCAGCTAGCATGCTGGCTGGATATATCTGGTAGAGCAGATTAATAAGGCCTCAGGCACACAGTGTGCAGCTGTGGATGTGGTGAGTGCATTCCCTTCCATTCCAATTAGAAGTGGATATAGCCCGGGTGTGGTGGCTCATGCCTGTAATCCCAGCACTTTGGGAGGCAGAGGAGGGCGGATCACCTGAGGCTGGGAGTTCGAGACCAGCCTGACCAACATGGAGAAAACCTCTCTCTACTAAAAATACCAAATTAGCCGGGCGTGGTGGCACATGCCTCTAATCTCAGCTACTTGGGAGACTGAGGAAGGAGAATAACTTGAACCTGGGAGGCGGACATTGCGGTGAGCTGAGATCATGCCATCGCACTCCAGCCTGGGCAAAAAGAGTGAAACTCTGTCCAAAAACAAAACAAAAACAAAACCAAAACCAAAAACAAAACATTAGCCAGGCATGGTGGTGTGCACCTGTAATCCAGCCTGGGTGACAGAGTAAGACTCTGCCTCACACACACACACACAAAAGTGGATATAAAGTGATTCATGTGGGATCCACAACACTTTAATTCATAGTTTGCCTCAGGGCTATTATAATTCCCCAGGCCTCTATAGTACAGTCTTAAGAGATCTGGAGAACCTGGATATACTATAGAATATTAAATTCCTTTATTTCATTGACAACATCATGTTGACTGGGATGGATGAGTAAGAGGAGGAAGGTACACTAGAGGCTTTGGTAAAACATCTTCTCTCCAGAGGGTGAAGATAAATAAACCTTACAGAGATTCAGAAGTGGCCACTGCAGTGAAGTTTTACAGGTCTAGTGGTTAGGGGCATCCAGGGGTGTCCCTTCCAATGTGAAAGACAAACTGTTGCATCTTGCATCCTCATGCAAGGAAGGAAGCACACTGCCTGGTGAGCCTGTTTGAGTTCTGACATCACATTCTACATGTAGGTGTATTGCTTTGACCCACACTCTAGGTGACATAGGAGGATGCCAGCTTTGAGTGGAGCCTCCACAGGAAAGGACACTGCAGCAGATCCAGGCCATGGCGCAGTCACCATCCTTCAGACCCCCTGGTGCTGAAAGTGCCAGTGGTGGGGTAAGATTTGGGGTGGAGCTGAACCAAGCACCAGTAGGAGAGTCACAGTGGAGGGCCTGGGATTCTGGAGTAAGGCCATGTCATCCACAGCACAGAAATATGCCCCATCCAAAGCAGAGAAATATGTTGGAAGCAACTTTTGGCATGTTACTGTAGGCCCTGATAAGATAGAATGCTTGACCATGGGACACAAAACAACCATGTGATTCCAAGTGCCCCTACGAATTAGCATCTGTGTAACTCATGAAGTCATACATTGGACATGCCCAACAGCATCCATCATGAGATGGAAAAGTTTCTTGTGAGTTGAGCCTGAATCCCATGTTAACATCCCCAGAAAACACCCAAACCTGAAATGGCCCTGAACAACCAAGCAGAAGCACTGAAATTAGCCAGCCTTCCCCATGGGTCAGCCCAGGCCGGGTAGGATGGGTACATAAATGGAGCAAACACAGTGGCAGGGATGAGGCTACCTATGGGTCCAACAGTACTGACTCCCTCCTACCAAGGTAGATCCAGACACTGCCACCTCTAAATGTCCTACTCATCAGCATTTGAACCCAATGATCTTCCCTGGTAGGGCTCTATTTCTTTAGGTGACCAACCAGACCCTAAGTGAGGAGTTGACTACATTGCACTCCTTCCATCCTGGAAGGGCCAGAGGTTCATCTTCACAGGGATAGGCACCTATTCCATAGGTGGGTTTTCCTGTCCTGCTCTCAGACCCTCAGCCAGCACCACTCTCTGGGGGCTGTTGATATTCCTGATCCACAGGCTTGGCACTGCTCTCCGTGCAGTATCTTCGTGGGGGACCCACTTGACAGCGAAGGAGGTGCAGTGTGGCCATGCTGTGGGACCCACTGGTCCTATCACCATCTGCACCAACCAAGGGCTGCTGGCCATAAAGAATGTTGAAAAGAGCTTCTATAGGCACAGCTCAACGCCAGCTTGCAGGAAGCACTCTGCGGGTGGGAGGGTGCCATCTTTCAGGACATGGTGCATTTTAAAAATCAAAGACATCTCTACAGTTCTGTAATCTCAGTAGGAAGAACACGTGGGTCCAGATACCAAGGGGTGGAAGTGGATGTGGCTCCATATCCCATTCCTTCAACTCACCTGTCGTGGGATTTTGCACTTCTCTCCCAAAACCACACTCTGCAGGGTAGAAGGTCCTGGATTCTAAAGGAGGGTACCCTTAAAAGGGGACAAATGAGTGCCCATTGAACTACACATTACAGCTGCCACAGGGGAATTGGACAGTATGTGTCCAGAGACCAGCGGGTGAGAAGAGGAGTCCCCTCCTCTCCAGGCACAGGTAATAGATCCTGATCCCCAGGAGGAGGCATGGCTGCTGTCACACAATGAGGGTAGGAGGAGTTCGTGTGGAACCCAGGGATCCCCTTGGGGGCCTCCTGGTTCCCCTTGTCCCATTGTAAGTGTGAGGAGAATCGTCCAGCCACCCAACCTGAGAGGGTTTGATTTCCAAGAGCCCAGACCCCTCAGGAAGGAAGATTTCAGTCGCATTTCCAGGTAATTTCCCAAGGCCTCGTTCCTGTGCTCTGACATCCTCAGCAGCATTGGTGCAGAGGCCCTACTTCTCTCAGGCTGTTCCCAGCGGGTGATGGGTCACACCAGGGACACCAAAGCAGGACCATTCCTGGGACACAGAGGACTCCTTTGATGGCCAATAGTGGCTGGAGGACTCTTCCACGGCCTTGATCAACTCTCCTTAGATTACCTGTGTTCTAGAATGCATCCAAAACACCTTCTCTCCTTCTGCCCATCACTTGGGGGCACACTTGCATCTCAGTCTATTGCCTTTTCCAGAGTTGTAATGTAAAAATGAGATCATTTCTGCCTTGATTGTAATTGTAATCTGTAATTAAATATATGTGCAGATTTACTCCTCCGGGCGGGCCCCTCGCTCCTTCCCGCAGAGGCTTTTTCCCTCCCGACCCCGCACTCACCTGCCCAGGTCTGGATCAGGGCCACGGCTCCCGAGAACAGCAGGAGGAGGGTTCGGGACTCCATGACCCGCAACCTTGGCGTCTGGGGAGAATCTGAGTCCCGGTGGGCCGGCGAGGACTTTAGAACCAGGAACCGCGGCGACACTGATTGGCTGATCTAGGAACCCAACACCCAATGGAAGTGAGAACTGAGGCCGCATCATGAGTATCCAGGTAAAAGGACCTGACACAGGTTGGGAAAGGTGGAAGAGAGAGAGCGGAGCTCGGGAAACCCCAAAGCTGAGCCGGCCCATCCCAGGCACCGCCCTCGGGGCCTGAAGCCCAGAGAGCCAAGCTCCGGGCCCTGGGACTTGGCTCTTACCCCCTTCTTTTATATCAAACGCTCTGTCTCAATGTCTCCCCGAATCTTGGCCCCGGAGCTGTCTGAGAAACCAGAGAAAAACCCTCAGCATGGGCTCAGTCCCTCTCCCTTCACTTTTCATCCCAGAATCCCCCTCCCTGAACTGGACTTCCTGCCTCCCATTCCTTGCCTGTCCCCCTGGACTCTTCTAGAAGAGAGCTCACCCAGGCAGCTTGATGCCACAGAGTGAGCTTCTCCTGGGAATGGAGGGAAAGACGGGGGTTGTTTTTTCTTTAAATCTGAAAAAGTTGTGCACCTGGGGATTTATGTGGTCTTTTGTCTTTGCAGGTATTTGTTTAGAAACAAAAGAAAGGCAGTTTTTCCATGACTCAGATTAATCTGGAGCAAATCCCTGGAACACTGATCAGCAGTCCCCTTTGACCCCTGCAGCAGTCTTGGGCACTGTGACTTTTTCTCTCAGGCCTTGTTCTCTGACTCATACTCAGTGTGTGTGGGGGTCTGATTCCAGCTCTTCTGAGTCCCTCGGTCTCCACTCAGGTCAGGACCAGAAGTCACTGTTCCTCCCTCAGATACTGGAACTTTCCAAGGAATAGGAGATTATCCCAGGTGCCTGTGTCCAGGCTGGTGTCTGGGTTCTGTGCTCCCTTCCCCACCTCAGGTGTCCTGTCCATTCTCAGGATGGTCACGTGAGTGCTGCTGGAGTGTCCCATGAGGAGTGCAAAGTGCCTGAATTTTCTGATTCTACATTTTTATTTGCCCCAGAGAAAGAATCCACAGTCCACCCTAGGTCCCTCCTAGAAACAAGGGTGTCTGCCTTACAGAAAGATATAAGCGCAGAAGCCTCTGTCTCTATGGAGATGAGGTGTGCCGTCCTCCCAGCACGTGGACATGCGGATGTGCTCACCAACTGGGAAGTTCTCCAAAACTCACTGTCTAGAGGTGTCTATGGAAGTTTCATTGTGTAGGCAAGATTGGTGAAATCATTGGCCATTGATGACTGAGCTCAACTTCCAGCCCCCTTTTCTTCCCCAGAGGATGGGGATGGCAGTGAAAGTTCCAATCCTCTAATCACAGCTGGTGTTTCTGGCAAGCAGCCTCCATCCTGAAACTATCTAGGAGCCCCTCACCCCATAGTCATCTCATTGCCATATTAAAATCATGCTTATCACTGAGGGACTGCAAGCGTTTTAGGACCTGCCTGTCAGGGACTAGGGGCAAAGACCAAATATATTTATTGGATCACAGATCACTTCCTGGTCTTTAACCACATTATTTCTTCTTATAATTTCTATTTATTTATTTATTATTTTATTTTAGAGACAATGTCTTGCTCTGTTGCCCAGGGTAGAATGCAGTGGCACAATCATAGCTCACTGTAACCTCAAATTCTTGGACTCAAGTGATCCTTCCGCCTCAAGTCTCCTGAGCAGCTGGCACTATAGGTGCACACCACCATGGCTGACTAATTTTTAAATATTTTGTAGAAATGCAGTCTCATTATGTGCCCCAGGCTGTTCTGCAACTGTTGGCCTCAAAAGCAATCTTCCCACCATGGCCTCTCAAAGTGGTGAAATTATAAATGTGAGCCCCTTTGCTTGGCCAACCACAGATCTCCTATAGCAGAAGAATCATAGCAGTAAAAAGATACTGGCCCATTACCAGAGTCCTGTTTAGTCATTATCAATTCGCCCATTGCAGTCCAAAAATAGCAATGGTCTCAGCAACATACGGCTTCAACCTTTCAGACATCTGGTAAAAATGAGATAAAAGACAATATCATCATTTGTTTATACCTCTTTTGAGGAGATCATGTTATATTGGATTTTCCTCATTACATACCCCATTTATTCATTCATTTCACCTCAGCTACTATTCTTCCTCTTCTGCATTTATACCAAATATTTCTCATTTTGGAAGGGACATTAGGTTTTCCTGCTGTGCTGGCCTATGCAGGGAGCTATACCATGCTAGTAACAGCGAGTGTCTCCCATCAGTCCATTCCAGTTCATAGAGGTTAGGGTTATTCAGGCAGAGAACTGGTTGGCTATCTGGCTTCCAGGCAATACAGCTGCATTCAATGTTAGCTCCAACTTTGCCAGATGCAGTGAAGGCACATCTACTCCAGGCCCTTAGGCAGTCTTGCATAATGGTTTTTAAATATGTTAACGGTTTCTTGCTCAGGAATAATTCCTGTGCCTGGACTTTTATTTGCATCCCTAGTCCTGAGACCACTGCATCAGGTATGAGAAAAGCAAGTTGAGGTAAAGTATAGTCATAATTCTAGTGTCTTCTGGCCTTGGGAAGGATTGTTTTTATTTATTTATTTATTTATTTATTTATTTATTTATTATTTTTTAGGGAAGAATTGTATGTAGAATCACACCAGCACCTTTCCCTGATCCAGCAGGGAAAAAGAGGACACTCTCTAGTGGGGACATTCCTTTGTCCACACTCATGTCAAGAGCGAGCACACTCATGAAGGTGTATAGGCCCGCCCTTCATGCTTATGTCTCCCCGCTCCTGATTTATACACTCAATGTTTCAAATGACTATTTTAATTCTCTCTGAAACTCTTCTTCTGAGGAACAAATTTCTCTGACCATTGTTGGACATTCTGGGCAAGTGTGTTTCCTAGTGTAATGTGGCTCAGTGGTCCACATGGTGGCAATACCTCCCATTCACGTTTTTTTTTTTTTTTTTTGGTCTCTGTCTCTGTCTCTTTTCTTGTTAAAGAGAATACTTCTTTTTTTTTCTTCTTTTGAGACACAGTCTTGCTCTGTTGCCCTGGGTGCAGTATAGTGGCGCCATCTCGGCTCACTGCAGCCTCTGCCTCCCAGGTTCAAGCCATTGTCCTGCCTCAGTTTCCTGAGTAGCTGGAATTACAGGCGTGCACCACCATGCCTGGCTAATTGATGTAGTTTTAGTTGAGACAGGGTTTCGCCATGTTGGCCAGGCTGGTCTCAAACTCCTGATCTCAAGTGATCTACCCACCTTGGCCTGCCAAAGTGCTGGGATTACAGGTGTGAGCCACTGTGCCCAGTCTTGTTAAAAAGAACAGTTTTACTGAGTATTTTGTGCTTATTAGAGGTGGGGGATGCAAGGGGAGTATGTCTTGATTCAGCCCATCTCTGCATTGCTACAGCCTCAGTGTCTACTTATTTCGTAGACCCCGGTGATCTTCACAAGCAAATGTAAATTTTTTTGAGATGTGGTCTTGATATGTTTCCCAGGCTAGACTCAAATATTTCTCAGGCTAAACCCAAATGCCTGTACTCAAGATATCCTTCTGCCTCAGACACTCTCATAGCTGGGACTACAGGTGCACCTGGCAAGCACTTAGAGATAAATGCTTGTTGATTTCAATCACCTTCCAAACCTGGAAGGGAGTTATTCTGATGGGTATTGAACAGCACTGAGGGGATGGTACTAAACCATTCATGAGAAACCACCCCATGATTGAGTCACCTCCCACCAGACCCCAACTCCAACACTGGGAATTACATCTCGACATGAGATTTGGGTGGGGACAACATCCAATCTATATCAGGCATCAACATGTCTTACGTTAATGCACCCCTCAAATTACCATAGTGATTTCCATAGGACTGTGTCTCATATGGGCATTCTTTTCATAGGCCAGTTTTCCACTGCTTTCTTAATTAATTATATGGCCAGGCCATCAGTCACTGCCCATAAGTCAGTAAAACTAAAACATAGGAGCTTTTATCATTGTTCAATTCTTCCATCACTGCTAAGAAAACACCCTGCAATTCAGCCCACAAGAGCTGTTCTGTTTTTATCTTCTTTGATCAAAGGGGTAGACTTCCAAACAGGGTGTTGTCCATTCATCTTGCAAATGCTGTACACAAACCAACCAGCTCTTTATGGGTCAGGTGACTGATACTGCAGTTCAAATCCCAGGACAGAATTCCATCTTGCTTGGGGAAGGTCAGTGTTTCATTCAATTTACACCTTCAATGAATTGAATGAAGCCTGTCCACATTATAGAGGTCAATCTACTTTACTCAAAGTATAGCAATTTATATGTTAATCATATCCAAGAAACATCCTAAAAAGATCATCCAGAATAATGCTTGACCACGTATCTTGGCACCAGGTCCAGGTGACAAATAAAATTATTTATGACATTCTTCAATACAATAATATTCTAAGGAAATTAGCCTTTGTAAAGGAAGGAATAAACAACTGTTTCTGAAAATGTATAACCAATCATCAACAAACTCTCCCTATAGATTGTTTCCTAAGTTCGCTTTATAGTTGTGAGTGAGAGTAACATGTATTTGTTCAAAACCAGAGAAGGAGAGAAAATTGAAAAAGCAGAAAGCAAAAATGAAAAACACAAAACACAACACATAAGAAGAATAATAAAGATGACAGCAGTTATTTCATTGGAAACAATGCAAATGAGGGACAGATGACCAACATCGCTAAAGTTCTGAAAGACAACTGCTGTCAAACTAGATTCTATTTCCAGAAAAAAAACCTTTTAAAAACATATATATATGTATAATTTTAATTGACATATAATAATACATTCATGAGGTACTGTGTGATGTACTGATATATGTATACCATGTGTAATGATTGCATCAAGCTACTTAACAGACTCTAAAGATATCTATAAAAAAAGGGATTTTAGACTTATAGGGAGTGAAAAAATACATAACCAGCAGACACGAACTGTAATAAGTGTTTCAGTCCTTCAGGCAAAAAGAAAATTATACCAAAAGCAAATATGTAATGAAGAGCACCAGAAATGGTAAGCACATGGGTAGATACATAAGATTTTTTCATAATTTTAAAATCTTATTAAAAGACAACTGTAATGCCTTCACCAAAAATGGTAGAGAACTCCAACAACACATTCCCCAACTAAAGCAACTATTAACCTGGAAAAAAACTATCAAAATTAAGTTTTTCTGTACTCTGGAGTCTATGAATTTTTTTTTTTTTTTTACAACAACCAAAGTAGTGCTTAATGAAAAAGGAGCTCTAGATTTTGGTAGGAGAGCATGTGCCACTATTCCTTAGCCACCTACTCACTCCCACCCCCACACCCTCAGCTATGAGGCAGCCATGGGGACGGTGTCCCACATTCCTGGTGTAGTTTCCTGATGCCAGAAAAGGCAAAATGAACTTTCTTTTCAAAGAATTGTGTTTGTGTCCTTTGACATGTATGATAGCCCCCAAAAAGATCAGCTTAGAGGCTGGTCTTTGCTTCACTCCTCTTGGAACTTTATTAAGATTGGAGAGGTCTCCATAGCAATGTTTGTCAAAAGCATTTAAAGGCAAATACTAGTCACAGATGCCTGGGGCATGGAATGATGGATGGGTTAACAGCAGACAGACTGAAAAGCCTAGGGAGGTAGAGGCTGGAGATGGAGATACATAAGGCAATATGGCTTTCAAAATATCCCGCATATACTGAGGAAATCAGAATGTCACATACATGGCCAGGGCTAAACACTGGATATTTAGCCCTGGATGCCCACACTCTTTAAAAAGACCTGAGATGACCTTAGGCTTTTACCTCTGGGTGATCTTTAGCCTCCAAGTAAGCAGCCAGTGAAGGTTAAGGTGGACGTCTAAACTGCCTGGTTAAGTGTTGAAGAAGTGTCCCAACTCAGAGTCCATCTGCAAAACCTGGGAGGGCATTAATTATTTATTTTTTTGGCTCCAGCTGTTTAAGGAAACCTCTGTCAAATCACTAGCTGACCATGAAGCTAACAGAATAGATTTTAGTGACCACACATGACATAGAACAGCTTAACAATAGTTTAGAAAAGTCACTAAGAAACAACTCCATCCTCAAGTGGCAACAAGAAACTCTGGGGAGTGGAAAGAATATGGTATCCAGAGTTACTAGATTGTTGTATTCAAAGTGTTCAGTTTTCAGCGAAAATTCTTGAGGTATTTAGAAGTTTAAGAAAGTGGCCCATTTGCAGAAAAAAATACATCAGCAGAACCTGTCCCTAAGGAAGCCAAGTCATTGGACTTACTAGACCAAGACTTTAAACCAATAGTTTAAATATGCTCAAATAGATAAAAAAGACCGTGGACTCTCTCTCTATATATGTAAATATATATATATATGTATATATATACACATATATGTGTATGTGTGTGTATATATATATGTATATATATACACATATATGTGTATGTGTGTGTATATATATATGTATATATATACACATATATGTGTATGTGTGTGTATATATATATGTATATATGTAAAGGAACCAGAAGAACAATATCTCACCAAATAAAGACTCATTAAAAATATAAGGAAAAAAAAAAATCTGAATTCCTGCTCTGCCTCTGCCTCTGCCTCTGCCTCTCCCCTCTCCCCTCTCCCCTCTCCCCTCTCCCCTCTCCCTCTCGGTCTCCCTCTCCCTCTCTTTCCATGGTCTCCCTCTGATGCCGAGCCGAAGCTGGACTGTACTGCTGCCATCTCGGCTCACTGCAACCTCCCTGCCTGATTCTCCTGCCTCAGCCGGCCGAGTGCCTGCGATTGCAGGCGCGCGCCACCACGCCTGACTGGTTTTCGTACTTTTTTGGTGGAGACGGGGTTTCGCTGTGTTGGCCAGGCTGGTCTCCAGCTCCTAACCGCGAGTGATCCGCCAGCCTTGGCCTCCCGAGGTGCCGGGATTGCAGACGGAGTCTGGTTCACTCAGTGCTCAATGGTGCCCAGGCTGGAGTGCAGTGGTGTGATCTCAGCTCGCTACAACCTCCATCTCCCAGCCGCCTGCCTTGGCCTCCCAAAGTGCCGAGATTGCAGCCTCTGCCCAGCCACCACCCCGTCTGGGAAGTGAGGAGCGTCTCTGCCTGGCCGCCCATCGTCTGGGACGTGAGGAGCCCCTCTGCCTGGCTGCCCAGTCTGGAAAGTGAGGAGCGTCTCTGCCCGGCCGCCATCCCATCTAGGAAGTGAGGAGCGCCTCTTCCCGGCAGCCATCCCATCTGGGAAGTGAGGAGCGTCTCTGCCCGGCCGCCCATCGTCTGAGATGTGGGGAGCGCCTCTGCCCCGCCGCCCCGTCTGGGATGTGAGGAGCGCCTCTGCCCGGCCGCGACCCCGTCTGGGAGGTGAGGAGCGTCTCTGCCCAGCTGCCCCGTCTGAGAAGTGAGGAGACCCTCCGCCCAGCATCCGCCCCATCTGAGAAGTGAGGAGTCCCTCTGCCCGGCAGCCACCCCGTCTGGGAAGTGAGGAGCATCTCCGCCCGGCAGCCGCCCCGTCCGGGAGGGAGGTGGGGGGGTCAGCCCCCCGCCCAGCAGCCGCCCCATCCGGGAGGGAGGTGGGGGGGTCAGCCCCCCACCCGGCCAGCTGCCCCGTCCGGGAGGTGAGGGGCGCCTCTGCCCAGCCGCCCCTACTGGGAAGTGAGGAGCCCCTCTGCCTGGCCAGCCGCCCCATCCGGGAGGGAGGTGGGGGGGTCAGCCCCCCGCCCGGCCAGCCGCCCCGTCCGGGAAGGAGGTGGGGGGGTCAGCCCCACGTCCGGGAGGGAGGTGGGGGGGTCAGCCCCCCGCCCGGCCAGCTGCCCCGTCTGGGAGGGAGGTGGGGTCAGCTCCCCGCCCAGCCAGCCGCCCCGTCCGGGAGGTGAGGGGCGCCTCTGCCCAGCCGCCCCTACTGGGAAGTGAGGAGCCCCTCTGCCAGGCCAGCCACCCCGTCCGGGAGGGAGGTGGGGGGCTCAGCCCCCCGCCCGGCCAGCCGACCCGTCCGGGAGGGAGGTGGGGGGATCAGCACCCCGCCCGGCCAGCCGCCCCGTCCGGGAGGGAGGTGGGGGGGTTAGCCCCCCGCCCGGCCAGACGCCCCGTCCGGGAGGTGAGGGGCGCCTCTGCCCAGCCGCCCCTACTGGGAAGTGAGGAGCCCCTCTGCCTGGCCAGCCACCCCGTCCAGGAGGGAGGTGGGGGTGGTCAGCCCCCTGCCCGGCAGCCGCCCCATCCGGGAGGGAGGTGGGGGGGTCAGCCCCCCGCCCGGCCAGCCGCCCCGTCCGGGAGGTGAGGGGCGCCTCTGCCCAGCCGCCCCTACTGGGAAGTGAGGAGCCCCTCTGCCTGGCCAGCCGCCCCATCCGGGAGGGAGGTGGGGGGGTCAGCCCCACGTCCGGGAGGGAGGTGGGGGGGGTCAGCCCCCCGCCCGGCCAGCCGCCCCGTCTGGGAGGGAGGTGGGGTCAGCTCCCCGCCCAGCCAGCTGCCCCGTCCGGGAGGTGAGGGGCGCCTCTGCCCAGCCGCCCCTACTGGGAAGTGAGGAGCCCCTCTGCCAGGCCAGCCACCCCGTCCGGGAGGGAGGTGGGGGGCTCAGCCCCCCGCCCGGCCAGCCGACCCGTCCGGGAGGGAGGTGGGGGGATCAGCACCCCGCCCGGCCAGCCGCCCCCTCCGGGAGGGAGGTGGGGGGGTCAGCCCCCCGCCCGGCCAGACGCCCCGTCCGGGAGGGAGGTGGCAGGGTCAGCCCCCCGCCCGGCCAGCCGCCCCATCCGGGAGGGAGGTGGGGGGGTCAGCCCCACGTCCGGGAGGGAGGTGGGGGGGTCAGCCCCCCGCCCGGCCAGCTGCCCCGTCCGGGAGGTGAGGGGCGCCTCTGCCCGGCCACCCCTACTAGGAAGTGAGGAGCCCCTCTGCCCAGCCACCACCTCGTCTGGGAGGTGTACCCAACAGCTCATTGAGAACGGGCCGGGATGACAATGGCGGTTTTGTGGAATAGAAAGGGGGAAAAGGTGGGGAAAAGATTGAGAAATCGGATGGTTGCCGTGTCTGTGTAGAAAGAAGTAGACATGGGAGACTTTTCATTTTGTTCTGTACTAAGATAAATTCTTCTGCCTTGGGATCCTGTTGATCGGTGACCTTACCCCCAACCCTGTGCTCTCTGAAACATGTGCTGTGTCCACTCAGGGTTAAATGGATTAAGGGCGGTGCAAGATGTGCTTTGTTAAACAGATGCTTGAAAGGCAGCATGCTCGTTAAGAATCATCACCACTCCCTAATCTCAAGTACCCAGGGACACAAACACTGCGGAAGGCCGCAGGGTCCTCTGCCTAGGAAAACCAGAGACCTTTGTTCACTTGTTTATCTGCCAACCTTCCCTCCACTATTGTCCTATGACCCTGCCAAATCCCCCTCTGCGAGAAACACCCAAGAATGATCAATAAAAAAAATAAAAATTAAAATAAAAAAAAATATATATATATATAATAAGGAAACAGCAATTCTAGAAGGGAAAATATAATTACTGAAAAAAAATTCATTAGAGATGTTCAATAGCAGACTTGAACAGGTAGAAGAAAGAATCAGCAAACTCGAAGCCAAGTCATCTTAAATCATAGACTTTGAGGAATAGAAATGAAAAAAGGAACAAAAAATAGTGAACAGAGCCTAAGGGACTTGTGGGACACTGCCATGCTGACTAATATATGCAGAGTTTAGCAGGCAGAAGAACCAGCAAATTGAAGATAGGCCAATTACGATTATGCAATCTGAAGAGCAGGAAGAAAAAAAAATAAAGGGAAATGATCAGAGGCTATGACACCTCTGTACAGCATCAAGTGGACTGACAGATGCATAATGGGAGTTCCCAAAGTAGAGGAGAGATAGAAAGAGAGAGTAAAAATATAGGGTAACAGGTGAAACCTTGCCAAAGTTGATAAAAATCTGTGAATCTACCAAGCAGAATAAACTCAAAGACATCCAAACCAAGAAACATTATAACCAAACTGTTGAAATAGAAGCAGAGAGAACTTGGACAGCAGCAAGAAACAAATAATGCATCATGTACAAGGGATCCTCATTGAGATTAACAGCCAATTTCATACCAGAAAACACTGAGGAAAGTCAGAGTGGTATGACATGTTTAAAGTGCTACAAAAATAAAGCTGTCAACCAAAAGTTCTATATCTAGAAAACTTATTCTTCAAAAATGAAAATATGCAGTTTTGCAATATGAAAGGAGTTCTGGAGATTGGTTTGCAAAACAGTGTGAGTGTTCTTAGCACTACTGAACACTACCACTACAAATGGTTAAGATGGTAAATTTTATGTTATGTGCATTTTATCACAATTAATAAATTAAAATAAATGAAGGAGAAATTGAGATGTTTCCAGTTAATTAACAACTAACTGACAGATTCCATTGCCAGTAGATTTTTCCTATAAGAAATACTAATGTGAGTCATTCAGATTAAAATGAAAGGGCACTAGACAACAGCTCAGAGACACATAAAGAGATATATGCAAAGAACCTCAGTAAAGGTGTTAAGACAACTCAATGTGTTAAAGTATACACTCTTCATCTAATGGAGCTGGGCACCTGGATGCCCACATTCTAAAGGATGAAGTTGAGGGGCTGGAAGTGGTGACTCCACCTGCAATCTCAGCATTTTGAGGGGCTGAGACAGGAGAATTGCTTGGACCCAGGAGTTCAAGGTTACCATGAGCTCTGATTGCACCACTGCACTCTAGCCTGGGTGACACAGACACTGTCTCTGCAAAAGAAAAAAAACAAAGAAGTTGAAACCCTACCTCACAGCATATGTATAAATCAACACAAAATGGATCAGAGACCTACATGTAAGGGCTAAATTATAAAACTCATAGAAGAAAATAGAGAGGGCTCTATTTTAATAATTTTTTCCTGTTTGTTTATCCCTGAACAAATACTTCACTTTTCTAATCACTATGGCTTTCAAATATCTGTTGATATCTGATAGTTTAAGTCCTCCAATTGTGTTCTCTTCCAATATTGTTCTGGCTATTTTAAGCTCCTCACATTTTTGTATACATTTTAGAAGGAGCATGTCAATTCCCACAAAAAAAACTGTTGGGAGTTTTATTACAATTGCATTGACTCCATGGATCACTTTGTGGATAAACGGTATCTTAGCAATATTGTCTTCTTCATATATATGAAATAACTATCCACTTAATTTGTCTCAGCAATGTTTTGTAATTCTGAATGATGAGATTTTGTATAACTTTTATATTTATTTCTACAATTTATGTTTCTTTGTGGTATTGTACATAGAGCTATTTAAAGAATGTCAGTTCTTCTCACTGTTTATTACTCACGTATAGAAATGTTACTTTTTGCTTTATACTGGCCTTGCCAAATTCACTTATTTTTAATAGTCTGTTCATAGAGCTTCTTAAATTTTCTTCATACACGATAATGTTTTCCTTGAAGAAGACAGTCATATATCTTATGTAATCTATTTTTGCTGTTGGACACACAGTACAATGTTAAATAAAAGTGATGATAGTGGACATCCTTCTCTTGTCCCCACCTCAGAGGAGTGTTTAATATTTCTTCATTAATTATGACTTTAGATTTAGGTATTTCTTTGTATTTCTTTGTTGTAAATAACTGTATTCTGTTAGGGAAGTTCCCTTTTATGTCTAGTTTATTTAGTTTTTATTATGAATGCCTACTGAACTTTATCAAATGGTTTTCCTGCATCTATTGATATAACCACATGTTGTCCTACTTTTCTCTATTCTTGGGGTAGATTATTCTGACATTTTGAAGTTAAATCTACCATGTATTTCTCTTATAAATCCCATTTGGTCATTATGTGTTATCCATTTCATATATTATTTGGTTCTATTTACTAATATTTTAATTGGAATTTTGGTGGCTATGTTCATCAGATCATTTTGATGATGAGTTTATTTTTCTTGTAATATAATTGTCATGTTTAGGTCCTTGTCTGACTTATGTTGCCTCATAAAATTAGTTGGAAGGTGTTTACTCTTTATTATCTAAAAAATATAAGACAGTGTATTAATCTGTTATCATACTGCTAATAAAGACATACTCAAGACTGGGCAATTTAAAAGGAAAGAGGTTTAATTGACTCAGAGTTCAGCATGACTGGGGAGGCCTCAGGAAACTTATAATCATGGCAGAAGAGGAAGCAAACACATCCTTCCTCACATGGCAGCAACAAGGAGAAGTGCCAAACCGAAGCAGAAAAAGCCCCTTATAAAACCATGAAGTATTGTGAGAACACACTATCATGAGAACAGCATGAGGGGAACCACCCCCATGATTAAATTGTCTCCCATCGAGTCCCTCCAACAACGCGTGGGGATTATGATAACTACAATTCAAGATGAGATTTGGGTGGGCAAACAGACAAACCATAGCACACAGTCTGCCTTTCATGTCTGTGAGTTCCACATCTGTGAATTCAACAACCTTAGGATTGAAAATGTTATGTTGTTGCTGATGTATACTCTGTAGTTAGGAGTACCTACAGTGGTTATGTCTGTACTGAAGATGTATAGACATTTTTCTTGTCATTATTTCCTAAGCAATACAGTGTAACAACTATTTACAAATCATTTACATTGCATTAGGAATTATAAGTAATCTAGAGATGATTTAAAGTATATGGGAGGATGTGCATAGCTAATAGGCAAATACTAGGCTATTTTATATATGGGACCTGAGCATCCATGGATTTTGGTATCCACAGGTGCCCTAGAACCCATCCCAAAAGGTACCAGAGGAAGACTGTATAAGGCTGACATGCCTTTTAAAAAGTTTTTGAAAGAATTGACAGGTGAAGAAGTCTGGGCATGGAGTTTCTCTGGTGGGAAGGAATGTATTTAGAACTCAATTTCTTAATGGATATAGGATTATTTATATTTTCTACTTAGTTTTCTGTTGGCTTTGTTCAACCGTCTTTTTCAAGAACTCATGTCACTATACCTAAATTTTAAAAGCTCTTTCCATGAAGTTGTGTCTAACTTTCTCTTATTTTTGTTTTAATAAAATCTACAGTTTTATAATGTCCCTTCTCATAGTGTTCATTTGTGTTTTCTCTCTTCTTATGATTAATCTTTCTGGGAATTTTGAAATAGTTTGCCCATCTTTTCCTCTATTTTCCTTAACATATTAATCATAAATATTTTGAAGAATGTCCTTGTTTGCTGACTTCAATATTCAGATCATCTTTGAGTTGGCTTCTGTTGATTATTTCTTCTTTAGTTGCTGCATTCTCTCTGCTGCTTGGCATGGCACATATTCTACATGATGGATTTTAGAGGCTCTGGGTTTTGTTATCTTCCTCCAAAGACTGGTAATAGTTTGACAGTTAGGTAATTATCAAAGAATCACCTTTAGTAAAAATCAGACCCACTTTGATTCTGCTTCCTCTTGATTTTAGCCTTTGCTAGGGTGAGTCTATTTCAGTGTGGTTCTTACTCCAAGGTCACGGTCCTCACTTACACGGCTTCCCCATCCTGATGTCTCAACACAGGTTTTGCAGGGCTGAAATTCCAACATCTCCTCACACTATGGAGCCTGTGACATTTCTACTTAGCATGCAATCTCCAAGAAGCTGTTCTCCAGTGGGCTTCTTAGAGTGTCATCTGGAGCATATGCAGCTCAGGAGTGCAGATTTTGGGGGTTTCTTGTCTGTAACTCCCTCCCTCAGCACCCTACCCCTAAATCCCAGTCAATGTGCCAAGCCTGAACTCTGATCTCTGTTTCCTTTGCCGATGAGACTGATTTTCTCTGCTTGGGTTCCATTTCTCTTCATTGTATTTTGGCAAATGCTTCTGGAAAGAAAGCTGATAAGGATGTGAATCTCCCTTTCAGGAACTTCCATTCTCCAAAAGGTGATAGTCCTGTGCTGGTTGCTGTTTTGTGGCTGCACAACTGCATTGTATGTTTTTTGTGACTTTTATACTTGTTTACTGTGGGAGGATGAGTTTAAAATGAGCTATTCTCTGACGGTTTGAACCCGAAGACCTCTAAGCCTCCAATGGTCGTTTGCATTTCAAATTCTGCATGGGGTAATTTGACACCTCACAGGAAAAGTTAATATGTTTTTACCTTGGTGCCTAGTTGATACCTCAATTTCAGTGTTAATCTTACACACAAAATACAAACACACACACACACACCCCACTGTGTTATAGAGTCATGCATTGTATAATGATGTTTGGGTCAATGATGAATTGCATATATGACTGTCGTCCCATGAGAGTTTAATGGACCTGAAAAATTCCTATCACCTAGTGACATTGAAGCCATCATAACCTCATAGTATGATGCATTAATCATGTGTTTGTGGTGATGCTGCTGTCAACAAACCTACTGCACTGCCAGTCCTATAAAAAGTCTAGCATATACAGCTATGCACAGTACATAATACTTCATAATGATAATAAATGACTATGCTATGTTTTATGTATTTACTATACTTTTTATTGTTATTTTAGAGTGTGCTCCTTCTATATATATAAAAAAATTAAAACAGCCTCAGCCAGGTCCTTTAGGAGGTATTCCAGAAGAAGGCATTGTTATCATAGGAGATGCAGCTCCATGCGTGTTATTACACCTGAAAATCTTCCAGTGGGACAAGATGTGAAGGCTGAAGATGGTTGATATTGTTGGTCTTGACCCTGTGTCAGCCTATGCTAATGTATGTCTTTATTTTTACCAAAAAAGATTAAAAGGTAAAGATAATTAAATAGGAATAAGCTTCTAGAATGGGAATATAAAGAAAAATATTTTTGTAGAGCTGTATAATGTGTTGACGTTTTAAGCTAAGTGCTATTACAAAAGAGTAGAAAAGTTTAAAAAGTTTATAAAGGACTTCATGTCTAAAACACCAAGCAATGGCAACAAAAGCCAAAATTGACAAATGGGATCTAATTAAACTAAAGAGCTTCTGCACAACAAAAGAAACTACCACCAGAGTGAACAGGCAACCTACAAAATGGGAGAAAATTTTCGCAACCTACTCATCTGACAAAGGGCTAATATCCAGAATGTACAATGAACTCAAACAAATTTACAAGAAAAAAACAAACAACCCCATAAAAAAGTGGGCGAAGGACATGAACAGACACTTCTCAAAAGAAGACATTTATGCAGCCAAAAAACACATGAGAAAATGCTCACCATCACTGGCCATCAGAGAAATGCAAATCAAAACCCAATGAGATACCATCTCACACCAGTTAGAATGGCAATCATTAAAAAGTCAGGAAACAACAGGTGCTGGAGAGGATGTGGAGAAATAGGAACACTTTTACACTGTTGGTGGGACTGTAAACTAGTTCAACCATTGTGGAAGTCAGTGTGGCGATTCCTCAGGGGTCTAGAACTAGAAATACCATTTGACCCAGCCATCCCATTACTGGGTATATACCCAAAGGACTATAAATCATGCTGCTGTAAAGACACATGCACACGTATGTTTATTGCGGCACTATTCACAATAGTAAAGACTTGGAACCAACCCAAATGTCCAACAATGATAGACTGGATTAAGAAAATGTGGCACATATACACCATGGAATACTATGCAACCATAAAAAAGGATGAGTTCATGTCCTTTGTAGGGACACGGATGAAATTGGAAATCATCATTCTTAGTAAACTATCGCAAGGACAAAACACCAAACACCGCATGTTCTCACTCATAAGTGGGAATTGAACAATGAGAACACATGGACACAGGAAGGGGAACATCACACTCTGGGGACTGTTGTGGGGTGGCAGGAAAGGGGAGGGATAGCATTAGGAGATATACCTAATGCTAAATGACGAGTTAATGGGTGCAGCACACCAGCATGGCACATGTATACATATGTAACTAACCTGCACAATGTGCATATGTACCCTAAAACTTAAAGTATAATAATAAAACAAAAAAGTTCAAAAGGTTACAGAAAGCTATGGTAACTAATTATTAATTAGTTATTAATTGTTAATAAATAAATAATAAAATTATTAGTTAATTATTAATAAGTTAATTTATTATTAAAGAAAGACAATGTTAAAATCAATTTAGTGTAGCCTAAGTTTATAAAGTCTAAGTAGTGTACAGTAATGCCCTAGCCTTCACATTCACTCACCACTCACTCACTCACCCAGGGCACTTCTAGTCCTGCAAGCTCCATTCATGGTAAGTGTCCTAGACAGATACGCCATTTTAAAGATCTTTTTGTTAATCACATTTTTACTGTACCTTTTCTCTGTTTACACATGCTTAGATCCACAAATACTTACCATTGTGTTAGAATTGGCTGCAATGTTCCATACGGTAACATGCTATATAATTTGTAGCCTAGAAGCAATGGGCTTATCACGTAGCCTAAGTGTGAAGTAGGTTATACCATCTAGGTTCATGTAAGGACACTCTATGATGTCCACACATGACAAAATCACCTAAGGACTCATTTCTCAGAAGCTATCTCACCATTGAGCGAAGAATGACTGTATATGTATGTAAGTCCTTTGAAGTTTAAACATTTTCAATTTGATACATTTGTGTCTCATTTAAGAAATATTTTCCATTCCAGCAGATGTGAAAAAAAAAAAAGGCTGGCACAGTGCCTCATGCCTGTAATACCAGCACTTTGGGAGGCTGAGGTGGGTGGATCGTTTGAGCCTAGAAGTTTGAGACCAGCCTGGGTAACATGGCAAAACCCCATCTCTACTAAAAATATAAAAAGGAGCCAGGCATTGTCTCACATGCCTGTTGTCTCAGCTACTCAGGGGGCTGAGGCAAGAGGATCACCTGAATCTTGGGAGGTCAAGGCTGCAGTGAGCCATGATCGGGCCACTGTAATTTAGCCTGAGTGACAGAATGAGACCCTGGCTGGAAAAAAAAATAAAATAAAAAAGAAAGATTTTCCTACCCAAATAATTTAGGTTATCCTCCTAATAACTTTGGCAGTAATTTTACTTTTTCATATTTGTCTTTACTGCTCATATAATTTTTTGTTTATATCAAGGTATAGAGATATAATTTAATCATGGCATGTTTAGTAGACTATCGATGCTGGGAAAGGGCTTAGGAGATGATGATGAATCAAAACATGGGATAGAGGCTGGGTACGTGGCTCAGGCCTGTAATCCCAGCATTCTGGGGAGCCAAGGTGGGTGAATTGTTTGAACCCAGGAGTTTGAGACCAGCCTCGGCAACATAGTGATACCTCATCTCTACAAAAAAATTTTTTAAAAAATTAGTTGGGCATGGTGGCATGTTCCTGTAGTTTCAGCTACTCATGAGGCTGAGGCTGGAGGATTGCTTCAGACAGGGAGGTCGAGGCTGCAGTGAGCAATGATTGTGCCACTGCACTGCAGCCTGTGACGTTTGTTTGTTTGAGACAGGGTCTCACTGTGTCTGAAAAAACCAAACAAACAAAAATTAAATAAAAAACCCACAGGATAGAAATCTCTATGGATAATAATACATGAATGAAAAGAAAGAATGACAGAGATCAAATTAATGAAGTCATTTCTGTGTGGAAGACTTCCTGATGATTTTGATGCTTTTTCCCCAAGGAATTTTTCTTTTTTTTTCCAGGAAATATGTATGATATGAATTATGGTAAATGGCCCTTTCCTTTGACTTTTGAATCTCTGGTTTTCCTTCATCTCCGCTGACATCAGGACATTCCTGAGCATCACAAAGGTCCTGCAATCATAGCCATTTAGAACTTTGAAAAACGCAGTCACTCTCTTCCAAACCAGTATTTGTTAAAGCTGCAGAGAGAGTATTTTTTGGTTCTTGGGAGACAGAGAGGATGAAGGGGGTACTCATGCACAGAACATCTATTCCAACACTCCCATCCTCATCAGCCTTTAGTTCCTTCCTATACATTATACCAAAAAATTTCTCACATCTAATCCTGTTTAGTCAGGCCACGACTAAGTCAAATTTAAAAGCAACTCAACATTTAGATCCACTCTGAGTGTGGAAAATCTCACATTGTTTTCCACTACTCTCACACCACAACAACTATCAACACAGAAGACTTCTCTGACCAAATGTAGGGAATTTCTCCAACAAACAAGCAATCAGTTCTGTGATGGACACCAGCTGGGTGTCCTCTAACTGAATTCTGCCACTCTTTCCCTGGAGATAGCATCGCATCCCATGGGTTGAGAGCTCAGTCCCCATGACTGTCCCCCTCCCACTCCTGATGCCAGTCTCAAGCCTCCCACTCCTGATGCCAGTCTCAAGCCATTTTGCCCGTGTTTCTAACTAACTTGCTTTAAATCAGTGTTCCCATAACCCGTTTCTCAGGTTTGATTAATTTGCTAGAATGGCTCACAGAACTCAGGAAAACACTTACATATATTTACCAGTTTATTTAAAAAGATATTTTAAAAGACACAAATAAAGAGCCCCATGAACAGACACATAGGGCAAGGTCAGAAGGGTTTCCAGTGCAGGAGCTTCTGTCCCATGGGGTTGGGATGCGCCACCCTCTCTGGCACATGGCTGAGTTCTTGTTCACCCTCCTGTTAGCTTCCCTGTGTTCAGCTATCCAGAAGCTCTCCAAACCCTGCCCTTTTGGGTTTTGATGGAAGTCATATTTCTTAGGCATGATTCATTAAATCATTGGCCATCAGCTTAACCTTCAGCCTCTCTCCCCTCCCTGCCAATGAAATGATCCTATTTCTAGAAAAATCTGAAGACTCCATCAAAGAACTATTAGATATGATAAGTAAATTCAGTAGAGTTGTGGGATGCAAAATCAACATACAAAAATCAGTATAATGTCTATACATTATTAATGAAGTAGCTGAGAAAGAAATCAAAAAAGCAATTCCATTTACGATAACTAGAAAAAAATGCCTAGGAATAAGTTTATGCAAGGAAGTCAAAGATCTCTTAAAAATAAATCTATACAACACTGATGAAAGAAAGAAGAGGACACAAACAAATGGAAAGATATTCCATGCTCATGAATCAGAAGAATTAATATTAGTAAAATGACCATAGTTCCCAAAGCAATCTAAAGATTCAAGGGAATTCCAACAAAAATACCAAGGTTATTTTTCCACAGAATTAGAAAAAATAATTCTAATATTTCTATGGACCCAAAACATTTTTAAAAAGTCCAAATAGCCAAAGAAATCCTGAGCAAAAAGAACAAAGCTAGGGCCATCACACTACTTGACTTTAAAATACATTACAAGGCTATAGTATCCAAAACAGAATGGTATTGATATAAAAACAGACATGCCAATCAATGGAACATAATAGAGAATGCAGAAATAAATCCATATATTTACAGCCAACTGACTTTTAACAAAGGTGCCAAGAACACACATTTGGGAAAAGGACACCCTCTTCAGTAAAAGGGCTGGGAAAATGGATATCCCGTATGCAGAAGAATGAAATTAGATTCTTATCTCTCACCCTATTAAAAATCAACTCAAGTTGACTTAAATAAAATGAAAGACCTGAAACTATAAAACAACTGGAAGAAAACAGGGGAAACATTCTAGGCCAGTGGTCCGGGCAAAGGTTTTATGGCTAAGACTTCAAAAATATAGAAAACACAAATAAAACCAGACAAATAGGACTATAATAACTAAAAAAGCTTCTGCATAGCAAATAAAACAATTGACAGAGTGAAGAGACAATCTGCTGAACAGGAGAAAACATTTTCAAACAATTTATCTGACAAGGGACTAATATCCAGAATACTATAAGAAACTCAAACAACTCAAGAATTAAAAAACCAAACAATCTTATTAAAAAGTGGGCAAAGGGCATGAATAAATATTTTTCAGAAGAAGAATATAAATGGCCAACAGATACATAAAAAAATGTTCAACATCACTAATCATTAGGGAAATGCAAATCAAAACCACAATGAGATGTCATCTTACCCCAGATAGAATAGCCACAACTGAAAAGACAAAAATAAAATAAATAAAATAAAATAAAATAACAGATGCTGGTGATGTGGAGAAAAGGGAACTCTTGTACGCTGTTGATAGGAATTTAAATTAGTACAGCCACTATAGAAGACAGTATGGAGAGTTTTAAAAAATCTAAAAATAGAACCACTATATTATCCAGCAATTCGGGGGTGGGTTTGGAAAGTGCTGGAGTTCAGGGATCAGGGTTGGCAGAGAGCAGGGCCTGGGGGTGCTTGGGTAGCTGGAGGAGAATGAAGGAGGCAGATGCCTGGGTACCAGGGTATCAAAGTGAGGGAAGTGCGGGGCTGTCCCAAGAGGGCAGGAGACTAACAGAAGAATTCTTGAGACCTGTTGGGAATAGGGAAGGGTGGAACCCTCAGGATCCAGGGCAAGGGGTCAGAATCTTGGGCCAGGCTCATCGCTGAGCTCTTTGTAACCCACCACCATCTTCAGACTCCCAGCTAAGTTGTGCACGTATCCTCCAAGAGCATCTCCTTGGCTGCCAGCAGAGGGACCTGCTCTCTGCCTGTGACCCTGTGGCCACTGGGCCTGGCAAGGTAGCTCCTGCTGTCAAAGACAATGAAGAGGCAGCCATCCAGCAAGCCGAGTGCTGTGACCCCAGGCTTCCCGGGGCTGGACTCTGCTAGGACAGTAAGGCCCGAGCACAGAAAGTGGGGCCCTCAACCTACCAGGGCTGGGCCCCTTAGCCCCTGTCCTTCACTCTCTTTTCTTCAGGATCCTAGGAACTCCCTCCTGCTTTACACACACCTACACACACACACACACACACACACACACACACACACCCCTTCTAAAGAAACACTTCCCACTTTTCTCTCCTCCCTGACTCCTTTCACCCTCCTCCTTTTTCCTCCTCCTCTTCCTCCCCCCCCCTTATAAAGAAAAAGGTTTAATTGACCTACAGTTCCAGTGTTTGGTATGATTCCTTCTTCTCTTATGATCCATTTCATCTCCCTTCTGCTCTCTGGAGCCTCCCTCCTTCCTGGACCGAGGCCCCAAGGTTGGAGCTCACAGACTGATTCCTGGGATGAGCAGCCTCCACCTGCAGGAGCAGTGGCAGGAACAAGGGAGGGGACAGGAGGCCAAGGTCCCATCCTGGAGGCTGGGGGACTGGGTCGTGCATTAGCAAGGGTTTGGGGTTGAGTCAGCTCCAGACCTGATCCTGCTGTTTTGGTCTGGAGGCCTCCCTCTGCCCTGAGACAAAAGTCCAGTCAATCAGTTGTGGGAGAAAACGTTCATATCAACATGGATTTTGGGAAGCTGGATGAACTCAGAGCCTGACACGAGACCGGGAGACTCTCTTCTGTGCAGAGTCCCGTCCAGGTGCGGGGAACAGGGGGAGAGCCTGGGACGTCCTGGCTGGGGAGAAAGGGGAGCGGGGTCCTCTGTCTTCAGTCCTGTGGCCACACGGGGGCGCCGCCACAGTGCTCTCGGATTCTGACTGAGCGCTTTCGGGGACCAGGCTGCGGGCTGAGTGGGGCAGACGGGGCTGATCCTGAGGTCATCCACGCCAGGATGGAGGCGTCTCCTGAGCAGCCCTGGAATCCACAGGACTCAGGCTAGATTTGCTTGTCCTGCAACGTGAGGCAATTGTGAAGTAACAAGGTCTGGCTCTAGAATTCTTATGGCGAATACGGCTGTCATAAAATCCAACCAGAATGAGAGTCCAGCGCCTGAGTTGACTGTCCTGGGCACACCCGGCTTTGACGGGGTTGCCAAAAACTTAACTTTGGCACTCACAGAAATTTCAATGATTGTGGAAAACTCCGAATAAGTGTGTACGATTTCATTTCTGATGTCTCTGGCGCTTTTGAAAGGCCAGAAAGAGCCATGCAAAGAGGCTGAAAGCCTCCTCTGGGAATTCTCAAATCCCTTTTCATAGCAGTAAATTGTACCTAGAGAGCCAAGACTGAAGGACATAGAGAGAAGGATCTGGAGACGGAGCCGTCTTTTCTGAGCAGCACGGACGGGGCTGTCAGGGCGCTTTTCCCCTCTGTGTTCAGCAGGATGGACTCTGCAGTGAGGCGCAGCCCCTGTCTCCCGGGAGCCTCAGGGCCACACATCCTCCCGATGCCCCATGTCAGGAGCATCTTTTTCCTTATCTTGTTTTTCACGACTCCTTTCCTTTTTCTGTCCTGTGGCTACTAATACAACAGACAGACAAGATCTTATAAGACCAGATAAAAGATGTCACTGATGATGGCTAAGACATGATTATGAAGGAACAGTGGAAGATACAGACAGAGCAAGAGAAAGAGACAAAACACAGAGAAAGAACAGAAATAGAAAAACACAGAAAAAGAATATCCATCCATCTATCCATGCTTCTGTCTACCTATCTACCTCCTTGCAAGGTAGGTACATCAACACTTTTTTTTTTTTGAGATGGAGTCTCGCTCTGTCACCCAGGCTGGAGTGCAGTGGCATGATCTCAGCTCACTGCAATCTCCGCCTCCTGGGTTCAAGCAATTCTCTGCCTCAGCTTCCCAAGTAGCTGGGATTACAGGCGTCTGCCACCATGCCCGGCTAATTTTTGTATTTTTAGTAGAGATGGGGTTTTACCATGTTGGTCAAGCTGGTCTCGTACTCCTGACCTCGTGATCCACCCACCTCGGCCTCCCAAAGTGCTGGGATTACAGGCATGAGCCACCGCGCCCAGCCACATCAACACTTTTAAATTCATGCTCCAATAAAATCACAAGCTTTTTTTTGCTGGCTCACACCTGCCTCCTTCATCCAGCTGACTGATGTATTTGCTGAAGTCTTGCCATGTTCTGCACTGGGTACTGAGCATTGGAGTCTAAACAGGAACAGATCCCTGTGATGCACTCACATGGGGCCCTTTACTGTCCCGTCCCTGGCTGTGAGACATCCTCATCTCCCTGAGGCTCTTCTTTCTGGTTACTGGGAGAAGTTCCCGGCCCGCCTCCCTACTGACACCTGAGAGACTCCAACATCCTGGAACATCACTATCTTCGAATCGAGCACTGATTTTCAGCATTTATCCTGTGTCCACCACTTGAGTACTAAATACCCTTTTGATGATTTTCTCATTTAGAAGCTGCTAGAGAAGGATGCGGTTGTAACTTCAGGCATGTTGTTTAAGAGAAATCTAAAAATTAGGAAAATTCATGGAAAGGGCCTTTTCTGCTTACTTTCAGAACACTTCTTGTTCATCTTCTCATTGAGTTTGATTGCTGGAAAAGTGGCTTCCATATCCCCTGACTTAATGCAAGTAGTGGAAACACCTGCTCAGTGAACAAGTACTTTGGAAAATGCCCTCAGAACTTCACACATCAGAAAAACATGTGTGTCTCCCTGCTCAACCCTGGAGTTGCCAATATGCTACATGTTAATTCCTCACTGACCTTACTCAAGCCCTCTGGAAGAGAATGGTGCTCCTAAAAATGTCCCAGTGGCATGGGACAGCAAATTCCTCTGTGCTCACTGCAAGAAAGCACACAATTCAACTTTTCAATCCCATTGAGTATCTGAAAATGAACTGTATTTTCAATGTATTCCCCTCCAGAGAGTACATTGCAGAGGAAACCTGTTCAAATCCACAAATGATTTTGAGTCAAGAAGCTAAATATGAGGTCCTTCAAGAAAAGTTAAGAGATTCCCTGACCTTAAATTTCATGTTGCACTTATAAGATGGACCTGTTAGCATCTGTCCCCACCTCTGGGTACCCGGCAGAATGTGCTGTCTTTTGGGACTCAGGGAGATAGTCACCCACACCAGGAGCACCAAATAAATCCCTAGGAGGGACTCCATGGTCCACCCAGGAGCCTCCTCAAGCAACTTCTTCCCCCAAATAACCTTGAAGTCCTAGAAATCAACTAAGAAAAAAGATATCCATGTCTTTGATTTAAAAAAAATAATGAAATGCCAACAGTCCAGCACCCAATAGGGAAGCTATGAGACTACATTTTCTGCATGTGGAGAAGACACATCTAATGGAGAAATGGGAAACTGCTTCAAAAGTGTTGGGCCACAGTGAGAGAATGTGGTTGTCACCACCACCACCCACTGCCCACTCACTCAGTAACCCCTCCCCATTTTAACAAACACACCAATGATGAGAAACACTTTGTACCTTCCTCTACTGTAATAAGCCTATTATCATGTCATCTCCTGTGGTTGATTTTTTCACTTAAGGATGACCTCTGGGCTTGTGATGGGAGAGGTTGCTGTGAAAGTCTCTGACATTCCCTGGAGATATTTTCCCCATTGTCATGGTGATTGACATTGAGCTCCCCCTTACTGATGCAAATTTCTGCAGTGGGCTTGAATTTCTCTCCAGAAAATGGGTTTTTATTTTCTATTGCATCATCAGGATGCGAATTTTTCAAACTTTTATGCTCTGCTTCCTCTTGAACACTTTGCTGCTTAGAAATTTCTTCTGGCAGATACACTAAATCATCTCTCTCAAGTTCAAAGTTCCACATATCTCTAGGGCAGGGGAAAAATGCTGCCAGTCTCATTGCTAAAGCGTAGCAAGAATCACCTTTATTCCAGCTCCCAACAAGTTTCTCATCTCCATCTGAGGCCACCTCAGCCTGGACTTCATTGTCCATATTACTATCAGCATTTTGGTCAAAACCATTCAACAAGTCTCTAGGAAGTTTCAAGCTTTCCCATATCTTCCTGTCTTCGGAGCCCTCTGAGTCTCTAG
Source organism: Homo sapiens (assembly GCF_000001405.40). NCBI lineage: Eukaryota > Metazoa > Chordata > Mammalia > Primates > Hominidae > Homo > Homo sapiens. Next base: position 31,438,537 of record NC_000006.12, on the reverse strand, counting down.
GAAGTTCCAAACTTTCCCACATGTTCATGTCTTCTTCTGAGCCCTCTAACCTGTCCCAACCTCTGCTTGTTACCCAGTTCCAAAGTCACTTCCACATTCCTGGGTATCTTTATAGTAGCACCCCACTCCTGGTACTAATTTACTGTATTAGTCCATTCTCACACTGCTATGAAGAAATACCTGAGGCTGGGTAATTTATAAACAACAGAGGTTTAATTGACTTACAGTTCCGCATTGCTGGGGAGGCCTTAGGAAACTTATAATCATGGCAGAAGGCACCTTGTCACATGGCAGCAGAAGAGAGAATTAGTGTAATCAGGGGAAATGTCAGATGCTTATAAAAGCATCAGATTTCATGAGAGTCACTCTATCATGAGAACAGCATGGGGGATCTGCCCCCATGATTCAATTAACTCCCACTACATTTCTCCCATGACACATGGGAATTATGGGAACTACAATTCAAGATGAGATTTGGGTGGGAACACAGCCAAACCATATCATTAATGCATTATGAAAGTCAAATTTATACATTCTAGATGCTTTGTGAGGCTGTCTAGAAAGCAGTTTGGAGACAATTCCTATAGGAAAAAATCAAATAATCTCTCCAAGATGATATTGCATTTAGAATTTCATGTTTGTCATTATTAAAATGGGGCCACCCAACTCAATTATCTAGAAAACTAAGTGTAGGTGAATTATGCTGGATACATTTAGCCATCACTCTTCAACAACACTATGAAATGGAAAAAACAAGGTATTAAGGCAACAACCTGCATGATGAATAAAATAGTACCTCACATCTCAATGCTAATGTTGAATGTCAATAATCTAAATGCTCCACTTAAAAGATACAGATTGGCAGAATGGGTAAAAATCCACCAATCGAGTATCTGCTGTCTTCAAGAGAATGCCTAACACATAAGGACTCACATAAACTGAAGGTAAAGGGGTGGAAATATTTCATGCAAATGGAAGCCAAAAGTGAGCAGGAGTAGCTATTGTTATATCAGACAAAACAGCCTTTAAAGCAACAACAGTTTAAAAAAAAAAAGACAAAGAGGAACACTATATAATGACAAAAGGATTAGTCTAACAGGAAAGTATCACAATCCTTAATATATATGCACCTAACACTAGGGGTTCCAAATTTATAAAACAATTATTACTGGATCTAATAAATGAGATAGGTGGCAACACAATAATAGTGGGGGACTTCAATACTTCACTGACAGCACTAGACAGGTCATCAAGAAAGTCAACAAAGACAAAATGGACTTAAACTATACCCTAGAACAAATGGACTTAACAGATATTTACAGAACATTCTACCCAACAACTGCAGAATATACATTTTTGTCATTATCACATGGAACATTCTCCAAGGTAGACCATATGATAGGTCACAAAGTAAGTCTCAATACATTTAAGAAAATCAAAATTATATCAAGTACTCTCTCAGACCACAGTGGACTGAAACTGGAAATTAACTCCAAAGGAACCCTCAAAACTGTGTGAATACATGGAAATTAAATAACTTGCTCTTCAATGATCTTTGAGTCAACATTAAAATCAAGATGGAAATTTAAAAATTCTTTGAACTGAATGATAATAGTGACACAACCTATTAAAACCCTGGAATACAGCAAAAGAAGTACTAAGACGAAAGTTCATAGCATTAAATGCCTACATGAAAATGTCTGAAAGAGCACAAAAAGACAATCTAAGGTCAAACCTCAAGGAACTAGAGAAACAAGAACAAACCAAACTCAAACCCAGCATAAGAAATAAAATAACAAAGATCTGAGCAGAACTAAATAAAATTGAAGCATGAAAAATGATAAATGAAACAAAAAGCTGGTTCTTTGAAAAGATAAGCAATTGATAGACCATTAGTGAAATTAACCAAGAGAAGAAAAGACCCAAACGAGCTGAAGTAGAAATGAAACAGGATATATTACAACTGATACCACAGAAATTCAAGGCTACCATGAATACCTTTACACACACAAACTAGAAAATCTAGAATAGATTGATATTGATAAATTCCTGGAAATATACAACCCTCCAGATTAAATCAGGAAAAAACAGAAACTGAACAGACCAATAACAAGTAGCAAGATTGAAAGAGCAATAAAAAAAAATTGCCAACCAAAAAAAGTCCAGGACCAGATGAATTCACAGCTGAATTCCATCAGACATTCAAAGAAGAATTGGTCTCAATCTTACTGAAACTATTTCAAAAGGTAAAGACGGCATCCTCCCTAAATCATTCTATGAAGCCAAAAGCAGGAAAAGACATAACCAAAAAAGTAAACTACACACCAATATCCCTAATAAACATAGATGCAAAAATTCTCAACAAAATACTGGTTAATCCATCCAACAGCATATCAAAAAGATAATCCACCATGATCAAGTGGGTTTCATACCAGGGATGCAGGGATGGTTTAACATACGCAAGTCAATAAATGTGATACATCACATAAACAGAATGAAAAACAAAAATAATATTGTTATCTCGATAGATACATGTATTAGTCACGGTTCTCTAGAGGAACAGAACTAATAGCACATATACGTGTGTGTGTGTATATATATATATAAGAGTTTATTAAGTATTAATTTACACAATCACAAGTTCACACAATAGGCTGTCTGCAAGCTGAGGAGAAAGGAGAGCCAGTTCGAGTCTCAAAACTGAAGAACTTGGAATCTGATGTTCGAGGGCAGGAAGCATCCAGCATGGGAGAAAGATGTAGGCTGGGAGGCTAGGCCAGTCTCTCTCCTTTTCAAATTTTTCTTCTTGCTTTATATTTGCTGGCAGCTGATTAGACTGTGCCCACCAGATTAAGAATGGATCTGCCTTCCCTGGTCCACTGTCTCAAATGTTAATCTCTTTTGGCAATACCCTCATAGACACACCCAGGATCAATACTTTGTATCATTCAATTTAATCAAGCTGACACTCAGTATTAACCATCACAAGTCCACCCCTTGTCAACTTGAACCCATACTCATCTCCTGAGATCATACATAATCTTCAAACAAAGACAATAATAAGGTCATAATTACACCAACATAATACAATGATCCTTCGTACAACCAGAAACGCACCAATCCCCAAGTACTATTACATAAAGTTAATAAAACTTAAATGCTGACATGAAGTCAATAAATCTTATGTCACATGATAAAGGAAAAGGAAATAAAATAAAGGTATTTTCTTAGTCCAAGTGTATACATGCACAAACATGACTTTTAGCAAAAGAAGGAGGAAATATTCATGACCATTGCAGTCCCTGTTTCTGCAGGTGGTCACGTGGGCATAGCTGGTATTGATGACTACCTTCTTCTACTACCCATTCTGTATTCCCTTTGCCTTCAGCAAGCACCTCAGCAGGTTGTGTTTTTTTTTCCTGGTGGAGTGACCCAAACCTACATTCCTGAGGGATCTGGGCCATTTGTAGTCCTGCCCGGATCGGGCTGTTGTAGTTTCCCATTGACCTTAATCACAGGGCATGGTAATACTAAGAGGCATCCTAATGGATCGCCTGTATTCCATGCATACTCTTCCTTACCTCTGTTGTGGAGTAGTAGACTGATTTCATCTTGATAGTCCAGGTCAATCACGCCAGCCAACACTGTAACTCCCTTCATAGCCTGTTGACTTAAATGTAGGAGGAGCCCAAAGTATCCAGGTGGCAATCTTAACTTCTAGTTTAATGAAATCGATGTTGTGTCTCCTGGTGGCAGCATTCCTCCCTCTGGAACTAAGACCTCTAGGCCAGCAGAACATAATGTTGTGGGAGCAGGAAGCAAAAATTTTGCTAGTGGGTCACTAGGGGTGATGGTGAGTGCTGCCACTTCCAATCCTTGATTCCTGTACTCGAGAATTCTGGCTATGGGAGAAACACTATCCTATATTGGATGCTGATTCAGAGCATACACAGTCTTCTGGAGAACTTTGCCCCAGCCCTGCAAAGTATCGTCACCTAGTTGGCATTGTTATTGTGACTTCAAAAGGTCATTACACCATTCTATCAATCCAGCTGCTTCAGGATGGAGAACATGGTAAGACCAGTGAATTCCATGAGCATGAGCCCACTGCTGCACTTCTTTAGCCATGAAGTGAGTGCCTTGGTTAGAGGCAATGCTGTGTGGAATACCATAAGGGTGGACAAGGCATTCTGTGACTCCATGATGGTAGTCTTGGCAGAAGCATTGCATGCAGGATAGGCAAACCCATATCCGGAGTAAGTGTCTATTCCAGTGAAGACAAACTTCTGCCCTTTCCATAATGGAAGAGGTCCAATAATCAACCTGTCACCAGGTAGCTGGCTGATCGCCCAAGGAATGGTGTCATATTGAGAGCTCAGTGTTGGTCTCTGCTGCTGGCAAATTGGGCACTCAGAAGTGGCCATAGCCAGGTCAGCCTTGGTGAGTGAAAGTCTATGTTGCTAAGCCTATGTATACCCTCCATCCCTACTGCCATAGCCACTTTGTTCATTGGCCCATTGGGCGATGACAGAAGTGGCTGGGAAAACAGACTGAGTGGTGTCCACAGAACGGGTCATCCTATTTGATTATTAAAATCCTCCTCTGCTTAGATCACCCATTGGTGGGCACTCACATGGGATACAAATATCTTTGTGGGTTTTGACCAGAGAGGTCCATCCACAAACCTCTTCCCCAAATTTCTTTGTCACCAATTTTCCAATCATGCTTCTTCCAAGTCCCTGACCCTCCAGCCAAACCATTGGCTACAGCCTATGAATCAGTATATAATCGCACATCTGGCTATTTCTCATTCCATGCAAACTGCACAACCAGGTGAACTGCTCACTAGGAAGATTTCCTTTCACTGCTGCCCTTCAGGGATGTCCTAGAAAGGGGCTGTAGTGCTGCAGCTGTCCACTTTTGGGTGGTGCCTCCATATCGTGCAGAACAATCTGTGAACAAGGCCCTATTCTTCTGTTCCTCTGTCAACTGATCATAGGGAACTCCTCATGAGGCCATCGGTGCAGGCTGAGGAAGAGAAAGCAGGGTGGCAGGAGTGGAGACCCTGGGCATCTGAGCCACTTCCTCATGTACCTTACTTGTGCCTTCGGGATCTGCTTGAGCCCGATCATGTACATGCCACTTCCATTTGATGATGGAATGCTGCTGTGCATGACCCACTTTATGGCTAGATTAGTCACAAAGCATCCAGTTCATGATAGGCAGTTCAGGTTGCATGGTGACTTGATGACCCATAGTCAAATGTTCAGTTTCTACCAAAGCCCAGTAACAGGCTAAGAGCTGTCTCTCAAAAGGAGAGTAGTTATCTGCAGAAGATGGCAGGGCCTTGCTCCAAAATCCTGGAGGCCTCTGCTGTGATTCAACTATGTGGGCCTGCCAAAGGCTCCAACAGCATCCCTATCTACCACTGACACCTCAAACATCATTGGGTTTGCTGGGTCATATAGCCCAAAGGGCAGAGCAGCTTGCACAGCAGCCTGGACATGTTGCAGAGCCTTCTCCTGTTCTGTACCCTACCCAAAACTGGCAGCCTTTCAGGTCACTTGATAAATGGGCCGGAGTAACATACCCAAATGAGGAATGTGTTGCCTCCAAAATCCAAATCGGCCCACTAGGCATTGTGCCTCTTTCTTGGTTGTAGGAGGAGCCAAATGCAGCAACTTATTCTTCACCTTAGAAGGAATATCTTGGCAGGTCCCACACCATTGGACCCCTAGAATTTTACTGAGGTAGAAGGTCCCTGAATTTTAGTCAGATTTATTTCCTATCCTCTGGCACGCAAATGTCTCATCAATAAGTCCAGTGTGTTTGCTACTTTTTGCTCACCGGATCCAATCAGCACAATGTCATTAAGGTAATGGACCAGTGTGATATCTTGCAGAAGCGGAAAGTGATCAAGGTTTCTTTGAATCAGATTATGACACAAAGCTGGATTGTTGATATACCCCTGAGGCAGGACAGTAAACGCATATTGCTGGCCTTGCCAGCTGAAGGCAAATTGCTTCTTGTGGGCCTTATGGACAGGAATGGAGAAAAAGGCATTTGCCAAGTCAATGGCTGCATACCAGGTACCAGGAGATGTGTTAATTTGCTCAAGCAATGAAACCACATCTGGTGCAGCAGCTGCAGTTGGAGTCGTCACCACTTGGTTAAGCTTACAATAATCCACTGTCATTCTCCAAGATCTGTCTGTCTTCTGCACAGGCCATTTGGGAGAGTTGAATGGGGATGTGATTTGAATCACCACCCCTGTGTCTTTTAAGTTCTTCATGGTGGCACTAATCTCCTCTGTACCTCCAGGGATGTGACATTGTTGATTTACTATTTTTCCAGGTAAAGGCAGCTCCGATGGCTTCCATTTGGCCTATCCCACCATAATATCCCTCACTCTACCAGTCAGCATGCCAGTGTGGGGGTTCTGCCAGCTGCTAACTATTCCTATGCCAATTATGCATTAATTGGGGAAATTGCATTGGGGAAATGATGCATTAATTGGGAAAATTAATTGGGAAAATGCATTAAGTGGGGAAATGACCACAGGATGAGTCTGGGGATTCATTGTACCCATTGTAAGTCAGACCTGAGCTAAAACTCCATTAATTACCTGAACTCCATAAGCTCCTACTTTAACTGGAGGGCCACAATGATGTTTTGGGTTCCCTGGAATCAATGTCAGCTCAGAGCCAGTGTCCTGTATTCCTGAAATATCTAATCATTTTCCTCTCCCCAGTGCACAGTTACCCTGGTAAAAGGCTGGAGGTCTCCTCACAGAAGGATGGAAGAAGATTCACTGCATAAATTGTCAGTAATGTAGTGGGGTCCTTCTTCAAGGAGACCCAGCTTCCTTTTCATTCAAGGGGTTCTGGGTCTGTAAACTGGCTCAAGTCTGGAAATTGACTGAGGGGCCATGATTCTTTGTTTTTATGATTAAAATTAGTCTTTTGTCCATTGCACATAGAAGTTTTCTGCTTGTATAAATTAAGTAGGAATGAAGTAGGCTTCCTATCAATTTCATTCCTAGGAACACCATGATTAATTAGCCAATGCCAGAGCTCTGCATGAGTTGGACTATTATGACTGCCACTTTGCCTCTGCTGTCCATTATGGTAGCTACACTCACCTTGCCTTTGATGGTTGAATGCTGCCACTTGGCCCCTGACACCTCGGGATCCAATTATTCCCATTGTATTTAAATTTTATAGTTGAGTACTGTGATTCCCACTGTTAGCTCTGACATGCAGAGAAGAGCAATTACAGGGCTCTTCAAAGATGCAGGTGCTGCCCTCACAAACCTATTTCACAAGGCACTGGTCAAGGGTAAATCTTCTAGACCTTCCCAGTTGGGATGAGTAGGTCTAAACTGACTAATCCATTCCACCATCCCAATCTCCCTAAGCTTTTTAATTCCTTCCTCTACATTAAACCAAGGGAGATCAGACATTTCCAGCTTGCTCACAGTGGGCCACCTTTTAATCCATATTTCAGCTAACCAAGAAAATAAACTATTACGACCTTCTTTAACTCCCCGAGCTGCAACATTAAAAGCAGAGTCCTTACTTAATGGCCCAAATCAATAAATTCAGCCTTATCCAACTCTATGTTCCTTTCACCATTATCCCATACCTGTAATATCCATTCCCATGCCTGTTCTCCACATTTCTATTGATATAAATTAGAAAACTGAAACAGCTCTTTTTGAGTGTAGTGCACCTCCTCATGGGTCACACTCTCAACCTCACCTCTAGGGGACCGCTGGGACTTTAGTCTAGTCATAGGTCTAGAAGCAAACAGAGGTGTTAGGGGTGGCTCCTGAGGAGAATCAACATTATCTTGCCTGGCAACTGCTTCAGGGCAGGCCATCACTGTTGCCTCAGGCAGTGCAGGGTTTGTCTTCTCAGATAAAGGTGGAAAGGCTGATGACAGCATGGGCTGGGGAGGGGATGTTGCCAATACTAGGGACGGGGAAGCTGATTCTTCTAGCAAAAAAAGTTTCATCATAATTTACACACTTAGTGTCCCCAGCTTCATTAGGATCCTCCCACATATCCCCATTCCAAGTTGCAGGGTCTCATTCTTTTCTGATCAATGCCCTCACTTTAACAGTAGACACTTGGTGAGGCTGTGTATGCATCTTTCATCGCAGGTCAGCTACTCACATGATAGGAGCTTTTGTCTGTTTTTCCACAATTTCAGCTCTTTCTCTACAGGAGATAAGACTGTCACTCATGGGGCAATCTTAGCAGATTTGAGGCTCAGTATCTGCTTCTGAAGCTGGGAGACAGAATCCCTGAGTTCATTATCTTCTTTTATCACTTTGTCCACTGAACTTAGGAGCAACCAACCAGCTTCATTATGTTCCTTGGTTCTCTACATATGGTCAAAATTATTAGGTTAGAGTCACTAAACTTGCCTCTCAGGAGCAGTGAATAGTGTGAAATGCATTTATTTTGCGTTACTCTCTAAACAGTTCATGCCAGGGACTATCAGCATTCTCCACACTATTAGAAGTAGAGTCCTTAGCATTTTTGGGTCTAATCATATTAAGCAACCAACTCCAGAAACCCCTAAACTAACAAAAGAACTCCATCCTTAATATTCTGTTCCTCTAGAACCACTCCTGTTACCAAAATCTGTATTAGTCAGGTTTTCTAGAGGGACAGAACTAATAGAATATATATATATAGAATATATACATATAGAATATATATATAGAATATACATATAGAATATATATATAGAATATATATATATAGAATATATATATAGAATATATATATAGAATATATATATAGAATATATATATAGAATATATATATAGAATATGTATATAGAATATATATATATAGAATATGTATATAGAATATATATATAGAATATGTATATAGAATATATATATAGAATATGTATATAGAATATATATATATAGAATATATATGTATATAGAATATATATATAGAATATATATGTATATAGAATATATATATAGAATATATATGTATATAGAATATATATATATAGAATATATATATATAGAATATGTATATAGAATATATATATAGAATATATATATAGAATATATATATACAGAATATATATATACAGAATATATATATAGAATATATATAGAATATATATATAGAATATATGTATATAGAATATATATAGAATATATACATATAGAATATATATACTATATATATAGAATATATAGTATATATATAGAATATATATATAGAATATATATAGAATATATATATAGAATGTATATAGAATATATATATAGAATGTATATAGAATATATATATAGGATATACATATAGGATATACATATAGGATATACATATAGGATATACATATAGGATATACATATATAGGATATATATATAGGATATATATAGGATATATATATATAGGATATATATAGGATATATATATATAGGATATATATATAGGATATATATATAGGATATATATATAGGATATATATATATAGGATATATATATAGGATATATATATAGGATATATATATAGGATATATATATATAGGATATATATATAGGATATATATATAGGATATATACATAGGATATATACATAGGATATATATATATAGGATATATACATAGGATATATATATAGGATATATATATAGGATATATATATAGGATATATATATAGGATATATACATAGGATATATATATAGGATATATACATAGGATATATATATATAGGATATATACATAGGATATATATATATAGGATATATATAGGATATATATATAGGATATATATATAGGATATATATATAGGATATATATATAGGATATATATAGGATATATATATAGGATATATATATAGGATATATATATAGGATATATATAGGATATATATAGGATATATATATATAGGATATATATAGGATATATATATAGGATATATATATGTAGGATATATATGTAGGATATATATATATAGGATATATAGGATATATATAGGATATATATAGGATATATATATAGAATATATAGAATATATATAGGATATATATATAGAATATATAGAATATATATAGGATATATATATAGAATATATAGAATATATATAGGATATATATAGAATATATATATAGAATATATATAGAATATATATATAGAATATATATATGGAATATATATATAGAATATATATATGGAATATATATATAGAATATATATATGGAATATATATATAGAATATATATATGGAATATATATATAGAATATATATATGGAATATATATATATAGAATATATATATATAATATATATAGAATATATAGAATATATATAGAATATATATAGAATATATATAGAATATATATAGAATATATATAGAATATATAGAATATATATAGAATATATATAGAATATATAGAATATATATAGAATATATATAGAATATATATAGAATATATATAGAATATATATAGAATATATATAGAATATATAGAATATATATAGAATATATATAGAATATATAGAATATATATAGAATATATATAGAATATATAGAATACATATAGAATATATATAGAATACATATAGAATATATATATAGAATACATATAGAATATATATATAGAATATATATATAGAATATATATATAGAATATATATATAGAATATATATAGAATATATATATAGAATATATATAGAATATATATAGAATATATATATAGAATATATATAGAATATATATAGAATATATATATAGAATATATATAGAATATATATATAGAATATATATATAGAATATATATAGAATATATATATAGAATATATATAGAATATATATATAGAATATATATAGAATATATATATAGAATATATATATAGAATATATAGAACATATATAGAATAGATATATAGAATATATAGAATAGATATATAGAATATATAGAATAGATATAGAATATATATATAGAATATATATAGAATATATATATAGAATATATATATAGAATATATATATAGAATATATATATACACACACACACAAAATGTAAGTTAGTACGTTATATATATATTATTTTATATATAATATATATTATGTTAGTATTTAATATTAACAGAATAATATAATAATAGAATAATATATATTATAATATATATTATATATAAAACATATATAATATATAATATATATAAAACATATATAATATATAATATATATATATGCTTATTGAGTACTAACTTACACAATCACAGGGTCACATAATAGGCTGTCTGCAAGCTGAGGAGCAAGGAGAGCCAGCCTGAGTCCCAAAAGGGAAGAACTTGGAGTCCAATGTTCAAGGGCAGGAAGCATCCAGCATGGGAGAAAGATGTAGGCTGGGAGGCTAGGCCAGTGTCTCTCCTTTTCTTGTTTTTCTGTTTGCTTTATGTTAAATGGCAGCTGATTAGACTGTGCCCACCAGATTAAGGGTGGATCTGCCTTCCCCAGCCCACTGTCTCAAATGTTAATCTCTTTTGGCAACACCCTCATAGACACACCGAGGATCAATACTTTGTATCCTTCAATCCAAATCAAGTTGACACTTAGTATTAACCATGCACAAAAAACATTTGACAAACATTTTACAAAATCCAGCATTGCTTTATGATTAAAAGCTTCAACAAAGTTGGCATACAAGGAACATACCTGAAGGTAGTAAAAGCCATTTATGACAAACCTACAGGCAACATTATATTGAATGAGGGAAATTAGAAATCATTCCCCCGATAACTGAAACAAGGTAAGGATGTCCACTTTCACCACTTGTCTTCAACATTGTATTGAAAGTTCTAGCCAGAGCAATCAGACAAGAGAAAGAAATAAAGGGCATCCGAATTGGCAAAGAGAAAGTCAAACTGTTGCTGTTTGCTGATGATATGATTGTACAGCTAGAAAACCCTAAAGACTCATGTAGACCAATGAAACAGAATAGAGAACCCAGAAATAAAACCAAATACTTACAGTCAACTGATCTCTGACAAAGGAAATGAAAACATAAAGTGGGGAAATGACACCCTATTCAACAAATGTTGCTGGGATAATTGGCAACTCACATGTAGAAGAATGAAACTGGATCCTATGTCTCACCGTATACAAAAATTAACTCAAGATGGATCAAAGACTTAAATCTAAGACCTGAAACCATAAAAATTCTAGAAGATAACACTGAACAAAACCCTTCTAGACATTGGTTTAGGCAATGACTTCATGAGCAAGAACCCAAAAGCAAATGCAACAAAAACAAAAATAAATTCATGGGACCTAATTCAGCAAAAAAGCCTCCGCATAGCAAAAGAAATAATCAACAGAGTTAACAGACGACCCATAGAGAGGGAGAACATATACACAAACTATGCATTTGACAAAGGACTGATGTCCAGAATCTACAAGGAACTCAAACAAATCAGCAAGAGGAAAATGAATAATCCCATCAAAAAGAAGGCTAAGTACAGGAATAGAAAATTCTCAAAAGAGGATATACAAATGGCCAGCAAACATAAAAAAATGCTCAGCATCCCTAATTATCAGGGAAATGCCAGTGAAAACCACAATGCAATACCACCTTACTTCTGTAATAGTGGCCATAATTGAAAAATAAAAAAATAATAGGTGTTGGTGTGGATGTGGTAAAAAGGGAACACTTTTACACAGCTGGCAGGAATGTAAACTAGTACAATCACTATAGAAAACAGTATGGAGATTCCTTAGGGAACTAAAAGTAGATTTACAATTTTATCCAGCAATCCTACTACTGGGTATGTACCAGAGGAAAAGAAGTCATTATATGAAAAAGATACTTGCACACACATGTTTATAGCAGCACAATTCACAGTTGCAAAAATATGGAACCAGCCCAAATGTCCGTCAATCAATGAGTGGAAAATGAAAATGTGGTGTATATCGTGGAATACTGTGCAGCCATAAAAAGGATGAGTTTATGTCCTTTGTAGGGACATGGATGAAGCTGGAAACCATCATTCTGAGCAAACTATCACAAGGACAGAAAACTGAACGCCGCATATTCTCACTCATAGGTGGGAATTGAACAATGAGAACACCTGGACACGGGGTGGAGAACATCACACACTGGGGCCTGTCGTGGGGTTGGGGGAGGGAAGAGGGGGGAGGGAAAGCATTAGGAGAAATACCTAATGTAAATGAAGAGTTAATGGGTGCAGAACACCAACATGGCACATGTATACATATGTAACAAACCTGCACGTTGTGCACATGTACCCTAGAGCCTAAAGTATAATTAAAAAAAACAACAACAAAAAAACAAAAAAACCAACAATCTATTGATAGATACATCCAAGAATGTAAATGAATCCTTGAATCTTTAGGGAATCATGCTGAGTGAAAAAAAAAGCCAATATCAAAAGAACACATACTGCATGATTCCATTCATATCACTTTCTTGAAATGACAAGTTTAATAGAAGTAGAGAATATATTAGTGGTTGCCAGGGGTTAGGCATGGAAGCGGGGAAAGGTCAGTGTGATTATAAAAGGGTAACATGAGGGCTCCTTGTGGTGGTAGAACTGTTCTGTGTCTTGACCATATCAATGTCAGTGTCCCTTGTGATATTATGCTGTAGTTTGTAACATGTCATTGAAGAATAATGGGTAAAGAATGTATGACATTTCTCTATATTATTATTATTATTTTATTGGTAAGACACAGGGTCTTGCTGTGTTGCCCAGGTTGGTCTTGAGCTCCTGGTCTCAAGTGATCCTGCTCTCTCCACCTCCCAAAGTGCTGGGATTACAGACCTGAGCCACCATGCCTGCCCTCTTTACTATTTCTTACAGTTACATGTGGATCTATGATTACCTCAAAATAAAAAGTGTAATTAAAAAAAAGAAAATGTGGTGTATATATATATATACCGTAGAATGCTACTCAGCCACAAAAAGAAGTGAAATAACGGCAATTGCAGCAGCCTGAATGACGTTGGAGGCCATTATTCTAAGAGAAGTAATTCAGGAATTGAAATCTAAATGTCATGTGTTCTCACTTATATGGGCATGCAAAGGCAAAAGAATGATATAATGAACGTTGGGGACTCAGAGGGTAGGGTCATAGGATGGTGCGGGAGAAAAGACTACACATTGGGTACATGTACACTCCTCAGATGATGGATGCACCAAAATCTCAGAAACCACCACAAAAGAACTTACCCATGTAACTAAAAACCACCCCCTCCCCGCAAATCAAGTTTATCTTTAAACTAGCAGGGTACATTCCTTGCTTGTCATGACCCATGGTCCTAGGATGTTGATAGCTAAGGAAGCAGTTTGGTAATACCTGCAAGGATAAACTCCTATGACAACAAAATGTCCAGATATCCCAATATCACAGAACAGTATGTGCTTTAAAACTGATTTTGTAACTGATAGAGGAGTTAAAAAGAAATTATTTAGGCAGATAGTGAGAGTAAAGAAGTCCTTGGTAAGGTTTTCCTTTTAATGAAAAGCAGCCCCCAAATCATTTTCTTTTCTAACAAAGAGCAGCCTGTAAAATTGAGCTGCAGACATAGACAAGCAAGCTGGAAGCTTGCCTGAGTGAATGCCAGCAGTTGTGCCAATAGGAAAAGGCTACCTGGGACTAGGCATGTTCAAATGGCGGCTCCATCTTCTCTTTTCCTTTCCAACCACGTGTGCAGCAGGGAGCAGACAACATGGTGTCAGCCAAGTGGAAAGCCTATTTGCATAAGAAGATTAGGGTGGGGTGGTCAGCTTCCCCATGCACTATGTAAACATCACACCTGGTCCAACCAATCTGTGGGCCCTGTGCAAATCAGACACCTCTTTCAGCCTGTGTATAAAATCCAGTGCACTCTGCCATGGGCTGGAATTCCCACTTGCGTGCCCCTTCTCTCACAGGAGAGAGAGCTATTCTTCTTTCTCTTTCTTTTCTTTTGCCTATTAAACCTCTACTCCTAAACTCACTCCTTGTGTGTGTCTGTGTCCTTAATTTTCTTGGCATGAGGCAATGCATCTCAGGTATCACCCCAGACAAAGGTGCTGCTTTATTTTTGGTGCTCATTCAGGATCCCAAGGTACATTCATCAGAATGGTGAGTACAGGAGCAGACCTCCACTCTGTTTTTTTATTTTGAGGCTCTTGGCCTCCATTTTTAGAATCAAATCAAACCAAATACTGGGTCCCCTTCAGCCATTTAAAAATGATTAGTGTGGCTCCCAGCATTACAAGACGGGAGACAGGCTTCCTGGGGAGAACATGGAGAATCCCCCATTACCCATGGGTTGCTGGGCATATTGGCCGTGTTTGAACCAGTTTCCTTTCATGGAGGATCTAGCCATCACCTGGGGCTGGAAGAAGTCAGGGAGCAACTGAGGATTTCTGGATGGAGCTACCACGTGGCATTATGAAAGGCTTCTAGACTGACCCCAGCCTCCGAATGCCTGACTGGGTGTTGGCAACAGGATCTCTAACTTTCCTATCACGATTTCCTCCTTTCTTGTCCATGATTGCCATGTCTCCTATTCTTTCTCTGTATACAATGCTGCAGGAATTTTACAGTTCAGGGAAGTAATCCTGTTAGGCAAGATCAGGAAATGCTGTAGTAACCAGGGATATAGCTCAGGGGAATGTCATTGTGATTTTCTAGGAACACATCCCCCCTACCCGCCACAGTGAGCATCTCTCTCTGCCCTTGGTCTGGAGTGCACATGGAGTTTCAAGGTCAACAGCACCAGCTAGCGGAATAGAAGTCCTATCCATGTGGCGCATTGTCAGTCCTTTGCCAAAAAACTCTAACTTACCAATTCTCCTCCCTTTTTGCATCCCTCTACTAGAAACTAGGTTTTATGCTGCTTCAGCTATATGTGTTTGTATAGTGTGTATATGTGAGTGTATGTGTGTGTGTATGTATGAAGAGAGACAGAATGAAGAGACTAAGATTTTTGACTGAACCATTCTAAAGTAACTTGCTAGACCCATGATATTTCACCACTAAACACCTCATCGTGCATCTCCTAAGAGTAAAAACCTACATTATCACACCAAAGAAAATAAACAATAATTCCATATTATCTAAAGTCCTTTCATATTCAAGTATCTTCACTTCTTCAATCTATTCTTTGTACATTTTTATAACTTGGTTCCATAAAATATCCACTCATTGCCTTTGATTATGTGTCCTTTAGTTACCTGTAATCTACAACAATCCACTAATCCTTTTTTCTTTTAGAACAGCATTACTTATTGCAGGCCAAATAACTTTAGCATGCTCTCCACACCGAATTTATCATATTATTTCCCCTGATGCCTTTTACTTTGCTCTTCTCTCTGCTGTGTTTCCTAAAGACCGAGGCAGATCTGGGTTAAACATTTGGCAACAATATTTCCAGGAGGGGCTGTCACCTGCACTTTCATTACATTGACAGGCACACGAGGCTCTTCAGGGCTCTTTCTGACACCATAATAGCCAAATTCATTCTGATTTCCTAGAGATGCATACACCAGGGCTGGGAATGCAGTGGGTACAAGTACGATTTTCTGGCAATAGGAGATCCTGCCACTCTCCCCATTCCTCATGTGCCTCATCAGGCCAGGTCCCTCCAGGCCTGAACTCCCTTTGCCTGTTTCCCAGCCCCACTCCGTTTTGTGTCTGTCTCCTCTTCCCTTCCCCTGTCCAAGCCCAGCTCCTGAGTGTCTCTACCTCTCAAACTAGTGTTCTCATCCAGGGGAGATTTTCCCACCAGAGGACAGGAGCTATGTCTGGAGAAATTTTTTGTTGCCATAACTGCAACAGTCCATGATCCTCTGCACTAGGCAGAGGGTAGAGATTGAGGGAGGCCCTCACTCCAAATCTTCTATCACTGCTAATGAAGTACTAAAAAGAGGTACAAAGCACTGTATCCCCTCTGGGGACCTGGCAGAAAAGCAGGGTCTCCACAACGTCAAATTCTATAGAAAAACATACCATTTTGGCAAAATACCCAAGTCACATTTCTAAGCCCCAGGCTGCAGCTCAAATACAAACAATATCAAAAACCCAAAACCTTAGTCAAGCTAAAATCATTGAAGCTGGCTGCAAGGGTTTGTGAGACCTGTAGTTAGAGGGAAGGACAACTTAATTTAGAACTGCAGCAGAAGAACGGCATCATGTGGTCCCCTGAATGAACCCTCTCCTTTCAGCAGGAAATTGTGAGGACATTTTTTTGGGGGAAAAAGTAGAATCTTGTTAAATTTCTGAGGTCTACACTTACTACTTATTTGTTGACTTTGTAGATGTCAACTTCACTTTGAACATCCTGCAATTCACTTTTTTACTGTAAGTGGAGAGAATCTGAACTTGTTTCTGAAGCAGGAAACCAGGGACTGGTTATGTGAGCTATCAACCCACCCTGTGGCTGGCTCCCTTATGCAGTAAGCATGACAGATTGTGGGCCAACAAAATTTGTAGCAAGGAAAACCGTAAACCCTCCATTTCAGTCTATGTTTCAGCTTGTCTAGTAATGATCTAGCCTTGCCTCACTCTTAACATTTTAAAGTTTATAATTCTACTTGATATTGATTTTATAAGAATTCATGTATTTTCATTTCTGTTGTGTTTGTCACTGGAAGCCTCCTCAAAACAACTGTGGAGTAAAGAAAAGTAAATAAATGCATGGTGTACTAGTGCTCAATGCATTTTGCAAATGTGTCAGCCTCACTTCCACAGATGGTGCTGCAACAAGTGGTGCTGAGAAACTGGATATCCGCATGCAAAAGAATGATGTTGGACACAATTCATAGCCTTCCCTACACCATACTCAACAATTAACTCAGAATGTATCAAACAACGAAGCTTAAGAGTCAAACCTGTAAAACCCTTAGAAGAAAACATTGAGGAAAGTCTTGTGAACATTGGATTTGGTAGTAGTTTCTTGGCTGGATGACCCAAAGCATGAGCAATTAAAGAAAAATGATAAATTAGACTTTATCAGATTTAAAAACTTTTTTGCAACAAGTGACATTATTAAAAGAGTGGAAAGAAAATGCACAGAATGGGAGGAGCTATTTGCCAATCATACATCTGATGAAGAATTAATATTCAAAATACATAAAAAAACTACAACTCATCCATTAAAAAAACAACGCCATTCAAAAATGGGTAATGGACATGAAGAGACATTCACGCCGCTGTCCATCACCCACACAACAGGTAGAGTAAACCTTTCAAACGGGAATTAGGGCACATCATCACCACCACATCCCAAAGCCACTCTAGCTTCTTCCCCTCTTAGTGCAATGAAACCCCAATGTCTCACCATTTCCTACAAGCCCCTCAACACAGGGCCCCTCTGTCAACTCTGGGCTCATCCCACTCCTCTCAGCCCAGCTCACTTGTCTCCACTCACACCAGCCTCTTGTCACTGCTCTGCCCTATTTCTGCCACCTACCCATGCTCTGACTCCCACATGTACCTGCTCCCCAGGGATTCACATGACTCACTCCTCACACGATTCAGGTCTCTTCTCAGATAACCAGTGGTCAAGTTCTCAGAAACGTCTTGCTCAA
Source organism: Homo sapiens (assembly GCF_000001405.40). Classification (NCBI taxonomy): domain Eukaryota; kingdom Metazoa; phylum Chordata; class Mammalia; order Primates; family Hominidae; genus Homo; species Homo sapiens. The sequence continues at coordinate 31,419,949 of NC_000006.12, read as the reverse complement.
TGACCTTGTCTAAACTATGTCCCTGCTATTCCCACCATCACCAATCTTCTGGCCTAGGCATATTTTTCTCAATGGCAATTAGTGGTAATACTAGGTTTTATTTGCTTACTGTCCATTGGTATATTAGGGTTCTCCAGAGAAACCCAACCAACTGGATAGATAGATAGATGGACCATAGAGAGAAGGAAAGCACCACAGTCACTGAAGTAAGGGCCCTCATGGAAGAGGTGTGACAGGAAAGGTCTGCTGTCCCAGGGCCACCATATATAGGAGTGACTCCCATCCTGGGCAGGACCTTTCTTTCTTTTGTATTCACAGTAGTTCTGAAATTGCAGGATGCTGAAACCCAGCACCGGCCAGTTATACTGTTTCTTTCTTTACCATTAAATGCTGTGCCAAAGAGCACCTTAATACATTTCTTTCCTCTTCCTGGAGAGAGGCAAAATGATAGTAGATATGTTGAAACACACAAATGTACTTTAAGCACGTGCTTTCAGGAAAAGCTACTAGAAGATTAGTTGCACCAAAATGAGGGGGGATACAAAAGTGAAAAGAAAGATTGCATATCCGTATTCATAATGGTGTTATTCACAACAGGCAAGATATGGAAGCAACCTATATGTTTACCAACAGATGAATAGATCAAGAAAATATGATTATATACAGACAATGGAATATTATTCAACATTTAAAAGAAGAAAATCTTGCTATATGCTACAACGTATATGAACCTTAAAGTCATTGCTAAGTGAAATATGCCAATCAAAAAAAAAAAAAAAACTCCAAGTACTGCATAATTCCATTTACATGAGGTGTCTAAAACAGTCAAACTTGATGAATGTGAAGGTAGAATGGTGGCTGCCAGGTAAAACTTCCAGGTAATAAGGATTTTTGTGAAAGGGGCACAGAGTTTCAGCTTTCAAGGTGAAATATTCTAAAGATCGGTTGCACTACACTGTGCTTACAATTAACACTATTATAGTACAGTATATTTTAATTTAATTTTTTTTTTTTGGCTGGAGACAGGGTCTCACTACTTTCCCCAAGCCTGACTTGAACTGTAGGCCTCCAGTGATCCTCCTGCCTTAGCCTCCCAAATTGCTGGGATTACAGGCATGAGCCACCACACCTGGCCAATGGTACTGTATTCTTAAAAATAGTTATGATAGTAAATTTTATGTGTATTTTTTGCCACAATGAAAAAATGCTCAGCCCTCTTACTAATTTAGAAAGAAACTGCATCAGTTAATTAAAAATATATTAGGATGTGGCCTGTGGTCCTGACTACCTAGGAAGATGAGGTAGGAGGGTCACTTGAGCCTATGAGGTTGAGCCTGTAGTAAGCCATGATGGCACCACTGCACTCCAGCCTGGCTGACAGAGCAAAATTCCCTTTCTCTCTCTCTCTCTCTACACACACACACACACACGAACCAGGAGAATCAGCATCTCATGAAACTAGACAGAAAGGCTCATATGCCTCAGCCTTGACATCTTGAATCAGTCTGCATTTTGGCTGGACCCCAGGTGGCTCCACTGCATGTAAAGCACTGCCCCAGATGGCGGTGGAGGGAGATCCTAGGACAGTGACTCTGCTCCACAGGGAGAAGCCTCCAGTCCAGATGGGAGCAGCGAGAAGGGCCCAGGAGGGACATTTCCAAGAAGGTAAAGTGGAATATCCAAAGTCTGTAATTTCTTAAAAGAGTAATACGGCTGGGTGCAGTGGCTTACCTCTGTAATCCCAGCACTTTGGGAAGCCGAGGCGGGTGAATCACCTGAGGTCAGGAGTTCGAGACCAGCCTGACCAATACGGAGAAACTGTCTCTACTAAAAATACAAAATTAGCCGGGTGTGGTGGTGCATGCCTGTAATCCCAGCTATTCGGGAGGCTGAGGCAGGAGAATCCCTTGAACCTGGGAGGTGGAGGTTGTGGTGAGCCAAGATTGTGCCATTGCATTCCAGCCTGGGCAACAAGAGCGAGACTCCATCTCAAAAAAAAAAAAAAAGGCCAGGCGCGATGTCTCACGCCTGTAATCCCAGCACTTTCAGAGGCTGAGGTGGGTGGATCACGAGGTCAAGAGATCGACATCATTGTGGACAACATGGTGAAACGCCGTCTCTACTAAAAATACAAAAATTAGCTGGGCATGGTGGTGAGTGCCTGTAATCCCAGCTACTCGGGAAGCTGAGGCAGGAGAATTGCTTGAACCTGGGAGGCGGAGGTTGTGGTGAGCCAAGATCACACCACTGCACTCCAGCCTGGACAACAGAGTGAGACTCCATCCCAAAAAAAGGAGTAATACAAATAGAAGAAATATCAACGTTAATGAGTGCTATTTATAAAATAAACAAAAACAAAGGCAAGTATTAACTACAGGAAGAACAAATGTTCAGGAAGTGAAAAGTGGTCAAGCTGACATATGAGAAAATTAGTCATGGAAAAGGAAACAAGGAACGACTGAACCAAACATAATTACTACAGAAATACATCGGGAAGATGAAAGAATGGGAAGAGTGAAAGGGAACAGGTACAATTAACTATTGCATTCACCACTGTGCTGTGCAACAGATAATGACTGCAACGGAAAAATCAAGCAGTATTAATGAAGGAATTGTATTTAGACATATGGAAGTAAAAGTTGAAAGACTTAGCTAAAAATGTTGAAAATGGTTGCCTCTAGGAAGGCAGAAATTGAGAAGATGCAGAGAGGACTCATTTCTCTAGAGAAATCCTATGCAAATATTTGACTTTTAAAATCATGGACAATTAAATTTTGATTATAAAAACTTCAATGAATATGAAAATTTATACCTAATGAGAACAGAATTCAACAAGTGACACTTGCTAACTAAAATAAACAAGACTAATAAATACACAACATAAATGCATGAATGTGTAAATGACATCAACCTGAAAACATAAAAGAAAATGTCAACGAACACATCTCTGGATCAGTAAGTAGCACATGAGTGAATTCCCTACTCCAGCTCCCTTACTGGTTGCTTTGTGAACCAGGCAGTGGGAGGAAACAGGGCCCAGCCAGGGTCCCTCGTCCTTCTCTTGCTTCCAGGCAGGTCCTGCATCCACTCCTGCTGCAAGAAGGGCTCCCATCCCTGCCTTGGGTCTTTTTCACAGGTGTCACCCTTACACTCTCTGCCATGACCACCTTACGTGGGTGGGGCTGAGGTTGCCTTGACCAAGAAGTGCATCACCCATCTGTGTGCCCCAACACCAGCAGTCAGGAGGCATCAAGAAATAGGGTGAGGAATAACCCACCTCTTGCATGTCCACTTTCCTGGTTCATTTATTCTTCATTCATTCAGTCCACACCTCCCCAGCAGTCACTTTACGCCAGAACCTGACTGACTGGGATTCTTCAAAATCAGAAAACCTCCAAGCACTCTCTATCCCCTCCCGAATATCACACTTCAGCTCTGTGTCATCACATGAAGGCTCCAACTCTTCAGGGCAGATGTTCCCCCACAGGGTCAGCCCCTGAAGGTCAGTGCCAGATGTCCCACCTCCATCCCTTCCCAGTCCTTTCTGTTCTGCTGTGAATCTGTCAGTCATCAGGAGCTAGCAGGGAAAGGGGACAAGGAGGGGAGATTGTCTTCATGCCGTGCCAAGGCATTGAGACAGACCTCTCTTTCTCCCTGAACCTCACACTTTATCCGCTCCCAGACACATGAAATAAAACAGACTAGAAGTGTCTGTTTAAAGAGTAAACATCTATGGTATAAAATTACACACCCATAACAGTAGACATAGAGTAATGCGTAAGAGTGTGATGGGGCGAGGGGACCTCAAGGTGACAAGAAAGCTGGTCCTGGGCTGGTCAGGAGGAGTCATCTCCAAGACACTCACTCACAAAGCTCACCGATGATAATCCAATTACAACACACGTAATATATTAAAATATCTTAAAATATAATAAAATAGGCCAGACATGGTGGATGATATAATAAAATAAAATAAATTAAAATGTAATAAAATAGGCCGGGTATGGTGGCTCATGCTTGTAATCCCAGCACTTTGGGAGGCTGAGGCAGGCAGATCACCTGAGGTCAGGAGTTTGAGACCAGCCTGGCCAACATGGCAAAATCCTGTCTCTATGAAAAATGCAAAAATTAGCCGGGTATGGTGGTGCATGTCTGTAACCCCAGCTACTCGGGAGGCTGAGGCAAGAGAAGTGCTTGAACCCGGGAGGCGGAGGCTGCAACGAGCTGAGATCATGTCACTGAACTGCAGCCTGGGTGACAGAGTGAGACTCTGTCTTTTTTTTTTTTTTTTTTTGAGACAGAGTCTCGCTCTGTCGCCAGGCTGGAGTGCAGTGGTGTGATCTCAGCTCACTGCAACCTCCACCTCCCAGGTTCAAGTGATTTTCCTGCCTCAGCTCCTGAGTAGCTGGGACTACAGGCACACGCCACCAGGCCCAGCTAATTTTTTGTATTTTTAGTAGAGACAGGGTTTCACCATGTTGATCAGGATGGTCTCGATCTCTTGACCTTGTGATCCGCCCGCCTCGGCCTCCCAAAGTGTTGGGATTACAGGCGTGAGCCACCGTGCCTGGCCTGAGACTCTGTCTTAAAAAAAAAAAATAATAATACGAAAACAACAAAAACAATGACACCAATTAATATGGCACAGCTGCAAATGCCTCATATCTACTAACATTTTGCAGCCTCCAACAACAATAAATAAGTGCTTTTATTTTCTCTGTTTCATAGGTCAGGAAACTGAGGCACCAAGAGGGAAAGTGCTTGTGAGATCCAGGCAGGGAATTCAATTCCAGCCGCCTGGCTGTAGAGTCTAGGTGCCCTCAGTGGAGCCAGTGGACCCAAGAGCTGACATCAGAGGCTGAAATCCGAGCTGTGTGGCATCCCTGTGGTCACTCGTCCCAACTGGGTGTTGATCCAGGACCTGCAGGCTCACGAGCTCTGGAGAAAAGAGGGAAATGGGTAAATGCTCCACTGGGTGCAGTGTTGTGTTTATTCCCTGGGGACTTTTCTCTCTTCAGTTGCTCCAAAACCAGATTTGCCCTTTCTCTGAGGGAAGATGAGGCCCCCACTTTTTTCTTCCTCCCTCCTTGCTTTTCCCAGCCCCTGCCAGTTCCCTCCCATCACTCCATCAACATCAGCCCGTGCCCTGTGCCCACCACTCATCGTGCAGGGAGGGAAAGGGCCCCAAGACTAAAGGACAAGACCCAAGAGGGAACCCAGTGCCCTCCTCTCAGGCCTGACCAGTCCTGTTACAGTGAGAGGCCTCCCCAAAGAGAGGCCCTGACCCTTGCTCTCAGTCCCCAGGCCCTCCTCTCCTTCAGAGGCACCTACACACCAGGGCAGGCCCTGCCCACTGTGGGCTCTGCCCTCTATCTGCAGCTCAGTGCTCCTCCCCTCCCAGCCCTGAGCAGGCAGCTCCTAACTGGGGACCCCATCAGGAAGCCTGGGGGGCCCAGCAGGCCCAGCATGGAAAGACGTGGCTGCCACAGGATCTGCACCTGACCTGACCCTGGGACCCCCACCTTGCTCGAGGAGGCCTGGCCTCTCCTGACCCTCACAACCCAAGCCTGTGACCTGCTCTTGAGTAACCGCTACTCCTGCCTGGTCCGCTTAACCCTGGAAACGCAGCTCCACCCCAGGGCTGCTGCTTGGTGAGGCTGCGAGGCCTTCCTGCTCTGTCCCTAGCAGGGATTCCACCCGGCCACTGCCCTTGCAACCTACAAGGGATTTTCTCCATGTGGAGTAGGGGAGACCCCTTAGCCTGAGGCTGCCTCTGCCCACCCTCTGCACCTGGGAACTGCCACTGCCACAGCCACCATCTCCACACAGAACCTCCTGGAGAGGGGGCTCCAAATTTGAGTTCCTGTTTCATTTAATATGCTTTACAGTATTAGGAAATCCTATTAAGATTGCAGAGCTGAAATTATGAAAATCTTTATTGGACATCGCAGGAATTTTGAGAAATTTGTGTTCCTGTTTCATATAATATGCTTCACAATATTAGAGGAAATCCTATTAAGATTATAGAGCTGAAATTACGAATATCTTTACTGGACATCAACATTGAAAGCAGGAATTTTGAGAAACTGGCACATGAACTTCATACTCTTTTCCTGGCCAAAACTCCAGTGACCTATGAGGAAACCATTCCTGCCCACAGGGAACCAGAACTGACAATCCCTCTACGGGAGACGCCACAGGTGAGAGCAGGAGTGACCACAGACCTGCACTGCCCCTGTTGTGGGTGCCTCCTGGACAGGGCCCTCTTGCTGCAGGGCAGGGGACAAACCTTCCCATCTGCTCAGGCCTGAGGGGCCGATTGACAGTGCAATTAGGTTCAAGGATGAGAAACCAGCGACCCTACTGCCAGACACATCCTCCTGGACACCCCAGCCTCTTACTGTCGCCTGAACTGCTTCTGTCTTTGCAGAAACACAAAACTTCCTGCTGTCTCTTTTCATCCCCCATCAAACAACCTGACTGTAGGGGAAATGATTCTGACCGTCCCTTACTCCAAACTTACCAGGCAGTGACCACCTTTAGAAAGGGAAATTGGCTCAGGGAGGGCAAGGTGAGGCCACAGAGCACAGATTAAATCCCCAAAAACATGGGCCCTGAGGACTGTGTCCCTCAGGGACTGGAGAAGAAAACACTCGGAGGTAGGATGAAAACAGGGACCACAGCTGCCCTGATGAGGGGCTGGGCCCCACTCCTCAAATGGCCCAGGGACATCTGCTTATCTACTCATCCATGTCATCTGCAAGAAACTCAGGGAGGCCAGGCCGTGGGAACCTGGAAAGAGTAGGGCCTCGAATGGTGCAGAGGACACGACAACCCCAAGAAAGCTCCTGGAGGAGGTGCATGGGGAGCTGCAAAGTGGACAGAGATGGCCATGTGTGCTCAGGACCCTCCCTGTTACAAGGGGTCTCCAAAGGGCTACACAGGCAGGGCCCCCAGGCTGGGCCTCATAGGTCTTTTTCTCGGTGTCCGCCCCGATGGCTGGAGAAACAGGGGAGGGGGATGCAGAGAGGAAGGGAATAGGGGCACCGCCTCTCCTCAGATTCCTCTCCAGTTTCTGGCCCTCCCCAGATCACAGCTGCCTTTACTATTTGCTCCCTCTGAGGCCGTGATCATCCAGGCCCTTAGCATTCAGCACGTGATTCCCAGCTCACCCCACCTGGATGCGCCCTAGTGAGTTCAAGAGACACAGAGACCGGGATGGGGACAGAGCAGGCGCCGCAGCCCTCCCTGCTGCCCACTCCTCACCTGCAGCAGGAGGATGCCACAGCTGGGCGTTTGACCCTTGCTTGGGCAGCACTTATGGGTGTAGATGGAGATGCTGCCCCCATTCCCTTCCCAAATTCCCCAACTTTCATCCCCTGTTATGGAAGCCTTGTCACCAACATGCCTATCTTTGCAGGAGCAATGAGGGGACCCTACTGCCCAGACAGGGGCCTTACCATCTCCAGAAACTGCCCGCTTTTCTCACCTGGACCCTCTGCAGCTGATGTTTTCTTCTTACAACAACGGACATAGAAAATAATAATAACAAAAATAGCAGCAGCCAGCAGCAACAGCAGAAACATGGAATGTCTGCCAATGACTCTGAAGCACCAGCACTTTCCCTGAAAAAAAGGGACTTGTTATACACTGGGCAGAGAGCCACAGCCATCCCTGCTGTCCCTACCCTGGCCTGACCCTCTCCAGGGTCACCCTAGGCTCACCAGAGGGCACAGGGTGAGTGCTGTGATTCCCGCTGTGTTCCATGTAGCAGGTGAACCTCTGCTCCTCTCCTCGGCAAATCCTGGTGGCCACCCAGGTCTGGTAGGTTCCATTCCCATCAGGCAGGACATCCCCCCACTGCTGGGTGTCGTGGCTCAAAGATACCCCATCCTGACGCCAGGTCAGTATGATATTCCGGGGATAGAAGCTGGAAGCCCTGCATGTCACGGTGATGTTGCCCTCTGAGGCCTCGCTGCGGGTGACATTCACCATGGGGGGCACTGGAGAAGAAAGGGCAGAGCCAGTGAAGCCCTGCTCCCCTCTAAGGAGGGGAGAGGAACAGGGCTGTTTCTCTTCACTGTTCTCACTCTGGCTGAAGCCCTCCGGGACCCCTGACCTGCAAGTCTGTCCTCACTCTGGGGCCCAGTTCTTCCAGGCTGGCAGGAGGATGGGCCTTGGGACTGTGGCCTCAGGCTCTGGGATCCCCACATTGATGCTGAGGAGGGGGATGTCAGGGGTGGACTCCTGGGTTGTGGGGCCAGGAGGGAACTCTCCAGGATGGGCAGGCTGGGAGGCAGAGGGGGCAGCCCTGGCCCTGAAGGCTTCCTCTCCTGCCTGACACCCACCACAGGCTCAGGATTCTGTCGGAGGGTCCTCTACTTGCCCTGATTACAACACTGGATGGTCCAGTCCCTGACCCTCTGTCTTTATCCAGTGGCTCTAACAATAGAGGAAAATCAGGACACGATGTGCCAACAGGAAATGCCTTCATCCATAGCACAGGGAGGGTTTCCCTGGACACATCTGGGAGGTGAGGCAACTCTAGCAGAATTGGAGGGAGAGGAGAGCCCCTGGCCAGCGTCGGTACCTGTTCTCCTCAGGACTACGCCGGATTCTAGATATCGCCGTAGTTCCTGCAGGCAGTCTGCATGCATAGCGTGATAGTGTGTCTTGGTCTTCATGGCATCTTCCTTCAAGAAATTCCTGACGTTCATGGCCAAGGTCTGAGCTCTGGAGGACTGGGGCACTGTCCATTCCTCAGTCTCCAGGTTTTGGGAGAGGAAGAGCTCCCCATCGTAGTAGAAATGCTGGGAGCTCCTGGTGCTGTTGTCTTCATGGATCTCACAGACCCTAATCTCCTGGAGGGAATGCAAGCCTGCCCCCACCCAGCAGTGACTTCTCCATTCCCGAACCCATCACCTTTCCACCCAAGTGAGGAACTCAGCCCAGGGGGTATGCCTCCCTGGCCCTCCTCCATGCCTCCCTGTGTGGGCTGAGTGCCGGCTCACCTCCCTGCTGAGTTCCACTGACCCCCATTCCTCACCCCCAGCCTGAGCCAGATCCAGTGGGAAGAGACAGGTCCCTGCTCTCTGCCCCTAACTTTTCTGGAAAAGGCCTCTCCAGTCACTCTTGCCCCTGCCGACTCTCACCTTCTTTCTGGTCCTTGATATGAGCCAGGGTCATCCTGAGGTCCTTTCCGTTCCCTGTCAAGTCCCTGGTCTCTCTGTCCCATGTCTTATTTCCCAGGACATCTTCTGCCCACTGTCCCTGGGGCTTTGCCCTGCATTTCTGCCTGTCATAGCGCAGGAAGGGCTGACCATCCAGATGTACCTCAGCAAGAAACCCTGACTGCACAGATCCATCCCAGGACAGCACCGTGAGGTTATAACGAAGACTGTGGGGCTCTGGGGAAGAGGAAATCACAGGTGAAACTTCTTCCTGGAAGTAACTTCACATTGATGTTTAACACACAGGTCTGCTGTCCCAACCTTCCTGGGGCAGGAAATGCACACGGGCAAAGGGACAAGAACGAGGATTTCATATACAAAGAAAACTGTGAGGGTGGGAGGATAGAGGAGGGGGCTGATGAACAGAAGAAGGGGGAATGAAGATGGCAAACTTGTAGGCCAGGTGCAAGGACTGGGTGGCCACAAGCCCCCTAAGGGAATAGGGGCCAAGGGGAGAGGCTGCCCTGCAGGGGCAAGGGAGGAGCATGAAGGTGGTGGAAGGAAGGTCTTGCCAGAGGGGATGGTGGGAATGGGAAGGGACTCAGGCTCAGAGGGACCCATGTCCAGTGTGGCTGTGGTGCATAGGCTGAGGGTGAGATGGAGGCAAGGGGAGCTGCCTCGAGAAGAGACTCATCATGGGCATGGCGGGGACAAGGGAGGGGGTGGTCATGAGGCACAAAGGGTAGGAAGGTTGTAGCCCCAGAGAAGTTTATAGTGGGGTCAGTATCCCAGAGGGGAGCAACGAACGGTGTGGGCTTGGGTTCAAAGTGGAAGAGTAGCATGACAAGGCCCCAGGACAGCAATTGGATGGAACAGCTAGTGTCCACTGGGGTGAGCAGGTGACAAAGAGTCAGTTGATCTTTTCAGCAAATAGTTCTGGGGGCAGGGGGTGTTAAAATAAAATTGGACCCTTAATTTGCACTATATACAAAAATTAACTCAAAATGAATCAAAGACCTAAACTCTACACTCAAGAACTAAAACCTAAAAATTTCTTAGAAGCAAACATTGGGGATAATGTTCATGACATAGGATTTGACAGTGCTTTCATGGATATGACACCAAAGCACAGATAGAATAGAAAGAACTGACAAAGTAGACTGATGAAAATTCAAAACATCTATGCATCAAAGGGCACAATCAGAGTGAAAAAGCAATCAACCCCGAAATGAAATAAATATTGCAAGTCATATATCTGATAAGAGAAGCTATGTGGGGGAAAAAATGGGCAAAAGACTTAAATGGCCAATTCTTCAAAGAAAATTACAAATGATCAACAAACACATGAAAAGATGCTCAATATCAGCACTCATTAGGAAAATGCAAATCCAAACCACAATGAGATGCCACCTGAAACCAATCAGGATGGCTGTTATCACACACCTACACACACACATACACACACACACAGAGCAAGGTTGGCAAAGAGACAGAGAAAATGAAGCCCCTGTGTACTGCTTCTATTTCTGGATATATACCCAAAAGAAATACCCAAAGGAAATAAATATATACCCAAAGGAAATGAAATATTTGCCAATATCCAAAAGGTAGAAGTAACCCAAGTGTCCATTGTCTGAGGGATGGATAACCAAGATGTGGTACATACATATAATGAGTATTATCCATCCTTAAAAGGAATGAAATTCTGACCCATACTACAACTTGGATGAACCTCAAAAATATTATTATTATTATTGTTTTATTTTTTTTTTTGGAGATGGAATTTCACTCTTGTTGCCCAGGCTGGAGTGCAGTGGCCTGATCTCAGCTCACTGCAACCTCCACTTCCCGGATTCAAGCGATTCTCCTGCCTCAGCCTCCCAAGTAGTTGGGATTACAGGCACCCGCCATCACGCCCGGCTAACTTTTATTATTTTTAGTAGAGATGGGGTTTCACCATGTTGGCCAGGCTGGTTTCGAACTCCGAAACTCAGGTGATCCACCTGCTTCAGCCTCCCAAAGTGCTGGAAATCCAGGCGTGAGCCACTGTGCCCACCGAACCTCAAAAATATTATAAGTGAAATAAGCCAGAAACAAAAAGACAAACATTACATGATTCTGCTTAAATGAGGTACCTAGAGTGGTCAAATTCATAGAAACAAAAAGTAGAATGGTGGTTACCAGGGGCCAGAGGTAGGGAGGAATGGGGAGTTACCGATTAATGGGCACAGAGTTTTGGGTTGCACAAAAATGTGAATGTATCTAATGCCACCGAGTATACACTTAAAAGTGGTTAAAACAGTAAAATTTATGTAATGTATAATTTACCACAATTAAACTTTTAAAGAACAACATATGTCAGTCCTATTCAAACTGTTCTGAAAAATAGAGGAGGAGGGAATACTTCCAAACTCATTTTACAAAGCCAGGAATATCCTGATACAAAAACCAGGCAAAGACACATCATAAAAAAGAAAACTACAGGCCTATATCCCTGATGAACACCGATGCAAAAATCGTCAAGGAAATACTAGCAAACCACATTCAACAATACATTAAAAAAGATCATTCTTTATGAGCAAGTGGAATGTATTCCAGGTATGCAAGGATGATTTAACATACACAAATCAATCAATGTAATACGTCATATCAACAGAATAAAGGACAAAAGCCAGTATCATTCAATTGATACTGAAAAAGCATTTGATAAATTCAACATCCCTTCATGATAAAAACTCTCAAAAAACTAAGTATACAAGGAACAGACCTCAATATAATAAAAGCCATATATGACAAACTCACAGCTAGTAACATACTGAATGGGGGAAAACTGAAAGCCTTTTCTCTAAGATCTGGAATAAGACAAGGATGACTAATTTTACCACAGTTATGCAACACAGTACTGCAGATCCTAACTAGAGCAATCAGACAGGAGAAAGAAAGAAAGGGCATTAAAACTGGAAAAGAAGAAGTCAAATTATCCTTGTTTGCAGATCATGTGGTCTGATATTTGGAAAAACCTAAAGACTCCACCAAAAAACCATTAGAACTGAAGAACAAATTCAGTAAAGTTGCAGGATACAAAATCAACATGCAAAAATCAGTGCTAACAGCAAATAATCTGAAAAAGAAATCAAGAAACGAATCCCATTTACAATAGCTACAAATAAAATAAAATACTGAGGAATAAACCTAACTGAAGAAGTGAAAGACCTCTCCAATAAAAACTATAAAACAGTGATGTGGCTGGGCGTGGTGGCTCATGCCTGTAATCCCAGCACTTTGGGAGGCCGAGGCAGGTGGATCACCTGAGGTCAGGAGTTCAAGACTAGCCTGGCCAACATAGAGAAACCCCATCTCTAATAAAAATAGAAAATTAGCCAGGCACAGTGGCACATGCCTGTAATCCCAGCTACTTGGGAGGCTGAGGCAGAAGAATAGCTTGAACCTGGGAGGCGGAGGTTGCGGTGAGCCAAGATCACACCCTTGCATTCTAGCCTGGGCAACAAGAGTGAAACTCCATCTCAAAAACCAAAAACAAAAAACACTGATGCAAAAAATTGAAGGACACAAAAAATGGAAAAGATAGTCCACGTTCATGGATTGGAAGAATCAGTTTTGTTGAAATATCCATACTACCCAAAGTAATCTACAGATTCAATGCAATCCCTATCAAAACACTAATGACATTCTTCACAGAAATAATAAAAATAATCCTAAAATGCATATGGAACCACAAAAAAACCAGAATAGATAAAGCTATCCTGAGCAAAATGAACAAAACTAGAGGAATCACATTATCTGACTTCAAATTATACTACAGAGCTACAGTAACCAAAACAGCATGATACTGGCATAAAAACAGACACACAGACCAATGAAACAGAATAGAGAACCCAGAAACAATTCCATACATCTACAGTAAACTCATTTCCAACAAAGGTACCAAGAACACACATTGGCAAAGGAGAGTCTCTTCAAAAATGGTGCTGGGGAAACTAGATATCCTTATGCAGAAGAATGAAACTAGACCCTGTCTTTCACCATATACAAAAATCAAATCAAAGTGGATTAAAGATGTAAATCTATGACCTCAAACTATGAAACTATACAAGAAAACATTGGGGAAACTCTCTAGGATATTGGACTGGGCAAAGATTTTTAAAGTAATACCCCACAAGCACAGGTAACCAAAGTAAAATTGCATAAATGGGATCATATCAAGTAAAAAGGCTTCTGCACAGCAAAGGAAACAATAAACAAAATGAAGAGACCATCCAAGAATGGGAGAAAATATTTTCAAACTATTCATCTGACAAAGGATCAGTAACTGAAACATATAAGGAGCTCGAACAACTATAGGAAAAAAAATATAATAATCCAATTTAAAAATGAGAAAAGATCTGAATAGTCATTTCTCAAAAGAAGACATATAAATGGCAAACAGGTATATGAAAAGGTGCTCAACATCATTCGTCAACAGATGAAGGCAAATCAAAACTCCTACGAGATAACATCCCACCCCAGATAAACTGGCTTTTATCCAGAAGACAGGCAATAAGGAATGCTGGCGAGGATGTAGAAATAAGGAATGCTGGTGAGGATGTACACTGTTGGTGGGAACGTAAACTAGTACAACCACTATGGGAAACAATGTGGAGGTTCTTCCAAAAACTAAAAATACAATAGAGCTGTCATATGCTCCAGCACTCCCACTGTTAGGCATATACTCCAAAGAAAGGAAATCGGTATATTAAAGAGCTATCTACTTTTCCATGTTTATTGCAGCACTATTCAAAGTAGCCAAGATCTGCAAGCAATCTAAGTGTCCATCAACAGACGCATGGATAAAGAAAATGTGGTGTACATGTGTATGTGGAGAACTATTCAGCCATCGTGTCATTTGCAAAGAACTGGAGGTCATCCTGTGAAGTGAAATAAGCCCCAGGCCCAGACAGACAAACTTTGCATGTTCTCACTTATTTGTGGCAGCCAAAATTTAAAACAATGGACCTCATGGGGAGAGACAATAGAATGATGATTACCAGAGGCTGAGAAGGGTAGTGGGGAGTGGGGGAGCAGGGATGGTTAATAATGGGTACAAAAATATAATTAGAATGAATAAGATCTAGTAGATAGCACAGCAGGGTGAGTACAGTCAACAATAATTTATTGTACATTTAAAAATAACTGAAAGAGCATAATGGGATTGTTTGTAGCACAAAGAAAGGATAAATGCTTGTTGTGATATAACCCATTTACCCTGATGTGATTATTACATATTGTAGGCCTGTGTCAAAATATCCCATGTACCCCATAAATATATACATATATATCTACTACGTACCCAAACAAAAGTTAAAAATTAAAAACAAAGCAAGGGGTGGGGGTGCTGGCCAGAGAGAGAAAACCAAGGTAGAGGGGGAGATTCTCAGCCTGAGGAAGGACCTGCCAAAAGGAGTAATGCTGGAGGGGGAGCAGTGGCACCCCAAGAGCAGGCAAAACAGATTTTAGATATGCGGTGTGGGGAGTGAGAGCCCACTGGGGTCAAGGAACCAAAAGAAAAGAAGGAAGGTCAAGGAACAGTTGGCCCAACAGCCTGTTTTAGGTCTGGGTTGGGGAGGGGAGATGGGCAGAGCAAGAACTGGAGGGCGGCATGAGCATGGGGCAGGAGTGACTGTGGGAGAACTTGGGGTAGGGTGAGGACAGGAGGGGAGGGTGCTCTGGGGGAGGGTGGGGCTTGGGAAAGATGCTCAGCACTGTCATATGCTCCAGCACTCCCACTTTCCCACTGAAAGATGAGAACGTGCTGAGGGCCCAAGGCAGCTGGGCAAGAGACAGGAGCAGCACAAGGTCCCAAGGTGGAGAGGGGCGGAGGGACCAGGGAGGGATGGTCCAGCACCTGTGGGCTGGAGGGTGGGGTCCTCAAGAGGGTGAGGCTGAGGATGAAGGAGTGGGGAAGGGGCCACCATGAGGCAGGGTCCAGAGCAGGCATCTGCACTGGAGGGGAGGGGGCATCTGCGCTGCCCTGCGCCCTGCCTAAGGCCCAACTGCCATTAGCATCAGGGTTCCCCTTGGGGGTCTGGAGGGGAGTGGGATGGAGGGAAGACCCCCCCGGATAAAAGGCAGCACCAGAAAGTTAGAGTCAGGGACATTTGGGAACGGGGAGGCATAGGGGCAGCACTGGGTGAAGGCTGCTTGTAGGAAAGGCCCATAAGGGGTGCAGGAGGGACCTTCGGTGGCGGGGACAGGGGATGAGGGCAGAGGACACCCTAGAAATGGATCAGAGAACAGCACACAGGAAGGGGTAGCAGGGAGCTGGGAGGGCAAAAGGACTCAGCGGGCCCTGAGATGGGCAGGGAGGAGGTGAGAGGGAATCTGGTGTCCTTAGATCACTGGTCATTAGTAGGGGTGGGATGAGAGAGAGGAGAGGACCCTCGGAGCCAGAGGCGAGGGGAGAATGAGCTGGGGATGAGAGAAGTCGCAGGAAGAATCCTCTGCCCGGAGCCTGCAGACTCCAACCCCTCAGCTTGAGAGTCAGGACCCCCCACAGTCCCCACAGCAGCAGGAAGCACCAGCTCCGGGTCCCGAGAAAGGAGGGCCCCTACTCCAGGAGCTGCGGCCCAGGAGCTGAGAACACGTCGGCTCCGGGAGAGGACAGGACTTCAGGGACCTGAGAGCCGCCCCGAGCACCGGGGGTTGTGGCTGCTTCAGTGGCCGCGCTGGAAGGGCACTCGAATGCCATTCACAGGAGCAGCCCCGGAGGCAGCCCGGGAACCCATGGGCCTCAGAAGGACTGGTTTGTCCGAAAAGTGAGAGGAAGCGGAGGAGACGCGAGGAGAGAAAGAGCAGGAGGAGACCAGAAAGTGCAGGTGATGCGCGATCCCGAGGAGGACTGAAAAGTGACGGGGAAGCAGGGCTGAAGTGTGGCGGTAACGGGCCGCGTCCAGCTCCCTGCGCCACCGACAGGGCACAGGAGCCCCGCCCTGACCGCACAGCGCTCGCCGCTACCCACCCGACCCCCGGAAACGTCCCACTGCTCCCGCTCCGCCGAGGACCGCCAGGAACGCCACTCACCAGCAGCAGCTCCCGGAGGTGCAAAAGGGAAGATGCCAGCCAGAAGCAGAAAGACCGGGCCCAGCCCCATGGCCCCGACGTCGCCACCCTCTCAGCGGCTCAAGCAGTGGCCGGGGAGAAGGCGCCGCGGAAACTTAGTCACCTGGCCCGGTCCCCCGACCGCTCATCCAATGAAACTGGGGCCCGGAACTTAGGGCCAATCACGAGCGGAGAGGGCGGGGCCACGCTTGGAAGAGAAAATTCCAGTGGGCTGGAGACCTGGGGAGATTTAGAAGGCGGGACCTGGGGCCCAGAAAATGGGGAGCACGCGGGAGCGCAGCCTAAAGCAGGGACCAGCTTCGAGTAGCTGAGAGTACAGCTCCAACTTCATAAGCACGGCCAGGGCCCTGCCTGCCCTCCCGGCATCGCGACCACCCATCCCCGCGCCCCCACCCCGAGGAGCGCGGGCCTCACCAAGCCCCTTTCGCCGGCCGCCCCATTAAACCGGCTCTCACTGGCTTGTTCCTTCCAGGACAGACAACGCGTGGCTATTCTCCCAACACACTCCCTCAACCGCGCACAGCGTTACTGGCAATGAGACCAGTGACCAGATTTGCAGACCTGTTTCCAGATCTCAGCCACCTCTGCCTCTCAGAAGCACCTGCCGCAGTAGAACCGCTCAGACCACAAACTCTCTTAGACGTTTCAGCTTTATAATCTCCTTCTCCTCCCTTTGACTCAAAGCCAGGCCCCCCTTTCACCCCCTTATATCCTCTAAGTGTCTGAAGTCTCCCAGGGCCGCCTCTCTATTCAGTCCCTGGGTGATCACAGGGCCAAGGAGGCGGCTCCCTGTGGTTCACTACAACACCAAGCTCTCTCCAGACTCCCTTTTCCAGCCTGCCTTAGGACATCTGTACCTCCGACCATAGTCCCCTCCAATGTGAGAGATCTACAAAGACTCTCTATACGTCTGCCACCATATCATCCTCTCTTCCTCCTCAGTTTCTCTTAAGAACATCACCATCCTTGGTCCCTTCTGATTTCCTCTTTCCCCATCATCTCCGGGAGTCAAAGTCAGCTCCTTCAACGCTATTTCAATCCCACAGCCACAATCTTAGTCTAGGCTTTCCCCTCCCTTCAGCCTAGATTACTGCACAGCCTTCCTAAACACGGTGCCTGCCTCAGTTACAACCAGAGTGCTCCAAGCCACCCACAGCGCCCCATCTGCTGAATGTCACACATGATGGATGCTTCTACTCTACCGTGGAAAACCTCAGCTGCCACAATCTGCTGTCTGGCACCACCCCCATTTCTCTGGTGACATCTCCCCAGGGTTGCAGTAAACGTGGGCTCTGGGATCTCCTCACCCTATCCCACCAGGATGCCACTGCCTAAGCAGTCTCCCTCTTCCAGGCTATTGTAACCTCTGCCTTGGAACCCATCAGACCACACCATATCCTTAAAATCTTCCCAGGCTGGTCTGAGTGCAGTGTTTACAACTAATTGATCACAACCAGTTATAGATGTCTTTGTTTCTTCTTCACTCCCACTGTTTCACTTGACTAGCCTTTAAAATAAAAAGAAAAGAAAAAAGAAAAAAAGGAAAAAAAATCTTCCAGGGTAGACAGTGGTGACGGTGGCACAACCTTGTGATTACGCTAGAAGCCACTGAGCTGCACACTTTAAAAGGATAAATTGTGTGGCATATGAATTCTCAATTCTCAATAATAAGAATGCTGTCCCGAAAGCCTCTTTCTACTAAGAGAATTGCCTTGTCCCCAACGCACATCTCTTAGTCGTTGGGACATCTAGGCAGAGGTCATCAAACCTAGCCACTGCGTAGAACCACCTGGAGAGTTTTTAATATCCATGTTCCCAGGCCACAGCCACAACCTAGGTTGTTAAATCAGTAAACCCAGGTTGGACCTAAATCTTAGTATCTTTTAAAGTTCCCTAGGTGATTCCGATGTGTAGTCAAGTTTTAGAACTACTGATTTAGCCCGTGGTTTGAACCTTCCTGATAGTACTCATTGTGCCCTGCCATGAATTTTTTTTTTTTTTTTAAGAGAGGAGTCTTGCTGTGTCACTCAGTTGGAATGCAGTGGCATGATTATAGCTCACTGCAGCCTTGAATGCCTGGGCTCAAGCAATCCTCCCACCACAGCCTCTTGAGTAGCTGGGACTACAGGCGAGTGCCACCACACCCAGCTGTCATCTACCATCTTCTACCCTATGAACCCTCCAAGATCAGGAAATGTGTCCGTTTCTTCTTTGTCAGCCTCACAAACTTTTTTTTTAAGTTCAACTATCCCTGTCATTACTAACTATTCCCCCATGATCCCTAGCCTACACTTTTCTGTGGATGAAAATGTAATGTATTCGAGAATTTTAACAATTTCTTAGTTTTCCCATTCACATTCACTGATAATTTATTTTGATCCTCATAATTTATTGAGCACAGCAGGGACCGGGGTCCTTTCCCCACCTTAGAGAGATTATTTTCACTGCTAAAGATCATAAGCCTAGTGAGAGACTGGGAGGGAGATGGACCTAGCTCTCCTGACACAGGTCCCAAGCCCTTACCTCCACGGTGTCTACCCTCCCTCCAGGACTTCCTCCGTGTGCCAGCTCCAGCAAAGGATCTGATTCAGCTCGCCCCCAAAAAAGACTTTTAATAGTTCAATAACAATAATGAATATGCAAGGTTTGTTCTAAGGCATTTAGAAATGGTTTCAGGGAGTCATGAAGCCAGTCCTCTCTTGGGCTAGGGGAGGCCGAGATGGTCTTGAGCTCCAGGGGACTTGTTTCTTAGTGCCCAGGCCTGGGCGCCCCTCCCCCACCAAGCCTCCCAGGTCTTCTGTCCAAAGCCCTCCCCCTCCACCCCACCTCCAACCCCGTCTGCTCTACCCCATCAACTACGTTTTCTCCCTCAGCACTTGCCTTATACCCCATGCACTCACGAGCACAGAGGCGACTTCCCTCTCTCAGACTTTAGGCGCCACTGCAGGGTCCGGAAAAGAAAGAGAAACGGCCCAGCGCGGTCGCTTACATAACCCAGGGCGGGGCTCCGCTCCGCCCCCGAAAGTTTTTGCGACGGAGTTTTCCCTCTTGTTGCCCAGGCTGAAGTGCAATGGCGCGATCTCGGCTCACCGCAACCTCCGCCTCCAAGGTTTAAGCGATTCTCCTGCCTCAGCCTCCCGACTAGCTGGGATTACAGGCATTCACCACCAAGCCCGTCTAATTTTATATTTTTAGTAGAGACGGGATTTCCCCATGTTGGTCAGGTTGGTCTCGAGCTCCCGACCTCAGGTGATCGCCCGCCTCGACCTCCCAAAGTGCTGGGATTACAGGCGTGAACCACCGTGCCCGGCCTTGGCCGCATGTGTTTTGAATTTTGCTGCCCGGAATTCACTGCGAGGACTGGGATCACCCGTCACCCCGCCCTGGTCTACGGAAAATGAAATGTGTTTACTGATATAGAAACGGAATAACGGCGCTGTGGGCTGGGGAGGGCCGAGCTGCCTTCAGGCTTCTGGTCTCCAGCTGCAGGGCACTCACACCTGCCCGTTATGAAAATGCAGACCCGCAGGGCAGGAATTCCGAGTCCGGGCTGGAGCGTGATCTGGAATCCGGCTCTCTTGAAACAGCACCGCGGAGGATTCGGATCCGGGTGAGTAGGAAACTGCGCCTCAGCCCCTCCCACGGGCCGCCCACGTATTCCAGGATCCGAAAACGCTTCCTGCTGCTCCGTCACCCCAGGAAGGCAGCGTCCGCCTCTGGGCGGTTCTGATGGAAACCGGCTGCGCCGCCCGCAGGAAAACCCACAACTAAGGGGCCAGGAAAAAGCCTCTTAGGGTCCCGCCACTTCAGTGAGGATCCTAATTTACACCCTTAGTTTGGCCTCCATGAAAGACTGGAGTGACCTTCACTGAAATGATACAAGGGGCCCAGGGAGCTGCGGCGCTCAGAATGCGGTGACAGCGCCGCCTCGCGTCCCTTCCCTGACCTGCTCCCGGCGGACGCGGAGAAGTTTGTTGGCCTGGAGGCTGGAATATACCGGGGATCAAATGCAGAGAATGGAGAAAAGAGGGAAGGATGGGGGGACGTGTTGAAGAAATGAGGGAAGAGATAGGAAGAAAAGGGGAGAGAAAAAGTAAAGGAGAGTTTTTTTGTTTTTTGTTTTTTTTTTTTGAGACGGAGTCTTGCTCTGTCGCCCAGGCTGGAGTGCAGTGGCGCGATCTTGGCTCACTGCAAGCTCCGCCTCCCGGGTTCAGGGCATTCTGCTGCCTCAGCCTCTGGAGTAGCTGGGACTACAGGCTCCTGCCACCACGCCCGACTAATTTTTTGTATTTTTAGTAGAGACGGGGTTTCACTGTGTTAGCCAGGATGGTCTCGATCTCCTGACCTCGTGATCTGCCTGCCTTGGCCTCTCAAAGTGCTGGGATTACAGGCGTGAGCCACCGCACCCGGCCGGAGAGAGAAAATTTAAAAGACGTAGTTTCATTATTTCTTTTATTTTTGCCCTTTATCTAGTTTTACTTATGAACATTTTTACCACAAATTTCTCTCTCTCTAAATCTGTAAATATGCTGCTATTATTGTTATTTCAGAGCCTGTGAGGGTAAGTTGCAGACAGCATGACCCTCTACCTCCAGATGTGTCAGGGTGTGTCTCCTGGGCACAAGAACAGGGTTTTTGTTTTGTTTTGTTTCACATAAGCAAAGTACAAGTCTCAAAGAGGATAATATTTTTAAATCATCTTATTGGGACATACTTTGCATGCAATAAACTGCATCTATTTAAAATGTTCAACTTGTTGAATTTTAGCTGTTGTACACACCCACATCTCCACTACCACAGTGAAGATAAAGAAGATTTTAATCGTCTCCCAAAGAACAGCTACACGATAAAATTCTATGTTGTCATTAAAAAGAGTAAGAGCAATTTTAAGTATTGCTATGAAAAGATGTGCCCAGCATACTTTTAACCTTTTTTAAAAGGTTAAGGAGGCTGGGCACAGTGGCTCATACCTGTAATCCCAGAACTTTGGGAGGCTATGGCAGGCAGATAACCTGAGGTCAGAAGTTCAAGATCAGCCTGGCCAACATGGTGAAACCCTGTCTCTACTGAAAATGCAAAAATTAGCCGGGCGTGGTGGTGGGTGCCTGTAGTTCCAGCTGTTTGGGAGGCTGAGGCAGGAGAATCGCTTGAATCTGGGAGGTAGAGGTTAGAGTGAGCCGAGATCATGCCACTGCATTCCAGCCTGGGCGAAAATGCCACTAATATCACTTACATAATATTAATATATATTTGAAGTAGGGGAAAACCTGGAAGATTCCTCACCAAAGTTTTGACAGTGACTCCAGAGACTGGGATAACTTTGTGACTTTCATTTCCTCTTAAATGTTGTGCCAGGGTCTGACCGGCAGACCCAGGCTGCACGATGGATGAATAATGTACTCAGACACCGATATTCAGTGAAAGAGTGCACCAGAGGGCCAGGCCACTCACAGAAAGGGTTGTGGCAGCTGCGTGCCCTGACTATCTGGCCCTGTGGGCCTTTATTCAGCACAGATTTAATGACAAAGGCTTTGAGTCAACACACCTGTGGGTAATTAATCTGGTCGCAGTCCCCCGGAGAGAGCAGTCCTACAAATGATCAAAGGTAAACATGCTCTTTAGATAAACTCTCTTACATGTCTTTGTACTTACTCGAAGCTATTAACTCAAGGTAAGGGGATTAGGCTGCTTTCAGCTATAACCCTATCCTGAGGCTTTTGCAAAACTTTCCACCTTCCAAGAAGGTTTGTGTCTATTTCCTATAACTTTATCTTTATAATTATTCCCACCACCTGACCAATCCCCTACAATGTTGGAATTTTATCTTTTAGTGTAAACTTGGATTTGGGTGGATTGCAGTGGTTCATGACTATAATCCCAGCTCTTTGGGAATCGAAGGCAGGAAGATTGCTTAAGCCCAGGAGTTCCAGGCTGCAGTGAGCTATGATTGTGCCATTGCACTCCAGCCTGAGTGACAGGAGGAGACCCTGTCCCCAAAACAGAAAAATAAATAAAATTTTAAAATAATAAAAATTATAAACTTGGATTTATGTGGAGGTTAAGGAAGAGAATATTTCAGTTTGAAAATATGAAGCTAAGCCCCACAACGAAATAGTTACAGAGTTTTAAAAAAGAAAATGTTCATTAAAACCCACCACCAGAAACTCTCTTTCAAGAGGATCCTTCATATTTTCATGGCATTGAATCTTTCTTAAAGTGCATTTGAAAGAGATGTTTTCAGTGGAATAGAGAGATGTGTAACAATATTTACAAAAGCGGTTGGCTGTAATAAAAAGGAAAACGCAAATGAGTGGGGACACAGGGGACCCTGTTCCATTTATTCTCAAAGCACGTTTGAAAACTGCGTTGCCATAGCGTCCTTGGGTAGAGGCAAAGTCGAGGCAGATCTTGTTCCTGGAGTATTGATTTGATTTTGGAAACGGTCCAAGGCTTTCAGAAATCAGGCTGACT
Organism: Homo sapiens; assembly: GCF_000001405.40. Taxonomy (NCBI): domain Eukaryota; kingdom Metazoa; phylum Chordata; class Mammalia; order Primates; family Hominidae; genus Homo; species Homo sapiens. The sequence goes on along the minus strand of NC_000006.12, from coordinate 31,397,192 downwards.
TTCAGATCTAAAGTCTCAAGAATATTCGTTCTAGCAGTGAGCCTGTGAGAATCTAGCCCATCTGGGCGATGCACGCTCTGCTTCCACCTAGTGGCAGTGATTGGAAGGACAGGGCACAGTGTTACTGCATGGGTGGGGCTGAAGCCAAGGTGAAACCGCCTTTGCAAAATTATAACTAAGGAAATGATGACAGTGAAAGACATCAAACCTAACTGACCCCATCTTGCTTCCAACCGCTAAACTGCCCTTCTTCATTTCTAGGCGTAGGCTGAACTAGCCTTGGGAAGGAATTTAGTTTATAGTTTAAAGGGAAACTGTTCTTGTAAAACGAAGAAAGGCCACCGGCCATTAAGTTAGGATGAGAGGGGCTGGAATTCTGAATATTACCAGCCATTATTCCAGAGGTCATAAGATTTGCAACTTCTCCAGTTACTCTTGAAGGTAACATCACTATTGTGAACCTCAGAGTGGCCTTTTGAGATGTCTTTTCAGGTTTTTGTATTTTTAACAGCTGGAGGGCCCCATCTGGACCTGCCAACCAGTCCTGTGGCCCCCACGTTCAGGAACTGACTCAGCCTAAGAGAATGGCCTCCACTCACTATGATTTCATACCGGAGCCAACCAGTCAGCACTCCCGATTCACTGGCCCCCCTATCCACCAAATTATCCTTAAAAACTGATGAGAGTTTTTGGGGAGACTGATTTGAGTAATAAAACTCTGGTCTCCCGCACAGCTGGCTCTGCATGAATTACTCTTTCTCTGTTGCAATTCTCCTGTCTTGATAAATCGGCTTCGTCTAGGTAGCCGGCAAGATGAACCCACTTGGTGGTTACAAAGGGAGTCCAGGCCAGTGTGCATTACTGTAGTGGGGTCCAGGTAGCGGAGGAAAGGCGAGGACACTCAGGGAATAAATGGCAGAGGAAGAAGGAGCACAAGGGAGGACCCAAACCCTCCAGACCTCTCCTTCCTTCTCTCCCTGTTAGGGTTGGAGGGAACCAGCGTGGTCCCAGGAGGGGTGGCTGGTGGGGTGCAGAAAACGCCCTGGTTGCAAAGGGGCCTCACGTGCCCGACACAAGGGTCCTGGCTGTTAGCTGCTACTCATGAGTTCAAACTAGGAGGAGGCTCACATGTGTCCTTTGCAAAGTAGACTCCTTATCTCCCACTCCGGCTGGTTTCCCAAATCCATCCTGATAAAGCAGAAAAACCAAGAGCCAAATTCTGCGGGTGACCTTTCTGACAGCTGGAAGGTCCTCCCCATCCCCATTCCTTGCGTGCTCTCCTCTTGTCCTGCCCCCTCTGCTTTGTCTCCACTTCCTCATCCTTTTCCCTCTCTGGACCCTGCTCCTGAGTATCTCCCACCTTCTTCAGACAACTTCTCCTCATGAAGTACAGAGTCCCCCACCTCCAGGAAAAAGAGACAAAGACCACGAGAAGGACCTGAGAAACGCCTGTGACCCCGCCCCTGAGTCCAGCCTCTCCCTCAGCGCTGGCTCTGGCTGTGTGTGTGTGTATGTATTTTTGTTTTGTTTGTTTGTTTTTGAGACAGGGTCTCACTCTGACAGTCTGCAGTGTCCTGATCACAGCTTACTGCAGGCTCCAACTCCTGGACTCAGGCAATCCTCCCACCTCAGCTTCTCGAGTAGCTGGGACTACAGACTGGAGCCACCACACCCAGTGTGTGTGTGTGTGTGTGTGTGTGTGTGTTTGTGTATATATATACCCTTTTTTTTTTTTTTTTTTTTTGTAGAGACTGGGTCTTGCTTTGTTACCCATGCTGGTCTTGAACTTCTGGCTTCAAACAATTCTCATGCCTCAGCCTCCCAAAGTGCTGAGATTACAGGCATAAACCACAATGCCTGGCCCCTGTGTGTGTACATACAAAGTCAAAGTGCTAAACCTGGCGCCTAGGAAACATCCCCACCTAGGCATTGCTTGCAACAGTCGGTATTTTGTGCACCTGTGCTTTTATTTCAGGAGCTGGGACAGTTATATTCATCAGAACAGCACGGTGTCAAGGCCCTCACCCCCAGAAAGCTTAGGAGACACTGTTTTATGGAGGAGAGTGAGATTGGAGGAAGCCCTGACTCCAGGTCTCCTGATCCTTCCTACACAAAGCGAAGCTGAAAAAAAGTGCAGGACACTCCATTTCCTCCTGGGACCAGACAGGGAAGCCAGAGCCACCATGGATGTCAAATTCCGGCAAGGAAACACCAGTATAGCAAAATCTCCACATCACATTTTAAAGCTCACACAATGGCTCAAAGAGAACCCACATCAAAAAACCGAATTCCTAGCTCAGGTGAGATCACCAAAGTTGCCTGTGAGGCTTCGTGGAACCTGCAGGTAGAAAGGACATCTTTATTTCGAGCTGCAGCCCAGTTGCTTCTGCGTCTTGGAGCCCCTTGAAAGGACCCTCTCCCTTCAACAGTACATAGGGAGGCCATTTCTGGGGAGAAATGTAGACTGTCCTTAGACTCCTGAGGTTTTTACACTTGCTTGCTGACTCTGTGGACTTTGACTTCATCATTAAACATCTTATAATGATGTAATTTGCTTTGACTGTAAGTGTAGAACAGGACGCTGTTCCTGAATCAGGAAACAAGGGACTGGTGACCTGAACTGCCACCACCCTCCCTGGTGCTCAGATGCAATGAAATCGTGAGGCAACAAATCTATGGCTAGGTAAAGGGTCAACTCCATTTCAGCAAATGTTTCAGATGTTCCTTCCTGCCTAGTAATGTTCCAGCTTTACCCCAGCCTTAATCTTTTAAAATGTATATTTTCCTTAGCGTTGATTTTAAAGTAATTCGTATGTATTTATTACACTGGGTTTGTTGCAGTAAGCCACCTCGAATGTTGCTGTAGAATTAAAGTAAGCAAATAAATGTGTGGTTCTCCAAGGAGTTATTGCTAACACCATCTTAAAAATGTATTAACCCCAAATCCAATCACTTCTCACTCCTCTACTGCCTCCTCCCCAGGGCCATCCTCTCCAAGATAGTAAACCAGAAGGCCTTCCAGCTGGGCTGCCTGCTGACTCTCACACCCGCTGTCCATCACCCACACAATAGTCAGAGTGAGCATTTCAAATGGGAATTAGAGCTCATCCTCGCCTCCGCGTCCCACAGACATGCCAGCCTCTTCCCTTCTTAGCACAGTGAAACCCCAGTCTCTCACTATGTTTTACAGCCCCTCATCCCTCATCACAGGATCCTTCTGGCCACTCTGGCCTCATCCCACCCCTCTCGGCCCAGCTCATTCATCTCCACTAACACTGCTCAATCCTGTCTCAGGCACCTCCCACTGGAACTCCCCAAGTGCACCTGCTCCCCAGGGATCCAAAGGGATCCAAAGGCCCCTCACACCATTCAGGTCTCTGCTCAGACGTCCAGTGTTCAAATTCCCAGGAACATCTTGATCAACAGACTATATCTCCTACCATCCTCACCACCATCAACCTTCTAGCTCAAGCATATTTTCTCCATAACAATTATCACCGGTATTAGAATTGTTTTCATTTGTTTCATTGGTTGTCATGTTCTTCGAGGCAGGGACCTTGTCTAGTCACCACTTGGATTTCCAGCATCTAGAAATCCAAGGACAGAGAAGGGGCTCAATAAATATGGGTTGAGTAAATGGGTGAATATAATTGGTACACTGCTTTTTTTTTTTTTTTTTTTTTTTTTTGAGACAGAGTCTCTCTCTGTCACCCAGGCTGGAGTGCAGTGGCATGATCTCGGCTCACTGCAAGCTCTGCCTCCTGGGTTCACACCATTCTCCTGCCTCAGCCTCCAGAGTAGCTGGGATTACAGGCGTCCGCCACCACGCTTGGCTAATTTTTTGTATTTTTAGTAGAGATGGGGTTTCACTGTGTTAGCCAGAATGGTCTGGATCTCCTGACCTCGTGATCTGCCCGCCTGGGCCTCCCAAAGTGCTGGGATTACAGGCGTGAGCCTCTGCGCCCAGCCGGTACACTGCTTTTGAGAAGTAATTTGATAATATGTATGAGAAGGCTTAAAAATATTCATGCGGCCGGGCATGATGGCTCACGCCTGTAATCCCAGCACTTTGGGAGGCCGAGGCGGGTGGATCATGAGGTCAGGAGTTCGAGACCAGCATGGCCAATATGGTGAAACTCTGTCTCTACTAAAAATACAAAAAGTAGCCAGGTGTGGTGACGTGTGCCTGTAATCCCAGCTACTTAGGAGGTTGAGGAAGGAGAATCTCTTGAACCCAGGAGGTGGAGGTTGCAGTGAGCTGAGATCTCGCCACTGCACTCCATCCTGTGTGACAAAGCGAGATTCCGTCTCAAAAAAAAAAAAAAATTTCATGCCTTTTGACCCAGTAACTTTTATTGAGAAATCTGTGATTTTAAAACAAAATCCAATATATAGAAAGATCTTTAGGTATAAGGATATTAATTACAATAATGAAAAAAACATGCAAAAGAAGAGTGGCTAGGTCCTCTGTTTGGAAACAGCCTACAGCTGGTGAAAGCTGTGTGTAAGAAGATTTTGTAATATGATAGAAAGTTGTGTATTGATAATAAAGTTTTGAAAAGCAAGATTCAAAATAACTCATAAGCATGACGACACTAAGTCATCCTGCACAGTCACCCGCATGCACAAAAACCAGGAGTGGAAACTCAGGGGCAGCTGCAAAGCACAGCTCCAGGCCCCTTCCCTCTGAAGTCTGAGGCTCTGCCAGGCAACGTTTCATCCCGATCCTCCCAGTGGAGACACTGGCAGTTTCCATCCTTCTGCTTCTTTATACCTTTTTATATTTTCTGTACTTGAGATTTTACTTCCTAAGAAGATAAAATACCTATTAGAAAGTTTTAAAAATTTGAAATAAAATTTTAAAGAAGTCCAAACGTCTGGCCAGGCGCATTGGCTCATGCCTGTAATCCCTGCACTTTGGGAGGCCGAGGCGGGCAGATCACGAGGTGAGGAGTTCGAGACCAGCCTGGCCAACATAGCGAAACCCTGTCTCTACTAAAAATACAAAAAATTAGCTGGATGTGGTGGTGGGTGTCTGTAATTCCAGCTACTCAGGAGACTGAGGCAGGAGAATCGCTGGAACTCGAGACGCAGAGCTTGCAGTGAGCCAAAATCGTGCCACTACACTCCAGCCTGGGTGATAAGAGCAAAACTCTGTCTCAAAAAAAAAAAAAAAAAAGTCCAAATGTCCATTCCCAACTCAGCTTCAAGGAAAGTCTCCTCTAGACTCCACAGGGTAGAAATTCCTGTTGATGGCACCTTCAGAAGGTAAGAAAGGAACTCGTCCTCCACCATGCCTGACCCGTCTTTGGGTTTTAGGCATTGGCCGACTGATAAAGGCAATACTGAGAGTGTGATCAATGTGTAGACGACCGATTGTCATATAATATGAATCTCACCACACCTGAGAGAGTGGGATAGATTCTCTCATTTTCATAGTTTGGGCATCTGAGTCCCTGAGAGCCTGAATGCCTGACATGGATTCTCCAAGAATGTTGGCCTTCAGACTCTAAAGGGCCCCGGGTCTCCTGTGAAGCCCCCTGTGCATGCACCACACCCGCAGAGGCTCCACAACGGCGGGAAGGGCACCCAGGGTCAGAGCCCAGGCGAGTTCACACTCGGGGACCATCCACATCCAGGGCGTGCAGGGGAGGGGCCGAGGTGAGAGCCCAACCCCTGCCTAGGCTGTGGTGACTGGTGGCTGCACGGGGGTCCCAGCGCTCCTGGAGCTATCATTCTTTATCTCCTGAAGACCCCGGACCCGCACATACCAAAATTCTGCATTTCTGGTGGCGCGGTCTTCTCTTTTGAGATGTAAACACTACTTCTCGAATCTTAAAGCCAGCCATTGCCACTCCTAAGGGATAAGCCTCTAACTCCACTGAAATTAGCCTCAGAATTTCAGCTGAGCATTTGGAGCCACAGGCAGGAAGTCTGTGGGATTTGCACCTGGCTGATCTGGAAGGTGGTCCTGAAAGGTAGTGTGTGACTAGGGGGGCTTTGAGGGGCATGGATGTCCCTGATGAAAGGAGAACAAGACAGATGGGAAGGTTCCAAAAGTGAACTTTAGGGGGCCCTGTGCCCATCACTAGGATTTGGAAAATCTTTTCCCAGCCACTTTTGGCCTGTGGGTTTTCATTCTGCTTTCCTGTCTGCCAAGCCATTCCAGGCAATCCCTTCATTTGGTAAACATTTATCAAATACCTACTGTGTGCAGGGCATTGTTTTAAGAGGAGCTGGGACTGAGATAAGAGGAAATAAACCCTCCTTGCCCTCAAGGCGTGCCCAGTCTTGCTCAGGCAGAGATCAGTAAGGAAATCATAACACAAATTGAGAGAGGAAAAAGGAAGAAACTGGTCAGGCGGGCAGTTATGGTGGGTCCTCAGTTGAATTATTTCAAACAAAAGAACGGCCTGCAGGCACAAAGAAGGGAACTTGCACAGGGGGGCTTGCCTAAGACATGCCCACAGCTGCACAAATAAGAAAGGCTGCACAGGAGACTTGCCCAGACATGCCCGCAATGGAAAATTCTGTCCCCCGATACGTGGGCAGTCAGGGAAACAAAGCAATATGGAGTAACTTAAGCTAAGGGCCTGCATGGGCACTAGGAGGATGGGGTGGAGCTACCGGAAATTCGTGCCTTATGCAAATGAGACACCCAGCCCTCATCAGTTTCTTATAAAAGGCTTTGCATTCAGCTGTAAAAATGGCAACCATCTTCCAAGCCCCCTCTCCGTGGGGGAGAGCTTTCTTCTTTTGCTTATTAAACTTTTGCTCCAACCTCACCCTTTGTATCCATGCTCCTTAATTCTCTTGGTGGTGAGACAAAGAACTCCAGGTAACACCTCACAAGGAGAGACTGAGAGGCTGCTACGTTGTGGTGCATTGGCAAGACTAACAAACTGGCTAGTGGGACATGCACACTTGCTTGGTAGACATATATGTAGATCTTCAGCTCTGACTAATGAAGGAATACCAAAAATCTCATAAAAGAAAATAATATTATTTGAGCTTTGTTTTGTGGTCTAAGTGGGAGCCCCACAGGCACCCAGGGTAGGAGAGCTTTGCTCAGAATCCAGGAAGTGAACATCTTTCCCTGGGCCAGGCCAAGAATGAGACTAAGCTGATTGAGGAGCCTGGTGCCTCCTGGCAAGAAAGGGTGTCTGACACCTGACTATCCAGAAGTCACAGCTACTCAATATTGAGACTTGAAACAGAGAGAGAGACAGAGAGAGAGAGAGAGACAGAGAGAGAGAGAGAGACAGAGAGAGAGAGAGAGACAGAGAGAGAGAGAGAGAGAGAGAGAGAGATCTGATTTGAAAAGCAGAATTCTGCTGGGGGCTTGTTAAATGCAGAGTTTCTGATACAGTAGGTCCAGGCCAGGCCCTGAAGATTGCATATCTAAGTTCCCAGGTGATGCCAATGCTGCTTCCCCCAGGACCACACTTTGAGAACCACCACCCTAAGGCAATCTGTGTTGGTTTCTAATATCAGAAGAGGGCTGGGAGTGGGCTGGGAGGCAGAGGTGTAGGATCAGTGCGACCACACCTGACCCACCCTGGACAGCTCCCCACCCCATTCTTGCAGCATTTTATTTCCTGGGAGTCCTGGGAATGGAAGACACCCAGGAAGGGACCAAATGTGGGGTCACAGGGTGATCCAGAGGCTCGGCTTCATACAGCACCTGGGGCTCCCGCCACTCCACAACTGGCCCCCACACCCTCAGTCTTCCCACCCCTCACGACACTGACCTCCAGACCTTCCTCGACTAATCTCAGCAGGTTGGGCCTGGGATGTGACACTAGGAGCTCTGAGTGTACCTTCTGATCCAAAGATAGGGTGACCGCGTATGACAAGTACTCAGATGGGCCATTAATAGGACCTTGAACATTTGGCAAATGGCTTCAGTCACGTGTGCTTGAGAATTCCAGTGTTTTCTAGATATGGCATCCATGAGCCCACACAAACACTGGAGGGCGTCGTGAGCATACTGAAACCCATAACTGCTGCACTGGATCCCCTAGAATCCCTTTCCCACTTAGACCAAGATTTGAACAAAATTTCCTTCACCAAACAAACTGCATTTAATTAATCATGCTGTTATTTTACCTTGTAATGGAAAAAAGACAGATGTAAAGAAAGATCATGCAATTAAAAAGAAAACAACGTACTGAATTAAAATGGCGGTAAACCTCCTTGTTAAAGGAATAACATAATATTTAGAAAATTTTTAAATTTTATTTCGATAAAGGTTAAAAAATTCCATTAGTTTTTAAAAAGTTTTTCATTTTGAATTTTTTGGGGGTTTGTTTGGTCTCCTTAGGAATTATCTTTTATTTCTTGATATAGTTCAAAATTCAAAATTCAAAATGTTCAAAAGGTAAAATGTCTCTCTCTTACCCTGTCTCATCCCCAACAGGCAACCAAGGATATTAACTTCTTGCTTATTCTTCCAAATATATTTTATGCATATGCAAGCAAATATAAATGTGTACATATATATCCTTTGTCCCTTTTCACACAAATTTTAGCAGACTCTATATGTTATTCTACACCTTGCTTTATTTCTTCATGAGGGAATATCAAGAGTTTTCTATGTCTTTCTTCTTTTGTGTTAAATGTTTGTAGACTCTGCCGTGTAGCTATGCAGTGCTTGTTTGGGTTTTCTTAAGAAGGGAGGCCTCCTTATGTTACCCAGAGTGGAGTAGAGTGTATTCACAGGTGAATGCTACTGTGCCCAGCTTGCAATGCTTTTTTAACCAGTCCCCTAGTGACAGACATTTGGATTATTTTTTCTTTTATCTGTCATTTTCTTTCTTCTTTTCTTTTTGCTTTTACAAACAGGGTTGCAACATATAATTCTGAATACAGTCATTTTTCAGGAATGCAGGTGTGTTTTGGACACATTTCTAGAAGTGGGACTACTGGGTGTATGCATTTTTAATTTGGACAGAAATAGCCATACTGCCTTTCCTGAAAACATTTCCAGTTTGCAGGCCCATCTGCAGTATATCAGAGTACCTGTTTTGGTACCATTATTTTTTTGATTATAGAAATATGTAGAGATATATATTTGGGAGCCATCTGTGTCTAGATGATATTTAAAATCCTGAGAGTGGAGGACACCGGAGTGATTAGGAAGGTAGTAACACCCCAGAGTGCTCCAGCATCTACAGCAAAAGGAGCCAATGAAGGGGGACTGAGGAGGAGCAGCCAGTTGGGGAGGAAGAGAACTTGACCTGTAAAATGTCAAAGAAGATTTTAAAGCGGGGAGCTGATACAACCTCTTCAGAGAACAATTTGACATCCTATAACACCACATGGTAAAAGCACAGTAATCCCATTCCTACATCCATATCTTGGGGAACTCACACAGGGGACCAGAGAGAGATGACCCAGGATGTTCATTGTGGCAGTGTCTGTAACAGAAACAAGCTAAAGGTCACGGACAGAAGAGATAAATTGTGGGATATTCCTCCCATGAATACTATCCAGAACTGAAAACAAAGTAACTGTTTCTATGGGTGTGGGTTCACCTCATAAACCATATTAAATGATAAAGCAAGCCACAGAATGATACATTCAACAAAAAACAATTTATACGAAGTCTAAAATCATGTAAAACAAAGGGATTTTAAAAACTTTGTAACAATATAAAGGCATTCACCAAATTCAAGACATCCGCCACTCCCCACTGGCAGTCCTTGCTTTACTCAGTACAGTATCGACTGAAACACATACATAACAGAACTGTGGAAAATCAGGGCTATCTGCATATATTTCTATTATTTTCTATGTATACTACATATAGCCAATAATATTAAAATGTTACAAATTGACAAACCTGAGTGGTGGCTTCACAAAGATTTCTTTTAATTCTCTATTCTTCCAGCTAGAACTACTTCAGCTAGATCAAGTGGTGGCAGTGATCTGCAAAAGTCAGAGGTCACAGTTACCATGACAACCCCAACAGAGCAGGCAAGGTTGTGCTTGACCTGCAGGGAGTGTGGGGAAGGTTAACAGAGGGCAGTGTCCCAGGTTCAGAACAGAAGGACAGCCAGCAAGGGCGCTGCTTGATATCTATGAAAAGAAAGCAAGAATTGAGGAGCAGGAGGCTGAGGGTGTTTGATCCAAGACAAAGTCATAATCTGTTCTCAATGCCTAGACCTCACCTAACTTTCAGATTCAGATCCCAATGACAGAGGAGGGGAGTCCATATCCCTAGGAGGAAGAACCCTGGAACACCCTGGGAGTATATGCTGGGTCAATTCCCTGAACTCTTCTGCAAAGGAACCTACAGCCATTTACACAGGAGACTGTACACCGGGAAAGGGAAATAGGCAGAATTTGGGTGAGTATTGACTTTGTGTGTGAACTAACATTGATGCCCAGATTCCTACAGCACCATCGTGTCCCATCACAGAGGGGCTTCCAGAGGCCAGGACACATTATAGCTCACAATCCCGTAGTCCCAGCCCTGTTTAGTTCCCTATTCCTTGAGTGCATAATGGCATTGATGCACTGGCAGCTGGAGTGACCCCCACACCGCGTCTCTAACCTGTGGATTAATGGCTCTTATTGCGCTGAAGGCTAAAGGGAAACCTCTGAAACTGCCCCTATCCCAACCGAAGCGATATTACGTCCCAGGGCAGGTCTTGGAGGTTATTGCAGGTATTGTGGGGGGTAGCACCACCATTAGAGAGCTGTAGGAGGTGGGATAGTGCTGGAGTTGCCTATTATCTCCGTGTATTCTGTCCTTGCAGAAGCCCAATAGGACCTAAAGAATGAACAGGATTACTTCAGACTTGACCAAGTAGTGGTCTTGATTGCAGCTGCCATGCTGGCTGGATATCACTGCTAGCAGAAGTTAATGAGGCTGCAGGCCAATGGTGTGCAGCCGAGGATTTGCTGAGTGCATTCCTTTCCAGCTAGAAAGTGGATATGGAGTTATTCACATTCATACCACATTTATTTACACTTTCCCTGAGAGCTATTATAACTCTTCTGTCATCTGTAACATAGTCTTAAGAGATGCCGGACATTCTACAGAATATTAAATCTGTTCATTTCATTGGCAACATCATAGATTGGGATGGATGAGAAAGAAGGTGGAAAGTATGCTGGAGGTCTTGGTAAAACACATGCACCCCAGAAAGAGGAGGATAAATCTTACAGAAATTTAGGAGTGGCAACTGCAGTGAAATTTTATGGGTCCAGTGGCTAGGTGCATGCAGAGATATTTCTTCCAAGTAAAAACAAAAGAAAACAGAAAAAAAAACCCGTTGCATCTTTCATCTTCAGTGAGAAAAAAAAAAAAAAGAGAGAGAAGCGGACTGCCTGGTGAATCTCTTTGGGTTCTGACAACACCACATTCCACATCTAGGTATATCATTTTGGCCACATTTTGGGTGACATAGGAGGATGCCAGATTCAAGTGGAGCCTACACAGGAAAGGACTCTGCAGCAGATCCAGGCTGTGGTGCAGGCAGCCACCATCCCTCAGACCCCCTGGTGCTGGAGGTGGCAGGGCTGGGGAAAGATGCAGGATGGAGTGAACTGAGCATCAGTGGGGAAAGTCACAATGGAGGGCCTGGGATTCTGGAGTAAGTTCATGTCATCCACAGCAGAAATATATGCCCCCTTCTCGAAGCAACTTTTAGTGTTGCTGGCCCTGATCAGATAGAATTCTTGACCACAGGACACTGAGAACCACGTAATTCCAAGTGGTTGTATGAATTGGCTTCTGTGTGACCTACAGAGTTATAGATTGGACAGGCCCAACAGTGTCCATCATGAGATGGAAATGGTCCATGTGGAATGAGCCCAAACCCCAAGTTAACACCCCATCTGCCCAGAAAATACCTGCCCCTGAGGTGGCACTGAACAACCAAGCAGACAAATGGAAGTTAGCCAGCCTTCACTGGGGGCCATCTCAGGCCTTGCAGGGTGGGAACATGCATGCAGGAATCACAATAGCTCCCTTCATGTGCCCATCCTTCCAGGTCACTCAGTGGCCTTGGTCGGTGGGAGTCAGTGCTGCTGGACCCATAGGTAGCCTCCAAAAGGTGAGACTCCCACCTACCAAGGCCGAACTAGCTGCTGCCACCTCTGAATATCCAACTTGTCAGGATTAGACACCCGTGATAGGCCCTGATGTGCCCTGCTTAGGCACTATTTCTTTAGGTGATCAAAGTGCCACTAAATGACACATTGACCACATTAAGCCTCATCATGGAAGGGCCAGAGATTCATCCTCACTGGGACAGAAACTTCCTCCATGGGTAGGCTTTTTCCCCCACTATTCTCAGACTCTCAGCCAGCACCACTGACATTCCTGATCCACAGGTTTGGAATTACTCTCAGCACAGCCTCTTCCTGGGGGACCCACCTCACAGGGAAATGGAAGTGGGTGCAGCATGGACCATGACCAGGGGATCCACTGATCCTATCACCATCTGCACCCTGCGGGGGCTGCCGGCCACACAGAACATTGGACAGGCCTTCAACAGGCACAACTCAGAACCAGCTTGGAGGAAACACTGAGGAATGGGTGCCATCTTTCAGGGCACGGTGCATTTATTGAATCAGAGACATCACTACGGTGCTGTATTCTCAGTAGGAAGAAACTTGGGTCCAGAAACCAAGGGATGGAAGAGAGTGTGGCTGCATGTCCCATCCCTTATATTCACCCACTGTGGAACTTGGACTTCTCATATCCCAAATCTGGGCTTTGTAGTATAGGAGGTCCTGGTTTTCCACAGGGAGGCACTCAGACAAGGGGACAAACAAGAGCCCATTGAGCTACACATTACAGTTGCCCACAGGACTGTATGGGCCTAGAGACAAGCAGGGAAGAAGAGCACTCCCCTCCTCTCCAGGCAGGAGTGATGGACCCTCATCCCCAGGACGAGGCAGGGCTGCTGATACACAGTAAGGGCAGGAGGAGTTTGTGTGGAACCCAGAGATTCACTTGGGGGCCTCCTTGTTTCCCTTGTCCCATTGTAAATGTGAACAGAATCGTCCAGCAACCCAGTCTGACAGCGTTTGATTTCCAAAGGCCCAGACCCCTCAGGAGGAAGATTGGAGCCGCATTTCCAGGAAATTTCCCAAGGCCTCCCTCCCGTGCTCTGTCATTCTCAGCAGCATTGGTGCAGAGGCCCTGCTTCCCATGGGCTGTTCCCAGCCACTGACACGTAACAGCAGGGACACTAAGACAGACCATTCCTGGGCAACAGGAGACTCCTCTGTTGGCCATCTGTGGCTGGAGGACTCCTCCATGGCCTTGCTCAACTCTCCTCAGATTGCCTGTGGTCTAGGATGCGTCCAACAACCCTTCTTTCCTTTTGTCCAGGACTGGAGTCGGCCTTGCCTCTGGATGTGCCACTTTTCCCAGGGTTCTCTGGCTCCCTCCCCATATTCTCTGACAGGTGTGTCCCCCAATAAACCTTGTGAGAGGCCCTGAGCCAGAAGCACTCAAGGAAATCTCTCCCAGATTCCTGACCACTGGAAACTGTGGGAGATGATAAGTATTTGTTGTTTTGGGTTGTCAAACTTCATGTTATTTATTATACAACAATAGACAATAGCGCTTCAAAAGAGAGAATGAATTACTACACTTTAATTTTTATTTATTCTAAATTAACTAAAAGATATTCAGTGTTATTTGGTTTTAAGATTTCAGTATTTCCATGTATCAATAGGATGTATTTTATTAACATTCACAACAACCTATTTATTTGAACTTCAGTTTCCTACCACGACCCAATTAAACACAAAAGGAAGATCCTGGCTATGCGAGGATGATTCAGTGATGGCCCCCACATAACCACCCCTGGTGATTCACCTTCCCCAGTTACTCAATCAACACTACTGTAGGTGCCGCTGTGAAGGGATTCTGCAGATATAAGCAAGGTCCCAAATCAGTTGACTTTAAGACCATGATTATCCTGCCTTGGACTGTCCTAATCAGGTGAGCTCTTAAAACAACTTATTTCTTCTTCAGCAAAGAGATTCACAGTGTGAGCGAAATTCAACGTGAGGGGCTTCCTCCGCTGTGAGCTTTGAAAATGAAGGGGCCATGTGGCAAAGGATATGACGGGCTCCAGGAATTGAGAACAGCTCCACCCCACCTCCACCTGACAGCTGCCCAGGAACAAGGACTACAATCCCACAACTGCCTGAAACTGAATTCTGCCACCAAGCTCTGTATAAGCTGGAAGGAGGACCCCAGCCTCAAGATGAGGACACAGCTTCGTGAAATCCTGAGCTGAGAATCATTCACACCAGGCCTGGATTTCTCATTAAGGAAATGTAGAGAAATAAATGGGTGCTGTGTAGAGCCAGTGAGTTAGTGGTAATATGTTATGCAGTAACAGAAAATTCATACATAGACCAACAGATAAGCATATAACATTTTCTCGATTGGAATAAATTAGTGAATTGAAATGTACACTCCTTGTATAAGATAAAATCTTTCCTAATTTTTTGTATTCTTCATTTTATAATGTTTATGCAATGCAATTACATTTTAATACAATCATATTCATGAATTCACCAAAGACCAAAGCTAACTTTGTATCTACTATGTACCAAGTATGTCTTTACATACCGTGCAGTTGGTTCAGTCCTCACACCTGCTTTCTTCATGTTTCCTGCCCTGGGTCTGCAGTCACAGTTTTGGAAACTTCTCTGGGGTCCAAGACTAGGGGGTTCCTCTAGGACCTCATGGCCCTGTCTCTTCCCTAGCCCCTCACAGGATGATTTCTTCCCAGAGGCAGAGAAGGAGGTGCTCAGGCTGTGTGTAACTATGGGAGACGGATGTGGAGGAGCTCACCTATGCCATAATTCCTCCTCTCCCACATCTCCTGCAGGCTCTGACCGGGTCCTGTTTTTGTTCTACCCCAGGCAGTGACAGTGACCAGGGCTGTGATGTGTCTCTCACAGCTTGTAAAGGTGGCGTCCTGGAGGGCCTTATGTGGAAGGGGGATGGGGTACAGGGGACAAGACTGGATTACGGTGATTCTTTGGGACACTTTGAGTGTGTAGTGGGGAGTTCAGAGTGTTACGCTTTATGGCCACTGACCTGAATTTGTTCATGACTATTGTTTTCTGTAGCCTGAGGCAGCTGTCTTGTGAGGGACTGAGATGCAGGATTTCTTCATGCCGCCCCTTTGTGACTTCAGGAGCCTCTGGTGTCTCTTTCTGCAAAGGCATCTGAATGTGTCTGTGTCCCTGTTAGCCTAGTGTGAGGAGGTGGAGAGACCAGCCCTCCCCCATGTCTACCATGACCCCCTTCCCCATGCTGAATTAGCTGACTTTACAAAAAGAAAATTACCATCAATAATGTGGATGGGCCTCATCCGATCAGTAGAAGACTCTGAGAGCAGAAACTGAGGTTTCCCAGAGAAGAAGAAATCCTGCCTCAGAATTAGAACATCTTCTTTCTGCGTTTTCAGCCTGCTAGCTTATCCTGCAGATTTTCATACTTACCGCCCTAATAATCACATGAATAAATATCATAATATGAATACAAATACACACACACACACACACACACACACACACACCTTATTGGTTCTGCTTCTCTGAAGAATCTGGACTGATAGAGACTGTGGTACGAAGAGTGGTTCTAGAGGAACAGAATCTTTTTAAAAATTTTATAGCTAACCATAAAAAATACTTTATTAAAATGTTGAAATGTATATAAGCATAACTACAAATTAGCAAATTAAGAATTAAATTGGCAAATAAGAAAAGAATTGTTTTCTTTTCCTAATACAGTACAAGCAACAGTAATTTGGATCTTCCTCACTTTCAGCCACCATTTGCCCTAGGTGTCCTTCACTTAAGCTTCTAGCTTGTGTTTTTGGAGTGAAAATTCACATGGATACTAAGAAGCAACTCTAATAATGTGAATCAGGTATCAAAAACTCCTTATGGCATGTTAACATGTAATGATGGTTCATATATATTCCAACATCTCACAACAGGCAAGCATTATTTCCAGAAGAAAATTAAGTCACTTTTGTAGCTGTGAGTGAATGTTCTACAAATGAACACTGAAGATTTAAGGCATTGCTCTGCTCTGGAGCAGTGCTTCTGTGGCTCCAGCAAACTGTACAAAGGCTTTCTTTAATTATATATATATTATTTTATATACACAAATATTATATATATACACACCCCCTGAATCTAAAAGTTGAAAAAAGAAAAAATACAAATGTATCTTCTGTGATAGTTCAATTACTTCACTCCATCGATGATTTTCTTGGGCATAGAACTGAAACTATCAGTCAATGATGTGTGTTTATACACCTGGCTGTGATTCAAATGGTTATGAATAAATGGTCTTCCATTTCCTGTTGCCACTATAACATGGTTATTTGTCCCTGATCTAACAACTCCTTCTCCAGCTCCATTCTCTGGCCCCTGAGATTAATAGTCCAAGTGGTATCTTGGGTCAGTAAGTGGTTAGACAGGACAAGGTTGATTTGAGCTAATACTTCCGGCATGTCCATTTTGATTTGTAACAGAGGCTTTTTCTGGATTCATCCCCTACAAGGTGAGCTGGATCACCTTGCAACCATCACCCATGCTTGAAAATACGGGAGGTAGCCAGTGTTTCTCTTTATGGCCAAACACTTGTCTCCAATTTTTACTATTGTCTTGTTTTTTTAAAACCAACCAGCAGTAGTAGCTGAAAGAGAGAGACACTGAACAAGAACTTTGCAGGCACAAAGAAAAGGAAAAGTATGTGGAGCTTTGCTGTGTATCTGTCAGTTCATCCTACTCCACTAGAACCTGGCGTTCTCAGGACTTGATGTCCTGCAGGCACCCAGCTGAGGGCAGTGAGCACCCTGAGAGCCAGCTGGACTCCCCTCTTGGAGTGTAATCGCACAGCAACAGCATCTGCATATGGAGTTGCCCTGCACTTCTGGAACCGTCTCTCTTGGTCATGGGGGCTACTGTGACATTGTCCTTTCTTCCGTTTTCCTTTCTTCCTCTGTCTTGTTGCTAGGGATAACTTTGCCCCTGCTGGCGTCATGTCCTGAAGAGCTGAGGATGACACATCCTGGCTGGCGTCCTCCCTGGTCGGCCTTGGGTCACTGTCTAAGTGTTAAGTGTTGCCTGTGGCAGGAGGTTGTGGGAATGAGCGGCACCGCCTCACGGAGCTGTCCCTGTGGGAGTGGCCTGCAGGTGTTTGTACCTGTGGCATTTTCACAACTCTTTCCAAGACTCAAGAATGTGCTGTGGGAGGAGAGCAGGTCTGGGTCCTCCCCTGTGTCCCCCATCTACTCATCTGGGTGGCTGTGGGACTGACGTTGTCGGAAATGAGAAACGCTGCCCCTTCACAAGGCACTACCTAGTTTTTCTCTTCTGGAAGGTGGCAGCACAATGCCCAGGTTGAGATGGACACAGGCGTCAGCAACCTCAAGTAAAACATGTGATTCTAATAGAAATACCCGAGCTTTTCAATGTGAATGAACAGGACCTTCCACCCTCTGGCAACTATGTATTTTTCCTTGAGATTTGACAAAAAAAAAAAGAAAGAAAGAAAAAGAAAGAAAGAAACAATAATGGGAAAAAAAAAAGCAGAAGAAGGTGTGGTGGCTGGGGTGTGGGGAGCTGGGACCCTGGCCCTGTGCAGGTGAGTTGCCAGGTGCTTCTGGGGAGGCCACCACCATCCTGGGCTCTGGCAGGTTGAGGCACCACAGAGCCAGCCTTCCTGACGATGCCGTCTGTCCCAGTGGCTCACCGGAAGCCACTGCGCCCAGATTAGTTTTGTGTTGATAGAAATTTTTAAAGTATTATGTTACATAATTTTACGCTTTTTGAGGAGGCAAATAAGTCTTTCTGGCTAAGTTGCTCCTCATGGCAATCTCTCTGATGTGCTTGAAGACGGCCAGATCTGTGGGGTTCCCACCGTCAGTGAATACTTGTGCTTCCCTGCGGGGTCTATTTTCAGGGGTCTTTGCCTGTTGGTTGCCCCTGTGACTGCTGACCTCACGCCCTTTGGTGGAAGCCATGCTCTTCCTTGCTCACTGAGGGTTGGAAAACTGGAAAATTATGGTTGATGAGGATAGACAGTAACATTTGTTCTTTGTGGCACTGTCATCACCCGCACTTGAAGGTGAAGCCATGTTTCAGAAAGTACAAAACGTGGCTCCATCCCTTGGCTGCCAAGTGGCCTAGTGGCAATGTGAGCCCAAGTGGACGACACTGTGACACAGGACAGGGTGGATTCAAGGGCTCCTTCCCAGCTCAGGGATTAACTGCAGGGCTGGGGGTAACCGGGGCTGAGAGGAACCTGGAGACGTGCTGGTGTGTGGCCGGGTGAGAGCCTGGAGACAGCCTCCACCTGTCCTCACAGCACCTGGGGGAGACATACTGAGGAGGGGGCACCTGCCCCTCCACTCTGCCTCACCATTGTCCCCCATCTCACTGGCATCCCTGGTGTCCACCAGGCACTTTTCACGTGTCTCCTCCTTAACCTTCAGAACTCCGTGAGGTCAGTGTTGGGTTTGCATTTCTGGAGTTGAGGGAAGACTTTGAGCCTGGGAGACTCCCTAGGGAGGGGTCCACATTCCATAACTGACGCCACAGTTGAGCCCCAGCAGTTCGGACTTCGGACCCCAGAGTGTTCTGAGCTCTGAGTTGCTCTGGGCTGGCAGTGCCCTGTGCCAGCTGCACTGAGGCAGCCGTGTTCCTGCTGGTCCTACAGGATTCCCCACCTGAAACCAGAAGCAGATCAGGATTTCCCAAATTCTCTCTAGCCCCGATGGGTGACATCTCCACTGTTTTAAGGAGGCAATAATTGCAGCTACTACTTCTGTGGTGGGTGTTGCCATGTTCCAGACATCTTTCTGGGTACTTGGCATATGTAAACACACACATTTACAATGGAAGCTCGTGAAGCACAGAGAGGTTAAGTGACTTGGTCAAGGTCACACAGCAGTAAGTAATGGAGCTGGAATTTGAGCTGAGACAATCTGCTGGCATCATGTCAGATACAGTGAGATGACTGGAGGTGGGAAGAAGCTGGGGTGTGTTGATTACACAGAGTACACATGGCCTCTGTAGTAAGCTGGAGCCTGTGGCCACCCAAAGGTGGATTTGTGCATGAGCCGAGGACAGGTTTCTAATGTGCCAGATGAGGTGAGTAGGAGATGATGCACCTGTGTCTTCACCTTGTCCTCCCGTCTTTGTCATCTCCTGAGGATGGAGCATCTGTCATGTGCACACTGAGTGGCACCGCTCATGCTGGGTGAGTCGCTGCAGCTGCAGGCCCCCAGGGTCCTCGTGAGAGGCAGTCAGCACCTGCAGCTGCTGGGGCTCCACCAGGATGCATTTTGAGGACACCAGCTCTGCACCATCCTTGACCCAGACAGTGGGCCCCATGGGACCACCTCCAGGCAGGGAGCAACTCAGCCCTGCGGTGTCCCGGAGGCCAAAGAACAACTGCTCCTGATGGTTTCAAGACCTCAGCGGGAGGCTGCAGCAGGCCTTGAGTGAGGGAGGATCAGCTCCCAGAGCCTGGGTCCTGCCAGACAACACTCAAACCAGGGGCTGGTAAATAATCCCCAAAAGGACCTGGGGCAACATTTTCAACTTTGCCAACCAGTCTCTATACCAAAGACTTAACTCTGCCCTTGTAGCATGAAGCAGCCTTCCATAGACATCCTGATGGTCTCCCCCAGGCGGGCTGCTCCCAGTCCTAGGGGATCAGAAGTAGGGGCTGAACAGCCACAGCCATACAAAGCACTAGGGTACAGGCCAGGGTGTCTGTGGCAGCGGCTGGGGCTGCAGTTTGTCAGGCAGCATGCAGAGGCATGCTGCTCCCCACAGCTTAGCTTGGCACTAGCAGGAGGAGAGTGCCCCTTAGAAGCCTAGGGGCCACTGGAGCCCGACTCAGTGTGTGCAACTCCCGAATAGGCTTGGTGCCCATAAACCCAGCACCATTCTGGGCTGCTGACCCACCAGTGCATAGTGCACCCCAGCTGAGCCAGCTGTCCTTGGCCCACCAAGCCTCAGACCATGCCCAGCCTAGCTTACTGGGGCATAGGGACACTGGAACAGAATTTTAAGAATGAATGTACTGAATTTGGTGCGGGGGGGGGGGGGGTTTCTTGAATTGTTTCTCTAATCTATTTGGATTTAAAGGCACAAATGACTCTATTTCCATTAGTACAGAGAGTGTGAATACTCAGAATATCACCATTGGATAGACCTAATCAAATACTTATAAGATCTGGGTGACTATGTATTTGAGACCTTAGAAGACTTTGTTAAACTAGCTATTGTAAGGTGATTAGCTAATTTTTGCCAATTGTGCTGGACAAAATGCGGAAAGAAAAAGATGAACTCAGGGCTGCAAACTTCCAGCTCATGAGTCACATAAATCACCTAAAAGTTTCTATGTTTCCTTTGAATGAAATCCTAATCTCCTGTAGCTGCAGGGCTGAAATTTCTGAAAAATAAACGCAGCGTCTCATTCTGTGGGTAGCTAAATTACAACACAAAACAAATCCCAAACTTAAAGAATATCTGTTATTTAAGTGAAGGCATTGATTGGGAATAAATGGGATCCTGAAAATCAGAATGGGGACATCTGGGCAGATCCTAATGAAGCTAAAGACACTGAACTCCTAAATTCCTCTGAGAATTATTTGCCAGTTACATTCAACCACATTTGGCGAAGTTAATCCAGCTTTCCCTAAGGAAAAGGTAATGGTCTTCTCTGAGGGAGTTGCCCTCAAGACCCTGTGATTCCACTCAACATTCACCCCCAACACCCCTCTGTGATTCCAGATGCGTAAATAGCCTTGAGTCCTAGCATGTCCTGAAAGGTGAGGTGGAATATGTCAGTATGACGATTTAGAGAACCAATGTGACAATGTGATGAAAATAATTAAAAATGTTTAAAAGTCTGTGTCCTAATGTTTATCACTTGAGTATTCTATGAATTTTCTAAAATTCCAAACATAGAAGAATCTTTCTATATAAAGATGCTTGTCAAAACATTATTTACAACAAGACGAAATGAAGGCAGACGGATCCAAAAAAAGAAGTTGGGTTACATCTTCTTATCTGAAATGGGATATGGCTTGAAAAAGTGTATAAACTTTATGCAGAGCTTATAACATGGAAAACTACTTGTATAATAATACATTCCAAAAGCAACATCCAAGATAACCCTTAACATATGAATGCAACTTTGTAAAATGACAGCATATATAAAAATACATATATAGAAAATAACAAAATGAAAATCAGCACCACTGCACAAGACAGCTCCAGGGACCACCATTTGCACTGCAGTCTACAAAGGTTCAACAATATAATAGCAGTGATTTTTTAAAGAAAGGTCTAGGTGATGTTTCTAACTGTCTGTGCATCTTAAAGTCTTCTGTGATCAAATAGGGTTTCACTTTTGAATATAAAAACATATATTTTAACATTTAAAATAAAGCATTTGAAGTAAAATAACAATGAAATGAGGCCAGACATGGTGGCATGCACCTGTAGTCCCAGCTACTCAGGAGGCTGAGGCTGGAACATTGCTGGAGCCCTGAAGTTCAAGGACGTAGTCCACTATGATCACAGCTGTGAATAGTCACTGCACCCCAGCCTGGGCAACATAGCAAGACCTTATCTCTATTATAATAATAATAATAATAGTCATAATCTTCTTTCTCCCTCAGGCTAAAGCTACTTTCTCATTTGAACCCAAAGGGCAGAAATGCCTACCGAGTGCTCCACCAGAGAAAAGAAATGAGTTCTTCCTTCACAATCCATGATCCAATTTTTGGTTATAGAGTTCAGCTGAGCAATAAAGGCAACACTAAGAACACCATCAATATATAGATTACTGATTGTCATGTATGTGTTCGTGTATAAATGTGTGTGTCTATATATATGTATATATATAATTACCACTACACCTGAAAGAGGGAGATGGATTCTTCCATTTCATAGATGAAAATCTGAGCCCCTGTGTACTTTGAGGCTTGGTCTGGGTTCACTGAATATTAGCCTTGAGAACTGGGAGACACTAAGCCTCCTGCAGAGCCCATCTAGGCATGAGCCACACCAGTGGAGACTCCTCAACAGCAGGAAGAGCAACTGAGATCCAGGAATGTCCACACTTGTAGAGGGTCCACGTCCAGTGGAATACAACTGAAGGATGGGTGAAGGGTACAGTCTAGCTGCTTCCTTCAGCTGGGGGTGGCAGATGGGTGGGTCAGTCAGCTACCCATGAGGTGTATCATGTTCCTAGGGCTGTCTTTCATTCCTCTGCTGAGAACTCCATTCTGCACAGACAAAAACCATATATTCACTAGTGAGCAGGATCCTTTTTAGAAATGCAAACATAACTTCCCTAACATTAAAGCCAAACATTCTTTCTCCCAGTGAACCATCTTATTTGGATAATCTCCTAACTTCCCCTGAAGTTAGCCCCAGAGTTGCATCTGAGCATTTGGAAGCGAGACAGAAAGTCATTTTGGGGTTTGGACCTGGCTGATCTTGGACCGTGTTCTGAAAGTGTGGGCGGCAAGCCACCCAGGTGCCGAGGCAAGAGACCGAGGACACGAGCTGTTCTAGTATAATAAAATATAAAACAAGAATAGTTGTACCAGATATAGAGCTTAGATATGATTATATATGAATATCATTAATCATTAGTTGGTAGCAATTACTCTTTATTCCAATATTATAATAATCCTCACTCTATAATCATAACCTAAGAAAAACCAGGCCATACAGAGATAGGAGATGAGGGGACATAGTGAGGTGTGACCAGAAGACAAGAGTGAGAGCCTTCTGTTATGCCCAGACAGGGCCACCAGAGGGCTCCTTGGTCTAGCGGTGATGCCAGCGTCTGGGAAGACGCCTGTTGCCAGGCGAACCGTGGTCTAGCGGTAGCGAAAAGTGTCAAGGAACAACACCCACTACTTAGCAGACTTAGAGTTTAGAGAAGACTCTGCTCCTCCACCTCTTGTGGAAGGCCTGACATCAGTCAGGCTTGCCTGCAGCTATCCGGAGGCCTAACCATCTCCCTGTGATGCTGTGCTTCAGTGGTCACGCTCCTAGTCTGCCTTCATGTTCCATCCTGCACACCTGGCTCTGCCTTCTAGATAGCAGTAGAAAATTAGTGAAAGTACTAAAAGTCTCTGATATGCAGAAATAATGGCATAAGCCGTCTTTCTCTTTGTCTCCTCTCTCTCTCTGCCTTGGCTGCCAGGCAGGGAAGGGCCCCCTGTCCAGTGGACACATGATCCATGTGTCCTTACCTATCATTGGAGATGACTCACACTCTTTACCCTGCCCTTTTTGCTTTGTATCCAATAAATAACAGAGCAGCCAGACATTCGGGGCCACTACTGGTCTCCGCGCATTTGTGGTAGTGGTCCCCCGGGCCCAGCTGTCTTTTCTTTTATCTCTTTGTCTTGTGTCTTTATTTCTACACTCTCTCATCACCACACAAAGGGAGAGACCCACTGACCCTGTGGGGCTGGTCCCTGCATGAAAGGAGGCTTTCTACTTGCAGAAGAGCAAGGGTGAGCTCTGAATAAGAGATGAAATCCTGAGGGGAAAAGACAGATGGGCAGATTCCCAAGCAAACTTGGAATATATTTGCCAGCCTCTTTTTAGTTGTGGTAAAATGCACGTAAATACAAAATTTGCCATTGTGACCATTTAAGTGTACAATGCAGTAGCATTTAGTAGGTGCACAACATTATGCAGCCATCATCACTATCAAGTTCCAGAGCATTTTCACCACCCTAGAAGGAAACTCTGTACCCGTTAAGCAGTCACCTTCCACTCTCCCCTGCCACCAGCACCTGGCACCATTAACCCAGTTTCTGTCTCTCTAGATTTTCTTCTTCTGAATATTTTATTAAAATGGAGTCATACAATATATGGCCTTTTGTGACTGGCTTCTTTCATTTGACATGTTTTCAAGGTTCATCCAAGTTGTAGCATGTATCAGTACATTATTCCTTTTGTGGTCAAATAATATTCCATTGCAGAATAGATTACATGTTGTTTATCCGTTCATCGGTTGATGGGCATTTTCTTTTAAATTAAATAGAGAAAACAAAAGAGGAGTTACAAATTACCACCCCCCAAAAAATACTTGCTTTTCTATTTACCTATGAAGTTACTTTTAGCTGTGTACTTCTTTGCTTCATATGACTTCAAGTTGCCATCTAATGTCCTTTTATTTCAGTGTGAAGCACTCCTTTTAGCATTAATTGTAGAATAGGTTTACCAGAGACGAATGCCATCAGCTTTTATTTACCTGTGCATGTCTGAATTTCTCCATTATTTCTCATGGAGAGTTTTGTCAAATATGCAACTGTCAGTTGAGACAGGTTTTTTTTTCTTTCTGAACTTTAAGTTTGTCAGGCCAATGTCTTCTGAACTCCATGGTTTCTGAAGAACACTTGGCAGTTAATCTCATGGAGGATCCTTGTACCCAATGAGTCCCTTCTCTTGTTGTTTTCAAGATGCTCTGTTTGTCTTTGACTTTCGACAGTTTCAATATAATGTCTGTCAGTGTGGACATCTTTGAATTACTGCTACTTTAAATGTTTGAGTGTTTTGGATACCCAGATTCATGTTTTCAAAAAAATTTCAGAAGTTTGGGGTCATTATTTCTTCAAATACTCTTTCTCCCCCCTTCTTCCTTCTCTCTTTTGGGAACTCCCAAAATGCATATACTTGATGTTGTCTCTTAGACCTCTTCTGTTCATTTTTCTTCATACTTTTTCCCTTCTGCTCCTCAAATGGGCAATTTCAATTGGCCTATGTTTGCGTTTACTGATTCTTCATTCTGCAAACTAAAATCTGCTCTTGAAGCCCTCCAGTCAATTTTCCATTTTGCTTCCCGTACATTTCAGCTCCAGATTTCCATTTGCTTCCTTTTCACAATTATTTATTGATTTCTGCTATTTAGTGAAACATAGTCCTCCTGATTTTCTTTAGTTATTTGTCCATGGTTTCCTTTAGCTCTTTGACTATGTTTAAGACAGTTGATTCAAAGTCTTTGTCTAGTAAGTCAGTCCATTGTTCTTCAGGAACAATTTCTTTCTACTGCTTTTCCTGTGAATGAGTCATACTTTCATACATGCATAACCATGTTTTTTGAAGTTGAAAACTAGACATTTTCAATATTATAATGTGGTAACTGTGAAAATTACATTTTCTAAACTATTTTTGTATAGACTGTATTCTTTATTGTATGTGGCCACTGAAGTCTCATAGTTGTAGATGTGTGGTCTTATTTCTGAGTTCTCTATTCTATTCCATTGGTCTATGTGTCTGTTTTTGTACCAGTACCATGCTGTTTTGGTTACTGTAGCCTTGTAGTATAGTTTGAAGTCAAGTAGCATGATGCCTCCAGCTTTGTTCTTTTTGCTTAGGATTGTCTTGGCTATACAAGTTCTTTTTGGTTCTATATGAATTTTATTTTTATTTTTTTTCAATTTAAATAATCAGTAATGTATAACTTTATTCATTAAATATAAAATAATTTGAAAACAATATTTCTTTTGAAAATTTAAGATTGACAAAAAAATCAACTAAAAAGAATAGTGGCTGAAATTGAATAAAATAGCAAGAACTTCAATGATATATTTGTTAAAACATTTTGAAACAATGCTCTCCATAGTCACATTCATCCACTGTTTGCTGGAACATAAATAACTCATTTAATATTACTGAGTCAATTTAGAATGACATCATTAAATGTAGTTTTTTAAATGTTTTAGTTAGTACTAAAAAAAGACAATTCTCTGAATCTGAAATATTTCTTTTTTCAACCCCTACCTTATTATGTAGTAGCTTTTTAAAATTTTAGGCTGACTTGAATAGCATGGCAAATTATCTTAAAACTGGGGAAAACTTTTTCATGTTCAGATTTTAAAAAAAACCTATAATCACTGACATGTCCAATTTCTGATTTTTCAAATAAGATAGATTTCTTGTCTGCAACAATAAACATTTTAAGTAAAGCTATCTTTAGGATTAAATACATTTATTTTTAAATGAAGCATGATTAATTTTCTATAATCCATATTAATGATTCTCAAACTCTTTCTATAGAAGCACCCTTAAAAACAGCAGAGTAAAACATTTTTCTTGAGGACATGAGCTTAATCTCATTAGCTCAAGACAAGCTCCAAATGGCTTGAAAATTTTGAGCTTTATTTTATATATTAATTTTAATTTTACCTTTAATGTCAATCATCTATATGAATTTTAAAATAGTTTCTTCTAATTCTGTGAGAAATGTCAATGGTAGTTCAATGAGAATAGCACTGAATCTATAAATTACTTCGGGCAGTATGACCGTTTTCACAATATTGATTCTTTCTATCCCTGAGCATGGAGTGTTTTTCCATTTGTCTGTGTCCTCTCTGAGTTACTTAAGAAGCGGTTTGTAGTTCTCCTTGAAGAGATCCTTCAATTCCCTTGTGAGCTGTATTCCTAGGCATCTTATTCTGTTTGTAGCAATTGTGAATAGAAGTTTATTCACGATTTGACTCTGCTTGTCTATTGTTGGTGTATAGGAATGCTTATGGCTTCTGCACACTGATTTTGTACCCTGAGACTTAACTGAAGTTGCCTTTCAGCTTAAGAAGCTTTTCAGCCGAAACAATAGGGTTTTCTAGATATAGGATCATGTCACTTGCAAACAAAGACAATTTGACTTCCTCTCTTCCTATTTGAATATCCTTTCTTTCTCTTACCTGATTGTCCTGGCCAGAACTTCCAATACTATGTTGAACAGGAATAGTGAGAGAAGGCATCCTCGCCTTGTGCTGGTGTTAAAGGGGGATGCTTCCAGCTTTTGCCCATTCAGTATGATATTGGTTGTGGGTTTGTCATAGATGACTTTTATTATTTTGAGGTATGTTCCTTCAATACCTAGTTTATTGAGAGTTTAAAAATATGGAATGCTTCATGAATTTGCATGTCACCCTTGTGCAGGGGCCGTGCTGATCTTCTCTGTATCATTCCTATTTTAATATATGTGCTGCCAAAGCGAGTACTGATCACAAGTTCTTAGAAGTGGAGATAACTGAAGAAATGTGGGTGAGATGGAGTGTTGAATTTCATCTGCAGTAATTTCTGCATCTAATAAAATGTCATTATCTCCGTCTTTTATTCTTTAATTAAGTGGTAAAATGCATTACAGATTTGAAGTTTAAATATTCTTGTATTCTGGGGATGAATAACCTGGGCAGGATATTTAATTTATTTATAGCTCATTGGTGGACACAATCTAGTATTATTTTTCTCAGTATTTTTACCTCTAATTGCTTAGAAGTGATTATCTTATCATGCTTTTCTCTTATGTATTCCCTAGCTGGCTTTAGAATCAATGTTATTTATACATAAACAATAATGAGTTTACTGGCTTTCTCTATGTTTCCTCATTCTCTTGAATATTACGTATAAGTTCAGTAACCTTCTTCAAAGTTTTGGTAGAACTTATGTGTAAAACAGTCTGGATATGCCTGAACGGAAAAAAAGTTTTACAACTGTTTTAACTTCTTTACTTGTAGTAAGTTCTCCCCATTGCCATAATCTTGTTCATAGTCTCAAAATTATTTAAACCTCTACTATATCTTTAGTGGCATATTTATCTATCATAATGTTATTTTATTCTTAATTACCACTGCCTGTTTTATTTCTCCGTCAAAAAAACAGCTGCTTTTGGTGGGCTGGGCCCTCAGCAGTGGCAGCTGCCAGCTCAGCCTTGGTGAGTGGCGACGCAATTGCTGTGCCCATGTAGTGTCCATCACAGCCACCATGGCCACTTTGTGCAGGGACTCCATGAGCAAGGCCTGTGTGGCTGAGTGGCATCGTCCATCAAGCCATCTCACCCACCTGGTTACAGGGAGCCCCATCCCCTTAAAGACCCTCTGGTAGGCATCCACACACAACCACTATCGTCACACACTCGGCCTATAGCAAGAGGTCTATGCGTACCTCTCTCCTCTACCTCCCAGTTTTCCAACTCTATTTTCCTCGTTTGTGACTGGCCAGCCAAGCCATGAGCGACTGCCCATGACTCGTTCATTCATGCGCTATTGGACATCATTTCACACCCCCCACCTCCTATGGGTTTGTTTGGGTTTGATCCCTAGTTCCTGGCTCGAGAGCCATTTCCAAAGCTGTTCTGGTGTCAGCTCCCAAACCTACTGCTCTTGTTGTAGATTTTCCTCTTTATATGTATTTGTTTCCTGGAATTAAAAACAATTGCACTAATTTTTTCAATCCAGCATTTCCAAGGATGTGCAGTAGGAGCGATTCTTCTTAGCGTAGATAGAATTGCTTCAAAACATCAGCAAAGTATATTTGAGTGAAGGACAGCATGCGTGGAGAAAGAAGGACAATCCACAAGTGGGCAGTGGAGTTTCACATAGTGAACACTCAGGTAAACAACACCCACATCAAAGTACACCAATCACAGCCTCCCAGAAACATCACTGGATCTTACTCAGTCACAAACCACCCTCCCCAACCCTAGAGTAGCCACTCCTGATTTCTAACACAGATAAGTTCTGCCAGTTCCAGTTGAATGGCATTATACAGTCACCATCATGCTCCTGGGTCTCATCATCCTGCTGTGTGTGGTCATAGCCTATTCACTCCCATGGCTGTCCAATGCTCCACTTTATAAATAGCTCACATTTCTTGTCCCTTTGCTGTTGATAGACAATTGTGTTATATCCAGATTTTACAAATCGTGATGCTATGAATAATATTTTCATATATTTTGGCACACACATACATGCATTTCTATTGGTTGATAACTAAGACTGCTATTGCTGGGTCATAGGTGAGTAGATGCTTGGCTTAGTCTCTCAAAAAGCAAGTTTCTAGTAGTAAACAAACAGTACAGGAGGGTGAATCTCTTACTTAGAAATTATTCAGATAATAAATGAGGAAGGAATGAGAGACTGAGACTATAATAACTCTTTTGCAACCCATCAAGAATTAACAGATTTAACCATTGAACAGCAATGGCGATTAACAACACAATAAAAAAAACTAATGTGAGGTTCTTCCTCTTGATGGAAGAACACAATACAGCACCATCAAACAAATACAAGTGAGAAAGAAATCAAGCCTGAATAGAAGCTAACCTCCATAGCCAATTACCAATTTAGAGGCAATACAGATAATAAAAACACATATTCAAACAATGGCTTGGGGAGCAATCAGCAAAATGCACACTATGGGAAGTTCTACCACACAATATAAATTTCAAGAAAGAATCTATAGAATAAAAGAGAACAAAAGCATATTTCTAAAGGTAAAACTAAATCATAGTTTTGGATGATAAAAATATAAAATAGAACAAAGAAGTTATGATCGTAAAAGTCAGGATGTATTTTTATTTGGGGGAGGAAAGAGTTTATTGCTGAGCTGGGGCAAATGATGGGGCTTCTGGTTTGCTCCGCAAACGTCTATCCTTGGTGGTTAATGGGTGTTTACTTTTTATTAAAGGACACAAATTTTAGACCTTCTTTTTTTCCTTTTGGAGTCCTAGATTTTATTTTATGACACAAAGGCTAATGAAAAAATAATTTATAGAGTATGGTTACTGTTTTGCACGAAGCCCCCTCCCCATCTTCCCTCTGAGCACCCAGGACAACCAGCAGCCCCAGGACCCCCAGAAGGGGTGACCTCACTTCTAGGTGTGCATGCAGCTCACATCACCAGAGGCAATATGCAGGTCTACTCCTGGACTCCTGGAAGAACCTGATAGGACACAGCTGAAGGGAAGCCTTCCCTGCCATCTGCAGGCTCTTGGCCATCAGTGTAGAGGGAGCGGGTCCTCACCTCTCCACAGGCGCCTTCACGGCCAGAGCCTCCTCTCTGCATGGGGAGTAAGGCCTGGCCCTTCCCCTGAACACGGTGACATGGATCTCGCCAAAGGTGGAGATAACACCATTCCTCCCCCACCAACCTCACGCTTCTTTTGCTTTACAGGAAGATTGACGCAGGCTGGTGTCCAGTGAAGAAATGCGTGGTGCGTAGGAAGGAGAGGTGGATCTCAGGGCTGTGCGTGATCTGCAAAGGAAGCGCATCGACCACCAGGTGGCGCTGCTGCGCTGCTTCTGCTCCCTGGAGGTGGATGCCCAGGACGAGCTTTGAGGTGGAGAGAGGGATGTCATGGCTCATCCTCCAGTTTCCAAGTAAAAACCTTCCGGCCAATCTTGGCCGCGCGTCCTGGTGTAGCGAGCGGGCTTGGAGGAGCTCACCGCTGCTGTCATGGTTCGTTTGCTAAACTGCATCGTCGCTGTGTCTCAGAACATGGGCATCGGCAAGAACGGGGACCTGCCCTGACCGCCGCTCAGGAATGAATTTAGGTATTTCCAGAGAATGACACAATCTCTTCAGTAGAAGGTAAACAGAATCTGGTGATTTTGTGTAGGAAGACCTGGTTCTCCATTCCTGGGAAGAATCGACCTTCAAAGGATAGAATTAATTTAGTTCTCAGCAGAGAACTCAAGGAACCTCCACAACGAGCTCATTTTCTTGCCAGAAGTCTGGTTGAGATCTTAAAACTTACTTAACAACCAGAATTAGCAAATAGAGTAGACATGATTTGGATAGTTGGTGGCAGTTCTGTTTATAAGGAAGCCATGAGTCGCCCAGGCCATCTTAAACTATTTGTGACAAAGATCATGCAGGACTTTGAAAGTGACACGTTTTTTCCAGAAATTGATTTGGAGAAATATAAAATTCTGCCAGAATATCCAGGCGTTCTCTCGGATGTATTAAGTACAAATTTCAAGTATATGAGAAGAATGATTAATATGAAGGTGTTTTCTGGTTTATTTTAAGTTGTTCCCCCTCCCTCTGAAAAAAAGTTTATATTTTTACATTAGAAAAAAAGACTTTTGTTGACTTTAGATCTTTGGATAATTATTTCTAAGCAACATGTTTTTACTCCCCACTAATCTTGACTATATCAGATACCACTTATGAAATATTCTTGCTATAATTAAGTGCCTCTCCAAGACCCTGACTGAGTCCCCAGCACCTGCTACAGTGAGCTGCCATTCCACACCCATCGCATATGGGACTCTTGCCAGTCCTTGACATTGTCGGGCTTTTCAAATGTTGGTAGTATTTCTTAAAGATGAAGATGCACATACCCTCCAACTGAGAAGTTTCACTAGTGGGAAATACCGAAAGCTCCTTACGTGTATACCCAGAGGTTTGCACGCAAATGTTGCAGCCTTGTTTGTAACAGTGAAAAATTGAAAACAACCTGGAAGTCCAGTGATGGGAAAATGAATATATTTCTGTCTTTTGGGGAACCCAAAGCAGGTTCCAAGACTGCAATTTCAGTGAAAGCAGTTTATTTTCTAGGTCTTACCAGAAATCATCAATTGAGGTACGGAGAAATGGAACTGAGAAGGTAAGAAAACCAGTTTAAAGCCAGTGAGCAGGTTCTCACTGGTAACAAACTCCATACTGCTGAGATACAGGGAAACGGAGGGGAGAAAGCTGGCATATTGATCCCCCACTCCTTGGTTGTCAGCTCCCTGTCCTGTGTGTGGGCAGAATGTACTCCAGCTGCTCTATAGCAAGTCCCAGGTGTTTGCAGTAAGAAGCTGCTGGCATGCATGTGAACAGTGAATGGCAAACACTTAAAGCAATTTCATGTTTAAGTATATAAGCTCTTCATATCTTTTTTTTTTTTTTGACAGAGTTTCGCTCTTGTTACCCTGACGGAGTGCAATGGCACAACTTCAGCTCACTGCAACCTCTGACTTCCCAGGTTCAAATGATTCTCCTGCCTCAGGCTCCCATGTAGCTGGGACTACAGGCACGTGCCACGACGCCTGGCTAATTTTGTGTTTTTGGTGAAGACGGGGTTTCACAATGTTGGTCAGGCTGGTCTCAAACTCCTGACCTAAAGTGATCCGCCTGCCTCGGCCTCCCAAAGTGCTGGGATTATAGGCTTGAGCCACCCCAGATCTTTATTCTTTTTATGTAGTAAAAAGTATAAAGCCACGCATGGTTTATTTGAAATATTTTATGTTTTAAAAAAATACAGAAGCAGGAAAACCAATTCTAAGTTCAAGTGAGGGATGATGGTAGTTTGAACCAAAGGGTTGCATGTAGTAAGAAACTGTGATTTAAGATATATTTTAAAGTCAGAAGTAGCAGGATATTCTGATGGAGTTTGCCCTGGGTTTGGGCCCACTGAGTTTGAGATGCCTTTGAGAAATGAAGAAAGTAGAGAGAGAATAAAAGAAAAACTGGCCAGGCACAGTGGCTCATGCCTGTAATACAGTGGCTCAGCATTTTGGGAGGCAGAGACAGGCAGATACCTTGAGATCAGCTTGGGCAACATGGTGAAGCCCCATCTCTACAAAAAATACAAAAGTTAGCTGGGCATTGTGGCGCACACCTGTAGTCCCATCTACTCAGGGAGCTGAGATGGAAGGATCAATTGAGCCTGCGAGTTCGAGGCTGCAGTGAGTTGTGATTGTGCCACTGCACTCCAGCCTGGGTGACAGAAGAGACCTTGTCTCGAAAAAGAAGCTGAAAACAATGGAACCATGCCTTCAGAATTCCAGAAAGAAAGTTATTTTCAACGAATAAATCTATATTCAGCCAAATAATCAAGGGTGAAGGTAAAATAATACATTTTTAGGCAAGCAAAGACTCAGGGGTTACCTCCATGTATCTTTTGTTGGGAAACTATTGGAGAAAATACTCCAGCAAAATGAAGGAGTAGACAAACCAGAGAATGACATGGATCCAGCAAATAGGATCCAACACAGGAAATATTCCAGCTATGGAGCTGGCTTTAAAAAGAAACAGTAAAAATATTAATAGGTTAGCTGGGTGGAATGGCCCATGCCTGTAGTTCCAGCTACTCAGGAGGCTAAGCAAAGAGGTTGGCTTGAGCCCAAGATTTCCAGACCAGCCTGGCCACCATAGTAAGATTCCCTTCTCTTAAAAATAATAATAGGTTATGGCCAGATTTGGGGCATTTGGAAAGTAGTTCATTGAAGATAAAGCAAAAGTTAAAAAAAAAAAACAAGGGGGAAGGGTGGTTAGGCAATCATTAATTCTAGGGCAGAAGGAAGCACAAGGCAGGAAGCAAGAGCATAATACTCTGTTTTTCTCAACAATGAGCAATATGTACATACTCATAATGATGTGGTGACTACTTAGCCCCTAAATCTGGTAACTACTTTGGGACAATATGGGGGGAAAAGTGAAGGTAGTGATGGTGTAAGAGCTAAATCCTCATCTGTCATATCAAGAAATTACTATAGAATGTATAAAATAATCAAGAAATGACTAAGTAGTTATGTGAGAAAAAAATAGAAGACATTGCTAAAAGAGTTAAAAGTCATTGCTCTGGAGAATTAGGAGGGATGGGGCAGGGGACTGTTAGGATGCATTATAAACTGAAGAGGCTTTTTAAAATTACATGTATTAATATATGCACCCACTTGAAAAACTAAAAAAATAATAATTTGGAAAAACCCATGAAGGTAACTACCAGGAGGAAAAACTAAGAGAATGAAAAGTGTTTGCCTCTCGAGAGAACAACTGGCAGGACTGTTGTTTTCATTGTAAGACTTTTGGAGCCATTTGATTTTACTTAACCATTTTCATGTATTCCTTTAATAAAAACAACTCTATCATAATAAAAAGTCACACTTGTTCATAGAAAACAAACAAACAAACAAACAAACAAACAAAAAAACCTTCCTGCCCAGCCCATCTCATTCTCCCTGAATCCTCAGTGCTAATGAGGACTGTCTCCTTCTCACCTGCCTGGACTGGGCTTTTTAACACTGGAAAGTGGATGTGATTTCTAGTTTCAGCAGGTCCTGGTTTATTGTGCTGCCAGTAAAATAAAATCAAAATACACACTGAATAAATAATAAATAAAATAACCCATGGTGAGCAAAGGTTTACAATGTTTGTTGTTGTTGTTGTTGTTTGAGTCAAGATCCCACTCTGTGGTCTGGGCTGGAGTCCAGTGATGCGATCACAGCTCACTACAGACTTGAATCCATAAGCCCAAGGGATCTTCCCATCTCAGCCTCCCCAATACCTGGGAATGCAAGTGCCCACCACCGTGCCCAGCTAAGTTTACTTATTTTTATATCTTTTAGAGACGAGGTTCTCACAATGTTGTTCAAGCTGGTCTCCAACTCCTGATCTCAAGCAATCCTCTTGCCTTAGCGTCCTGAATTGCTGGGATTACAGGGGTGAGCTGTCATGCCCAGCTTGTAATGTACTGACACCTTCAAGATTTCCTTCTCCAAGTGTGGACACAGCAGCAGACGCCCCTTGTCTCTTGGGTCAGGACACTGGGTAGAGTGGAAGAGCAAGACAACAAAGTCACTGCAGAAAGCATACATGTGGAAGAGGTCCAGCAGGGAGGGCCAGCTGTCCCAGGGACACCATATTTAGGGATAACTCCTCTTTCTGGGCAGGACTGTTCTTTGATTACTTTTATATTCACGATAGTTCTGAAATCGTAGGATGATGATACTCAAGACTGGCTAGGATTTGTTTTCAAAAAACCATCTCCGAGACTTGTCGATCTTTTGAATGGTTTTTAGTGTCACAATTTCCTTCAGAACTTAACTCATTCTTAACATTTCACAGACTACTTTCAGTTAATAATGTACTAGTGCCCATAAATATAGAAATATTGCAACCATTTATCCTCTATAAAATGTCCATCTTTTATGGTATAGATATTATATGTAATATATCTATATAGGTTGTAAGTCCCACGATAAAAAACTTTTTCTTATCTTTAAACAGTTCTATGTATATAAAGTAAGAATAAATGAGGAGAGCAAGATAGCCTTTTGCACTTAGCTCAATATTTACCATTTTTGATCATCTTCATCTTTTTTGATAATCTCATTTTCCACCTGGTATCATTTGCCTCTAGTCTGAAGAATTTTCTTTACCAATTGTAATTGTACAGATCTGCTGGTGACAAATTCTTTTAATTTTCTTTTACCTGAAATATCTCATTTGCCTATCCTTGAAGGACATCTATGCTGGATATAGAATTCTTAGTTGATCTTTTTGTCTTCCAGCACTTTAAAGATGTTATTCTACTTTCTTTTGTTTCTATGGTTTCTAATAAAAAGTCATTGATCAGGACAAGAGGAACAGAGAAACAAAAACCGGGAAAATAACATGGTAGACGTGAAACTTATCATATCAATAATGACAAAAACCTATATGAATCAACACTCCAATGAAGGGCAGAGATTGTGTGACTTGGTTTAAAAAAACACGGAACCCAACCATACGCTCTTTCCAGACATGCACTTTCTTTGTTTTTTTTTTTAATTTAACTTTTATTTTTAGTTAAGGGGTACATGTGCAGGTTTGTTATATAGGTAAACTTGTGTCATGGGGTTTTGTTTCACAAATTATTTCTATGCCCATTAGTACCCACCCAAGTATTAAGTCTTAGTTCCCATTAGCTATTTTTCCTGATCCTCTCCCTCCTCCCACCCTCCACCCTCAAGTGGACCCCAGTGTGTGTTGTTCCCCTCTGCATGTCCATGTGTTCTCATCATTTAGCTCCCACTTATAAGTGAGAACATGTGGTATATAGTTTTCTGTTCCTGCATTAGTTTGCTAAGAATAATGGCCTCCAGCTCCATCCATGTTCCTGCAAAGGACGTAATCTCATTCTTTTTTATGGCTGTATAGTATTCTATGGTGTATATGTGCCACATTTTCTTTATCCAGTCTACCATTGATGGGCATTTAGGTTGATTCCAAGTCTTTGCTATGGTGAATAGTGCTTCAATGAACATATGTGTACATGTAAGTCACTCACTTTCTCTTTTTATTTAATTTATTTTATTTTGCTTTAAGTTCCAGATACATGTGCAGAACGTGCAGGTTTGTTACATACGTATAGTCTGCCATAGTGGTTTGCTGCACCTATTCACCCATCCTCTAAGTTCCCTCCTCTTACCCCCGACTCCCCAAAAGGCCCTGGTGTGTGTTGTTCCCCTCCCTGTGTCCATGTGTTCTCATTGTTCACCTCCCACTTAAGAGTGAGGACACGTGGTGTTAGGTTTTCTGTTCCCATGTTAGTTTGCTGACGATGACTTCCAGCTTCATCCATGTCCCTGCAAAGGACATGAACTCATTCCTTTTTATGGCCGTGTAGTATTCCATGGTGTATATCTACCACATTTTCTTTACCCAGACTATCATTGATGGGCATGTGGGTTGGTTCCATGTCTTTGCTATTGAAAATAGTGCTGCAATAAACATACCTGTGCATGTGTCTTTATAGTAGAATGATTGATATTCCTTTGGGTATATACCCAGTAAAGGGATTGCTGGGTCAAATAGTATTTCTGGTTCTACATCTCTGAGGAATGGTCACACCATCCTCCATAATGGTTGAACTATTTTACATTCCCACCAACAGTGAAAAAGCATTCCTATTTCTCCACAGCCTCACCAGCATCTATTGTTTCCTCACTTTTTAATAATCGCCATTCTGGCTCGCAGGAGATAGTACATCATTGTGGTTTTGATTTGCTTTTCTCTAATGATCATTGATATTGAGCTTTTTTTTCATATGTTTTTTCTTCTGAGAAGTGTCTGTTCATACCCTTTGCCAATTTTTGATAGGGCTGTTTTTTTTCTTGTAAATTTGTTTAAGTTCCTTGTAAACATACATGTGAGCTCTCATCATTCTTGTTTAAACACCTAAGAGGCATCCAAATCAGTGCAACATGGCAAGAAAATGAAATAAGAAACCAATAGAAGGACCAGGCATGGTGGCTCATGCCTGTAATCCCTGCATTTTGGGAGGTTGAGGTGGAAGGATCACTTGAGTTCAGGAGTTTGAGACCAGCCTGATAGTGAGACCTCATCTCTACCAAATAAAAATAATTTTAAAAGAAAAAAGATCAATAGATAGGAAAGGAAGAAACAAAAGTCTTTGTCACCAACTTCATTGCATATGTAGAAAACACTAGGGAATTCTGAAAAAGTCTCTGGAATTAATCACTGAATTTGCAAAATAGTTCATAAAATATATGTAGTAAGTCACTTAGATGAACATGAAAAGACAGCAAACAATACTAGTCATCAAAGAAGTGCAAGTTAAAACCACAATGAGAAACCATCACACATCACCTAGAATAGATAAAGTTAAAAAGACATTGGATAAGTCTAAATACTGTCAAGAATATGGAAAAAATAGGAATGTCTGATATTGCTGGTAGGAATGCAAAAAATGTGGCAGCCAATTTGTAAAGTGGTATGGCAGTTTCTTATACAGTTACCCATCTATTACCACATGGCCCAGCAATTCCACAAATATGTATTTATCCAAAAGAAATAAAAATGTAAGGCCACACTTGTAAGCAGTTATTTATAGTGGCTTCATTAATAACAAACCCTAACTGGAGGAATCCACATGTCTATCAACTGGAGGCAGAGAAACCAATGAATAAGCTGGGATTCCAGCAATACTCAGCAGCTGCTCAGCAACAAAAATGAATGAATGGCATCATCTCACACATCGTTATGCTAAAGGAGAGACCAAACGAAGGACTACATAACATACGACTGCACGTCCATTACATTCTAGAAATTTCAGTATTGCAGTGACAGAAAACAGAGTGGTGGTTGAGTGAAGGGAAGGGGTGAGGGTGGGAGGCAAGGATTAAATAGAAAGGGGCAGAAAGAAAGTTTTTAGGGAAAAGAAACGGTTCTCTACAGCGCCACAACTCAGAGGTAACTGGGTGGTGGGAACTAAGGGGAGAGGAGGGTGTGAGGGAAGAGGACAGAGAGAAGGGCTGGGGAAGCAGGAGGTGAGGACAAGGAGCAGGAGAAAGGACTCTAAAGCAGTGGAGGAGCCTAGCAGGGGATTCTTTGCATTCTGGGTTTCTCTACTGGGCAGTGTGGTAGTTACATGACTATAAATAATTACCAATATTCGCCAAAAAAGCGCAGCTAAAACTGGTGAATTTTATTACACATAAATGCCCTAATAAGCAAAAAAAAAAAAAAAGGGGGGGGGGAGGGGAGGCAAAAATAAAGACATTTTTAGATAATCAAAGCCATAAAATTAATTTCCTAGGGGTCCTGTACTACATTTAATTTTAAAGGAAGTGCTTCAGGGTGAAGGAAAATGATACTAGATGGTGACCCAGATATACAGAAAGGAACAATTAACAACAGAAATGATGCACATACACATGTCACATTCACACTCATTTTCTTAATTTCCTGAAGACATATGGCTACTTGTTTAAAACAAAAAGTATTGCACTGTATCACTGAGTCTATAATATAGGTTGATGTAATATATACAACAATAATAGCACAATGGTAGGTTACAAGAAACTACACTGTTAGAAGTGTCCTTTATTTTGCTGGATGCAGCTTAATATAACCTGAACTTCACTGTGAAAAGTCAAGGAATCGGGTTTCCATTCTTTGCTATTGTGTAAAGAAATATAGCCAAAAGCCACTAGGAGAATTAAAACCATAAACTAAAAAATGTTTATTTGACACATAAGAAAGTAGTAAAGGAGGAACAGAAACAAAAAGATATGAGACAAATTGAAAACGTATAGCAAAATGGTAGACCAAAACCCAACCATTGCAAGTGAAGAAATGACATGACCTGAGTCACATTAGCAGGACTGCTGAGCACTGTGGGGAGAACAGATATGGGCAGGAGGTGAGGGACAGTGTTAGTGCCACAATTCAGGAGTGACAGGGTGGCGGGGACTAAGGGGAGCGGGGGTGTGAGGGATGAGAGGGGCAGACAGAAGGGCTGGAGAGGCAGGAGGTGAGGAAAAGGAGCAGGAGAAAGAATTCTAAAGCAGTGGAAGAGCCTGGCAGAGGGTTCTTTGCATTCGGTATTTAATACATTTTGTTGGACTTCCTAAAAACTAATTGGCTCCTTATGATTAAAAAAAAAAAGAGTTACAAAAATACCAAGTGTTCAGATAAAATACGCACACTGCTTGGATGTGCAGAGTTCAGGAAAACAGGCAGTGCTTCAGCGTCGGTGAAGAGCATTGGGACTGCATGGAGCACTCGCAACTTTGAGGTGATGACTACAGGCTCCCGGTTGCAATAGACAGTAACAAACCCTGCTTCTTTATATTCAGGAGATGTTCTGGACTCACACAGGGAAACTCAGGGTGGGGAATGAAGATAATTTTAAATGCAACAACCCAGAGTTACAGATCCACAGTCTGGGAAAGTAAAACTTAGGAGCTTTGAGAGTTTAATTGTAATGCTGTTTTGACACAGGTCTTTTACAAATTGGAATTCTAATCATTCAGGGATTACCAATATTGTGCTACCTACTGTATTAACAAACAAAAAGGAAACTGGTCTCTATGAGAATCCCTATGCGGTGCCTTCAGAGAAAACTTCACCAGGTTTAAAGAGAAAACCCCTGTCTCTACACCTCCATTCCCAGGGCGAGCTCACTCTCTGGCATCAAGTTCCCCGTGCTCAGTTTCC
Organism: Homo sapiens; assembly: GCF_000001405.40. Taxonomy (NCBI): domain Eukaryota; kingdom Metazoa; phylum Chordata; class Mammalia; order Primates; family Hominidae; genus Homo; species Homo sapiens. Next base: position 31,357,637 of record NC_000006.12, on the reverse strand, counting down.
CTACACAAGAGTCCAAGAGGAGAGGTAAGGAGTGGGAGGCAGGGAGTCCAGTTCAGGGACAGGGATTCCAGGACGAGAAGTGAAGGGGAAGGGGCTGGGCGCAGCCTGGGGGTCTCTCCCTGGTTTCCACAGACAGATCCTTGTCCAGGACTCAGGCAGACAGTGTGACAAAGAGGCTTGGTGTAGGAGAAGAGGGATCAGGACGAAGTCCCAGGTCCCGGACGGGGCTCTCAGGGTCTCAGGCTCCGAGGGCCGCGTCTGCAATGGGGAGGCGCAGCGTTGGGGATTCCCCACTCCCCTGAGTTTCACTTCTTCTCCCAACTTGTGTCGGGTCCTTCTTCCAGGATACTCGTGACGCGTCCCCACTTCCCACTCCCATTGGGTATTGGATATCTAGAGAAGCCAATCAGCGTCGCCGCGGTCCCAGTTCTAAAGTCCCCACGCACCCACCCGGACTCAGAGTCTCCTCAGACGCCGAGATGCTGGTCATGGCGCCCCGAACCGTCCTCCTGCTGCTCTCGGCGGCCCTGGCCCTGACCGAGACCTGGGCCGGTGAGTGCGGGTCGGGAGGGAAATGGCCTCTGCCGGGAGGAGCGAGGGGACCGCAGGCGGGGGCGCAGGACCTGAGGAGCCGCGCCGGGAGGAGGGTCGGGCGGGTCTCAGCCCCTCCTCACCCCCAGGCTCCCACTCCATGAGGTATTTCTACACCTCCGTGTCCCGGCCCGGCCGCGGGGAGCCCCGCTTCATCTCAGTGGGCTACGTGGACGACACCCAGTTCGTGAGGTTCGACAGCGACGCCGCGAGTCCGAGAGAGGAGCCGCGGGCGCCGTGGATAGAGCAGGAGGGGCCGGAGTATTGGGACCGGAACACACAGATCTACAAGGCCCAGGCACAGACTGACCGAGAGAGCCTGCGGAACCTGCGCGGCTACTACAACCAGAGCGAGGCCGGTGAGTGACCCCGGCCCGGGGCGCAGGTCACGACTCCCCATCCCCCACGTACGGCCCGGGTCGCCCCGAGTCTCCGGGTCCGAGATCCGCCTCCCTGAGGCCGCGGGACCCGCCCAGACCCTCGACCGGCGAGAGCCCCAGGCGCGTTTACCCGGTTTCATTTTCAGTTGAGGCCAAAATCCCCGCGGGTTGGTCGGGGCGGGGCGGGGCTCGGGGGACTGGGCTGACCGCGGGGCCGGGGCCAGGGTCTCACACCCTCCAGAGCATGTACGGCTGCGACGTGGGGCCGGACGGGCGCCTCCTCCGCGGGCATGACCAGTACGCCTACGACGGCAAGGATTACATCGCCCTGAACGAGGACCTGCGCTCCTGGACCGCCGCGGACACGGCGGCTCAGATCACCCAGCGCAAGTGGGAGGCGGCCCGTGAGGCGGAGCAGCGGAGAGCCTACCTGGAGGGCGAGTGCGTGGAGTGGCTCCGCAGATACCTGGAGAACGGGAAGGACAAGCTGGAGCGCGCTGGTACCAGGGGCAGTGGGGAGCCTTCCCCATCTCCTATAGGTCGCCGGGGATGGCCTCCCACGAGAAGAGGAGGAAAATGGGATCAGCGCTAGAATGTCGCCCTCCGTTGAATGGAGAATGGCATGAGTTTTCCTGAGTTTCCTCTGAGGGCCCCCTCTTCTCTCTAGACAATTAAGGAATGACGTCTCTGAGGAAATGGAGGGGAAGACAGTCCCTAGAATACTGATCAGGGGTCCCCTTTGACCCCTGCAGCAGCCTTGGGAACCGTGACTTTTCCTCTCAGGCCTTGTTCTCTGCCTCACACTCAGTGTGTTTGGGGCTCTGATTCCAGCACTTCTGAGTCACTTTACCTCCACTCAGATCAGGAGCAGAAGTCCCTGTTCCCCGCTCAGAGACTCGAACTTTCCAATGAATAGGAGATTATCCCAGGTGCCTGCGTCCAGGCTGGTGTCTGGGTTCTGTGCCCCTTCCCCACCCCAGGTGTCCTGTCCATTCTCAGGCTGGTCACATGGGTGGTCCTAGGGTGTCCCATGAAAGATGCAAAGCGCCTGAATTTTCTGACTCTTCCCATCAGACCCCCCAAAGACACACGTGACCCACCACCCCATCTCTGACCATGAGGCCACCCTGAGGTGCTGGGCCCTGGGTTTCTACCCTGCGGAGATCACACTGACCTGGCAGCGGGATGGCGAGGACCAAACTCAGGACACTGAGCTTGTGGAGACCAGACCAGCAGGAGATAGAACCTTCCAGAAGTGGGCAGCTGTGGTGGTGCCTTCTGGAGAAGAGCAGAGATACACATGCCATGTACAGCATGAGGGGCTGCCGAAGCCCCTCACCCTGAGATGGGGTAAGGAGGGGGATGAGGGGTCATATCTCTTCTCAGGGAAAGCAGGAGCCCTTCAGCAGGGTCAGGGCCCCTCATCTTCCCCTCCTTTCCCAGAGCCGTCTTCCCAGTCCACCGTCCCCATCGTGGGCATTGTTGCTGGCCTGGCTGTCCTAGCAGTTGTGGTCATCGGAGCTGTGGTCGCTGCTGTGATGTGTAGGAGGAAGAGTTCAGGTAGGGAAGGGGTGAGGGGTGGGGTCTGGGTTTTCTTGTCCCACTGGGGGTTTCAAGCCCCAGGTAGAAGTGTTCCCTGCCTCATTACTGGGAAGCAGCATGCACACAGGGGCTAACGCAGCCTGGGACCCTGTGTGCCAGCACTTACTCTTTTGTGCAGCACATGTGACAATGAAGGATGGATGTATCACCTTGATGGTTGTGGTGTTGGGGTCCTGATTCCAGCATTCATGAGTCAGGGGAAGGTCCCTGCTAAGGACAGACCTTAGGAGGGCAGTTGGTCCAGGACCCACACTTGCTTTCCTCGTGTTTCCTGATCCTGCCCTGGGTCTGTAGTCATACTTCTGGAAATTCCTTTTGGGTCCAAGACTAGGAGGTTCCTCTAAGATCTCATGGCCCTGCTTCCTCCCAGTGCCCTCACAGGACATTTTCTTCCCACAGGTGGAAAAGGAGGGAGCTACTCTCAGGCTGCGTGTAAGTGGTGGGGGTGGGAGTGTGGAGGAGCTCACCCACCCCATAATTCCTCCTGTCCCACGTCTCCTGCGGGCTCTGACCAGGTCCTGTTTTTGTTCTACTCCAGGCAGCGACAGTGCCCAGGGCTCTGATGTGTCTCTCACAGCTTGAAAAGGTGAGATTCTTGGGGTCTAGAGTGGGTGGGGTGGCGGGTCTGGGGGTGGGTGGGGCAGAGGGGAAAGGCCTGGGTAATGGGGATTCTTTGATTGGGATGTTTCGCGTGTGTGGTGGGCTGTTTAGAGTGTCATCGCTTACCATGACTAACCAGAATTTGTTCATGACTGTTGTTTTCTGTAGCCTGAGACAGCTGTCTTGTGAGGGACTGAGATGCAGGATTTCTTCACGCCTCCCCTTTGTGACTTCAAGAGCCTCTGGCATCTCTTTCTGCAAAGGCACCTGAATGTGTCTGCGTCCCTGTTAGCATAATGTGAGGAGGTGGAGAGACAGCCCACCCTTGTGTCCACTGTGACCCCTGTTCCCATGCTGACCTGTGTTTCCTCCCCAGTCATCTTTCTTGTTCCAGAGAGGTGGGGCTGGATGTCTCCATCTCTGTCTCAACTTTACGTGCACTGAGCTGCAACTTCTTACTTCCCTACTGAAAATAAGAATCTGAATATAAATTTGTTTTCTCAAATATTTGCTATGAGAGGTTGATGGATTAATTAAATAAGTCAATTCCTGGAATTTGAGAGAGCAAATAAAGACCTGAGAACCTTCCAGAATCTGCATGTTCGCTGTGCTGAGTCTGTTGCAGGTGGGGTGTGGAGAAGGCTGTGGGGGGCCGAGTGTGGATGGGGCCTGTGCCCATTTGGTGTTGAGTCCATCATGGGCTTTATGTGGTTAGTCCTCAGCTGGGTCACCTTCACTGCTCCATTGTCCTTGTCCCTTCAGTGGAAACTTGTCCAGTGGGAGCTGTGACCACAGAGGCTCACACATCGCCCAGGGCGGCCCCTGCACACGGGGGTCTCTGTGCATTCTGAGACAAATTTTCAGAGCCATTCACCTCCTGCTCTGCTTCTAGAGCTCCTTTTCTGCTCTGCTCTTCTGCCCTCTCTCCCTGCCCTGGTTCTAGTGATCTTGGTGCTGAATCCAATCCCAACTCATGAATCTGTAAAGCAGAGTCTAATTTAGACTTACATTTGTCTGTGAAATTGGACCCGTCATCAAGGACTGTTCTTTCCTGAAGAGAGAACCTGATTGTGTGCTGCAGTGTGCTGGGGCAGGGGGTGCGGGGAGGGGGTTGCTGTCGAAAGAGGGATGGGGAGGGAGGGCACACAAGCAGCACTGCTGAGAAAAACATAGGCGGCCTCTATCTCAGTGTGAGGGGTCCTTGTGCTGTAGCTGCCACAAAACAGCACTTGGCCTGAGGCTATGTTAATAAAGATACTGCCTTCAAAATAGGGAGGTGCTCTACAGTGATCATTCATTCAACTGACCTTTGTCATTGGCCAGACATAGGACAGAATGGTTCTGCATCTGGGGAACACCACTGAAGTAAAAGAAAAATCTCTGGCCTTTTGTAGCATATGTTCCAGTGGGAAGAGGCAGACGATAGATACATTATAACCAGAGTAAGGAAGGAAAGTGCTAGAAGGTGGTAAGTGCTGTGAGGCAGGTGATCCAGGATGTGGGCAGTGGGGACAGGGAAGGTGGCTGTTGTGCTGGGTAGTCAGTGTGTGCCTTGTTGCAAAGGTGACTTTTGAGGAAAGATTTGAGAGACATGAGGATGTCTGGGGAAGTTCTTTCCAGGCAGAGGAAGCTCCAGTCCAAATGCACTATGGCAGGAAGGTGTTTGTGTTCCCAGAAGAACAAGGAGGCCAGGAGGGCTGGACGGAGAGAAACTGAGGTGAGGTCAGAGGTGCGGCCAGAACAGGTGGGCTTGAGGGGAGTGGGGTTGGATCTGGCCTTTGCTCTGAGTGGGATGGGGAGTTAGAGGACAGTTTTGAGCAGAAGAGAGCCATGATATGACTTCTGTTTTAAAAGGATCTCTCTGACGGCTGTGCTGAGAACAGAATTGAGAGGCGAGGGACGAGGGAGGCAGAAGGGAAAACAGTAGGAATCGAGTGCAGTATTCCAGGCTGGAGATGTCGGTTTCCTTGACTGGGGCGTGAGCAGGGGAAATAGTGGGGCGTGAGGGGATTCTGGATGCATTTGAAGATGGACTCACAGCATTTGCCAATGGATTGTATCTGTGGTGTGAGAAAGACGAATCAAGGACACCCATAGTTGTAAAATGAGTGAGTAGAAGGATGGAGCTGCTGTCAGTGGAGATGGGGAGACTCTGGCAGGAGCGTCCTGAGGAGGGGGCATCACAGGCACTCAGTGGAGGAGATGTCTACTAGGAAGGCAGGTGGGGGAGCTGGGGTGGAATTTGGACAGACAACTCCAGAGTTTAGGGGAAAGGACTGGGCTGGAGAAATAGATTTAGGAGGTCACACCATATATATGAGACTTAAAACCTCAGGCATGGATGAAGCACCAAGGGAGTGACTGACTATGGAAAAGAATGAGCACAAGGACTGAACCCTGGACCAGTTCTAAGGGGTGTGATCAGACCACACCCAGAGCAGACTGCACAGTTCTGGTCCCACGTCTAGAGGACACTCAGACAAGGAACCCCCATGTGCACCAGGATCACCTGGATGTGGTGCTGAGATCCAGGAAGTCTGGAGTTGAGCAAGAGATTCTGGATTTATGACAAGGCTGGAGCTCATGTTGCTGGTCTCCAGATCACACTTGGAGTAGCAAGAGCACCAGGATCCCACATGTCTGAGCATCAGCCTCGCCTCTAGGGCTTGTCATATAAATGATTCCTTGGTCTTGTGCATAATACTCTGAGACAAGGGTTCTGGGGAGTGGCCTGTGTATTTTCTAAGTCCCCGCCAGCAATCCTATTGCTCAGACAGATTGGGAGCCACTGAGATCAGTGATCAGAGAGTGCCCAGGGTGGGTGGGTGGGGTGGGTTTTCAAACCCTGTTTAAAAGAGGATTTTTCTCACAGAAAGAAAAGGGAGGCTGTATATCATCAGTTATGAGAGGTGATATTCTCTGTTGTTCTCTCCACCATGGGGTAGAGGCCAGGTAGACAATTCAGGATGTGGCTCTCGCACAAAGAACACCTCTGAATGCCGCTCTCTGACACTCGCCCGCAGACTCATTTCTCACTCACTTCTTGGAGAAAACTATGGAAACCACATTTCTGTAATGTACACAGAAAGTCGTATATCTGGTATTGGGGGCTAGTTTTATTGTGGGGAAGGCTACAGAAGCAGGCTGGAAACTACACATCCGGGAACAGAATTCACAGCCCACCCTGGATCAGGTCCCTCCTAGGAACAACTGCCCCTGCTGCTGAGCACAGACGCCACTGCTCACACCTCTGACACCCTGGTCCTGGACACTGGACCCTGAGGCTAGGACAGATGTCACTGCTGCACATGGAAATTGGACATCACTACTGTCACTCAGCCATCTTTACTAAAATGCTTTCTGCACAGTCCTAGCCTCTCTGTCACCTCATTCTGGCTGAGTCTGGCAGTGATATAGGAGTTAAGAAGAAATTATTTAGACAGGTAGTGAGGGTACGCAAGGCTTTTAATGGAAAGCAGGCTCCAAATTATTTTCTTTTCTAACAAGGAGCAGCCTGTAATATCAAGCTTCAGACATAGACAAGTAAGCTGGAAGTTTGCACGGGTGAATGCCAGCAGCTGTCCAATAGGAATAGGACGCCTGGGACTGGGTATGTTCACAATGGCGGCTCCATCTTCCCTTCTCTTTGCCAGGCACGTTTACAGTAAGGAGCAGACAACATGTCACCAGCCAAGTGGAAAGCCCATTTGCATAATAGGATGAGGGTGGGGTGAACAGCCTTCCACACGCACTATGTAAATATCACACCTGGTACAACCAACCTGTGGGCCCTACATAAATCAGACACCATCTCCTCAAGCCTGCCTGTAAAATCCGATGCACTCCCATTCCAGGCCGGAATTCCCTTTTGGGTGCCCCTCTCTCTCACAAGAAGGAGCTGTTTCCCTTTGTCTTTCTTTTGCCTATTAAACCCTTTGGTCCTAACTCACTCCTCGTGTGTCAGTGTCCTTAATCTTCTTGGCGTGAGATGACGAACACTTAGTATTTACCTGAGACAATGACACCTCTTCAGCAGGTGGTCATCAGACTGGTGGAGCTTAAAACTCATGTCCATGAGCAACTGCAGGGGTGACTGGAGTGTTGTTGTCCTCTTCCAGGGAGGGAGGTGGTGTCTGTCTCCTCTCAACATTTTACATGTTGTAAACCAAAAATAAACATCAAAGCCACCCCTTCCCAATCATTTTAATGGACACCCTCAGCCAGGGTGCTCAAAAGTTAACCTGAAAGACTGGCTCAGGCCACCAAGGGAAGCAGGTATTGAACATGTCTTATTATGCCCTCTTCCCTCTTGGAATTCAGGAAAAGTTGACCAGCATTTACCATCAACACAGACCTTCAGTCTGATCAGAAACATTTACAATCTATACTCTCTGAAGCCTGGCACCTGGAGGCATCATCTGCATGAGAATTTTGGACTCCACAACCTTTTATCATAACCCAGACATTCCTTTCTATTGACAATAACTCAACCAATTGCCAATCAGAAAAATTAAAAATCTACTTATAACCCAGAAGCACTACCCCGCAACCCTTGCTTGCTTCAAATTGTTCCAACTTTCTGGACCGAACCAATGTATAGCTTAAATGTATTTGATTGATGTTTCATATATTCCTTAAATGTGTAAAACCAACCTGTGCCTCAACCACCTTGAGCACATGTTCTCAGGGTCTCCTGAGGGCTGTGTCATGGGCTGTGGTCACTCATTGTTGGCTCAGAATAAATCTCTTTAAATATGTTACTGAGTTTGACTCTTTTCATTGACAGTGTGGAATTCTGATGTAGTAAGCGGGTTCAAGTGCTGGAGTGTGAGGGGTGGGGAAAAGTGACAAATTTTAATTCTTGGAGCAGTGATCCAGGACGAGAACTTTATCTGGTACCCAGTAGGCACGAAGAGTGGCTGAATGAACCAGTGACTAATAAATAACATATTTCCACCCATTCCCTTGAGGATAGGTTTACATCAAGTTTTTGTCTATCCCAGTTTATACTCTAGATTATTGGAGTGGCATTCTGTAATGATGAAATGATTATTCAAACATCTTCCCTCAGCATGACTCTTACTAGGATTAAAACTCCCAGGTTTGTAAGATCTCAGAGGTTCTGGGTCCACACGATGTTTTCTATTAATATTTATATTTTCTTGTGTGTGGAAATATTTCTGGGGAGAGAATCTCTAACATTTATTAGTTTTTATGTGACACCCTCAAAGGCCTAAAAAATCCTAACTTCTAGATTAAAGGTAGGACCACTCCACGTCTAGACAATGAACAGCTGGTAGCAACCTGTGTTTAGGGACATGAAACAAATGCTTACATTTGTTTATCTTTTCCTCTGGGACCGAAGAAGGTAGAGGTTTACTTGCTTACTCTTACTATAAGTTTCTCTCTGTGGGATGGTGATGGGGTTTTCTTCCACCCAAATAACTTTCTGATTCTCCAACAGCAGCTGGGAGTCCTAGAGCTTGACTCAATTCTGACACTAACTACCTGGAGTTCGCCTCAGACTCCACAGGTTTACCAGCTCAGTCCTACAAGTCTGTCCTCACTTCAGAAGCAAGTCACAAGTATCACGTCCCAGGTTACCTGCACTTCTGTCTAACATGGCTGCAAAGTCAGGGGTTTCTCACCTCCCAAGGATTGAGAATTCTTAAACTAACACAAAGAACTCAGGAAGTTGCTATAGCCATGTAAACCAAAAAACGTCTGAGACAGGTCTCAGTCAGTTTAGAAGTTTATTTCACCAAGCTGAAGATGCACCTTGGAAACAGAGACACAAATCATTGTAGCATCTGTGGCCCATGCTTTTTCCTAACAGGCTTTTGAGGACTTCAATGTGTACAGGGGAAAGAGCAGCCAGGAGAGGAAAAAAATAGTCAACTATGCATTCATCTCATGCTCAGTAAATCTGCATTTTAAATAAGATAAAGTAAACATTGGGTGGAAAAGTCAAATATGCGTTTGACTCTGGGTGGGTGGAGGGATGATTTCTAGTCTTGTCTTTGTCCTGTACCTGTGAAGATAAGCTGTTAATTTACATTGTCAGGGGAAAATTCAACAAAACTGTTTTAGGGTAAACACGTTGGGGCCCACAAGGAATTATCTTGTGAGCAGTTTGTGAGGGAGGCCACCTGGGGAGATATGTGGTCTTCTATCTTTGCAGTTATTTGTTTAGGAACGAAAGAAAGGCAGTTTTTCCATCAGTCTCCAAACTTAATTTTTCCTTTTGGTATAGTGAATTTGGAGTCCTGAAATTTTATTTTCTTTTCACACTCAGTATTGCAGTTTTTTATTGTTATAGCTTAAATCCCCACCTTTTTGGCACCTGGGACTGGTTTCATGGAAGACAGTTTTTCCATGGACTAGTGGAGGTGGTGGAGGGCAGAGGGAAATGGTTTCGGATGAAACTGTTGTACCTCAGATGATCAGGCATTAGCGCTTCATAAGGAGCATGCAACCTAGATCTCTTGCATGCAGAGTTCACAATAGGGTTCATGCTTCTATGAGAATCTAATTCCGCCACTGATCTGACAGGAGGCGGAACTCTGGTGTCATGCTCATGCTCTCTCACCCACTGATCACCTCCTGCTGTGCAGTCTGGTTCCTACCAGGCCAGGAACCTGTACCAGTCCGCAGCCCGGGGGTTAAGGACCCCTGGTTTAAATTATGCCACTAGAGCAGAATTCCTGAGACTGGATAACTTTTAACAAACAGAAATTTGTTTCGTTCATGGTGTCGACGATGAGAATTCCCAGATCAAGGGACTCTATCTGGTAGAAAACAAAAGGACAAGAGAGGATGAGAGGTGGGGGGAAAGGAAGTCAAACTCACAGCCTCAGGTCCTTTTATGATGAGCCTTAATCCATTAATGAAGGCAGAGCTCTGATGGTCCAATCACCTCTCAAAAGTCCTATTTCTTAAAAATGTTGCATTCGGGATGAAATATCCAACAGGTGCTTTTTGGGGGAAACATTCAAACCATAGCAGTTATAAAGGATACAAATGAGCAGCCAGATGAAGAGGTGCACAGGGTGAGGCCTGGAAGGGCTCTGAGCACAAGAGCCTCTGTCCCCACGGAGATGGGGCTCACCATCCTCCCAGCATGTGGACACACAGATGTGCTCTCCGAAACCCAATCTCCAGAGGTTTCTATGGAAATTTCATTGTGTAAGCATGATTAATTAAATCACCGGCCATTGTGTGACTGAACTCAACCTCGAGCCTCTCTTTCCTTCCCAGACTTTAGGGATGGGGCTAACAGTTCCAATCCTCTAATCACAGCTTCGTGTTTCTGGCAACCAGTCCCCATCCTGAAGCTATCTAGGAGCCCCTCACCCCATAGTCATCTCATTGCCATGTTGAAGTCATGTTTATCACTGAGGAGATTGCAAATGTTTTAGAACCTGGTTGTCAGGAAACAGGGAAAAGACCAAATATTTTTATTGGACCACAGATCACACCCTGGTTTTGACCACATTATCTCTTTTTATAATATTTATTATTTTATTTTAGAGATAATCTCTTGCTCTGTTGCCCAGGGTAGAATGCAGTGGCACAATCATAGCTCACTCTAACCTTGAATTCCTGGACTCAAGTGATCCTTCTGCCTCAGCCTCCTGAGTAGATAGCATTACAAGTGCACACCAACATGCCCAACTAATTTTTAAATATTTTGTAGGAATGGGTCTCACTATTCTGCCCAGTCTGGTCTCAAACTCCTGGACTTAAACAATGTTCCTACCATTGCCTCCCAAACTGATGGAATTATAAGTGTGAGCCACTGTGCCTGGCCAATCACAGATCTCCTACACCAGAAGAATCATAACAGTGAAAAGATCCTGGCACATTACCAGAATCCTCTTTGGTCATTAACAATTATCCCAGTGCAATCCATAAACAGGAATAGTTTCGGCAACATATGACTGAACGCTTTCAGGCATCTGGTAAAATTGAGCTAAGAGACAATATCATCTCTTGCTTCTACCTTTTTCAAGTAGTTCATGTAACATTGGATTTTCCTCATTACATAACCCATTTATTCATTCATTTACCCTCAGCTACTATTTCTCCTTCCCTTCATTTATACTAAACATTTATAATTTTGGAAGGAACACTAGGTTCTGCTGCTGTGCTGGCTGAGACTGCAGGGACCAATACTGTTCTAGCAAGTGTCTCCCGTCATCCATTCCAGTTCATAGAGGGTAGGGTTATGCAGGTAGAGAACTGGTTGGCTATCTGACCCCAGGCAATACAGCTGCATTCAGTGTTAGCCCCAACTTTGCCAGATGCAGTGAAGGCACAACCTACTTCTACAGGCTCTTAGGAATTATTACATAATGGACATAAAATATATTTACAGTTTCTTGCTCAGGAATAATTCCTGTTTCTGAACTCTATTTGCATCCCTAGTCCTGGGACCACTGCATCAGGTATGAGAAAAGCAAGTTGAGGTGAATTACAGTCATCATTCCAGTGTCCTCCCACCTTGGGAAGGAATATGTGTAGATCACACCAGCACCTTCCCCTGATCCACCAGGAAAAGAGAGGATACTCTCATGTCAAGTGTGAGCACACTCATGAAGGTGTATAAGCCCACCCTTTGTGCTTGTTTCCCCACTCTTTCCTTTACACATCCAACTGACTATTTTAATTCTCTATGGAACTCTTCCTCTGAGGAGGATATCTCTCTGTGACCATTGTTGGACATTTTGAGCAGGTGCATTTTCTGGTGTAAAGAAATATGACTCGGTGGTCCACATGGTTGCAGTACCTCCCATTCAAGTTCTTTTGTAACACTCGAGCATTTGCATCTGAGATAAAGCAGGGACCTCTTTTAGAAGCCTGCTGGGGCCTCCCAATCTAGAAATAAAGAAAAACCTTCAGTCCCTTCAAGAGAAATTCCAGGCACCTAGCCAGCCCTAAAAAGTAAGTGAGTGACCTTATAAGCAAGAAGGAATGATAGCTTGAAACAATAGCCAAGGAAGTTAGAGTCACAAGATGTTTCATTCTCTATAGAAACTAAAAATAACATCTTAACATATGTCCCTGAGTTGTTTTTCAGAAACATGGATTCCCTCCTAATAGATCCACTGACAGGGAGACCTTATAAAGGGGAAACTGAGAACTGAACTCTGACCGCCGTTCTTTGTTCTAAATTTCTTCCTGAGGGACCTGGAGAGAGTCAAGCCCACAGGCCAGGCCTGAACATTCCTCTCTACTGCCCCCAACTGTGTAAGGAAGCTGTGTAAAGAAGCTTTGCTTCCTTATCTATCACAAATCAGAGAATCTTTAAATCTACCTAAGACCTGTAAGCTCCCTCATCAGGATATTCTACCTTTTAAGGCCAAAGCAGTGTAACTGCTATGCATTGATTTATGATGTTGCCTGTAACTCTGCTTTCCCGAAATTTGCCCCTGCCTTTAAAAATTCTTGCTTGTGAGCCATCAAAAAGGTTGGGTCTTAAGCGTGAGCTGCCTGATTCTCCTTGTTTGGCGCCCTACATGTAAATGCCCTCCTTTGTCCCACTACAATCTCAGTGTGGATGTTTGCTTTTACTGCCCCAGGTGAGTGGACCCCAGTTCAGTTTGGTAACACACCTACCACCAGCTGAACAAAGCCCACTCCAGGGTGAGGATCTATTCCTGCCAAGACCCATTTGCTGCTTCCTGGGGCTACTGGTATCAGTCTAACTCGCCAGCTATGTATTTTCAAGGCCCTCCCATAAAAGAATCTGCCACATAGCCATATGCTATCTCTCTTTTTTTTGTTAAAGAAAGGACTTCTTATATGTATTTTGTGCCTGTGATGTGTGGAATGCAAGAGGACTATGTCTTGATTCCACCTATCTCTGCATTGCTACAGCCCCAATGTCTACTTATTTCATGGACTCAGGTGATCACCACAAGCAAACCTGGATTTTTTTTTGTTGTTATTTTTGAGATGTGGTCTTGATATGTTTCCCTGGCTGGCCTCAAATGTTGCTCAGGCTAAACTCTAACTCCTGGACTCAAGATATCCTTCTGCCTCAGCCGCTCTCATAGCTGGAATTACAAGTGCACCTGGCAAACACTTGGAGATAAATTCTTGTTGATTTCAATCACCTTCCAAACCTGGAAGGGAGTTATTCTGAGGGACACTGAACAGCACTGAGGGGACGGTGCTAAACGATTCATGAGAAACCGACCTCGTGATCCAACCACCTCCCTCCCTCCAGGCCCACCTATAATGCTGGGGATCACATCTCGACATGAGATCTGCACAAGAACAACATCCAATCTATATCAGGTATCAACAGATCTTACATTAATGAACCCCTCAAATTACCATAGTGATTTCCTTGGGACTTGGCTCACATGGGCATTCTTTTCATAGGCAAGTTTTTCATTGCTCTCCTGATTAATCATACGGCCAGGACATTAGTCACTCCCTGTAAGTCAGTAAAAACTAAAACGTAGGAGCTTTATTATTGTTCAATTCTTCCACCACTGCTAAGAAAACACCATGCAATTAAGTCCACAACAGCTTTTCTGTTTTTACCTTCTTTGATCAAAGAGGTGGATTTCCAAACATTATGTTGTCCATTCATCTTGCAAATGCTGTACACAAACCAACCAGCTGTTAGTGGGTCAGTTGACTGATACTGCAGTTCAAATCCCAGGGCTGTCTGCTATAGAGTTCCATCTTGCTCAAGGGAGGTCAGTGTTTTGTTTAATTTACACCTTCAGTGAATTGAATGAAGCCCACCCACATTATAGACATTAATCTACTTTATTCAAAGTCTGGCTATTTATGTGTTAATCTCATCCAACAAACATCCTCACAAATCATCCAGAATAATGCTTGACCACTTATCCAGGCACGACGCTTTAGCCAAGATGACCAATAAATTTTTTTTTATTATTATACTTTAAGTTCTAGGGTACATGTGTACAACGTGCAGGTTTGTTACATATGTATACATGTGCCATGTTGGTATGCTGCACCTGTTAACTCATTATTTACATTAGGTATATCTCCTAGTGCTATCCCTCCCCACTGCCCCCACCCCACGACAGGCCCCAGTGTGTGATGTTCCCCCCTGTGTCCAGGTGTTCTCATTGTTCAATTCCCACCTATGAGTGAGAACATGCGGTGTTTGGTTTTCTGTCCTTGTGATAGTTTGCTCAGAATGATGGTTTCCAGCTTCATCCATGTCCCTACAAAGGACATGAACTCATCCTTCTTTATGGCTGCATAGTATTCCATGATGTATATGTGCCACATTTTCTCAATCCTATCTATCATTGATGGACATTTGGGTTGGTTCCAAGTCTTTGCTATTGTGAATACTGCCACAATAAACATACATGTGCATGTGTCTTTATAGCAGCACGATTTATAATCCTTTGGGTATATACCAAGTAATGGGACCACTGGGTCAAATGGTATTTCTAGTTCTAGGTCCTTGAGGAATTGCCACACTGTCTTCCACAATGGTTGAACTAGTTTACAGTCCCACCAACAGTGTAAAAGTGTTCCTATTTCTCCACATCCTCTCCAGCACTTGTTGTTTCCTGACTTTTTAATGATCGCCATTCTTACTGGTGTGAGATGGGATCTCACTGTGGTTTTGATTTGCATTTCTCTGATGGCCAGTGATGATGAGCATTTTTTCATGTGTCTGTTGGCTGCATAAATGTCTTCTTTGGAGAAGTGTCTGTTCATATCTTTTGCCCACTTTTTGATGGGGTTGTTTGATTTTTTCTTGTAAATTTGTTTGAGTTCCTTGTAGATTCTGGATATTAGCCCTTTGTTAGATGGGTAGATTGTAAATATTTTCTCCCATTTTGTAGGTTGCCTGTTCACTCTGATGGTAGTTTCTTTTGCAGTGCAGAAGCTCTTTAGTTTAATTAGATCCCATTTGTCAATTTTGGTTTTTGATGCCATTGCTTTTGGTGTTTTAGTCACGAAGTCCTTGCCCATGCCTATGGCCTGAAAGGTATTGCCTAGGTTTTCTTCTAGGGTTTTTATGGTTTTAGGGATGATCAGTAAAATTAATTATGACATTCTTCAATATAAGAATACTCTGAGGAAATTAGCCTGTGATCTAATAAAACAAGGAGCAAACAACTGTTTCTAAAAATTTACAAGCAATAGTCAAAAAGCCCTCCCTAGAGATTGTTTCTCACGTTCACTCTATAATTCTGGGTTAAAAAAAAAGCACGTATTTGTTGAAAACCACAGAAGAAGAGAAAATTGAAAAAGCGAAAGTGAAAAAATAAGAATAATAATAAAGATGACAGCAGTTATTTCATTGGAAACAATGCAAATGAGGAGACAGATGAGCAACATCTTTAGAGTCCTAAAAGGAAAATGCTGTGAAACTAGATTCTATTCCCAGAAAATAATGCCTTTTTCAAATATATATGTATAGTTTTAATTGACAAAGTATAATACATTCGTGAGATATTGTTTAATGTATTGATATATGTGTACCCTATGTAATGATTAAATTAAGCTAACACACCTTGAATATATCTATCAAAAAATAAAGGGATTTTAGGCCAGGCATGGTGGCTCATGCCTGTCATCCCAACACTTTGGGAGGCCGAGGTAGGTAGATCACGAAGTCAGGAGTCAAGACCAGCCTGACCAACATGGTGAAACCTCGTCTCTACTAAAAATGCAAACATTAGCTAGGCATGGTGGCATGCTCCTGTAATTCCCAGCTACTCAGGAGGCTGAGGCAGGAGAATCACTTGAAAATGGGAGGCGGAGGTTGCAGTAGGCCAATATCACACCATTGCACTCCAGCCTGGGCAATAGAGTGAGACTCTGTCTCAAAAATAAACAAACAAACAAACAAACAAACAAATGGATTTTAGACATACAGGGAGTGAAAAAATAACCAGCAGACCTAAACTATAATAAATGTTTCAGTCCTCTAGGCAAAAAGAAAATTAAGGGACTAGTTGGCACAGCATTTAATGATGAAGAGACAACTTCATCGCCCCCTCCCACTGAGACAGAGAACACAGCCCCAGGGCCTGGGAATTCCTCAACCCAATCCACCACCTTGGGCACCTGTGCACTCCTCCTGGGTACCTGAGGTTGGATGCAATCACCTTAGCTGTCACCTACCTGCAAACACCACCTATGGGCATCCCACCCAGCCTATCGCATCTGCCGCTAACAGTGCACACTGCTTGGGACCCAGAGAAGCAGCCCACCACTGCCACTGCCAAGCTGGCTGCCCAGGAGCCGAAGTCCCCAGCACCTACCCAGTCAACCACTGCCACTACTGCCATCCAAGCAAGCCACCTGGAAGCCCAGGAATCAGCCCACCAGTAACCACCAACACAAATGCCAGTATATACCACCTTGGGGCACAAAGATAGGAACACTCAGCACACCACTGCCACCACTGGAGCCTGAAGACTGTCTCATGTGGCATCTCAGTCCCCAGCACATTTTCACCACAGCCTCACTAATAACCACACCCTAATGCACAGAAGAAATCACAGATACCATTAACACTGTCTACAGCCAAAGAAATTATACAGAGGCCATAGTACTCTACTATGTACTACACCCAGAATCAAATCCAAAGTACCCCACGCAACCAACACCATAGACTCATCTTCAGGAAAATGCTCTCCACTATGAAACAAAATTCAAAAATAGGAAGAACTGACTGTTATATCAGATGCAAAAATATTAACGTTAGGACACAGAAACATGAAAAAGCAAAAAAGAAAAAAAAAGCCGCAAAGGAAGACAATAGATCTTAATCAAAAAGAAATTTTCAAGATTCTAGATAAAGGACTCAAAACATTCATTTTACAGAAGTTCAGTGAGATACAAAAGAATTCTGAAAAAAATACAAAGAAAACATAAAAATAATTCAGGATACAAATAAGAAGTTTACAAAAGATATAGATTTAAAAAAAAAAACAGAAATTCTGGAATTAAAGAATTCATGACATGAAATTCCAAATACATTTGAAAGCTTCAACAACATACTAGGTCAGGCAGAAGGAAGAATTCCAAAACTTGAAGATATACATAGTGAAATAATTCAATAAGACAAAAACACACACAAAAAAAGAATGAGCAAAGCCTTTGTGACATTTGGTACAATATAAACAACCAAATATTCAAATTATTGGTATTCTCAAGAGCAAAGAGACAAAGAACAGATTAGAAAACCTATTTAATGAAAGAATAGATGAATAATTCCCAACTCTAGCAAGTGATTTAGACATTCAGATACAAAATGTTCAATAATTCTGAGAAAAATACAATGCAAAAAGTTCCTCACCATGGCATATAATCAGACTTTCTATAGTATAAGGTAAAACGCAAATCCTAAAAATAGCAAGAGGAAAGTGTTTAGTCACCTATAAAGGAAACCCCATCAGACTAACAGCAGATTTCTTTTTCTTTTTTCTTTCTTTTTTTTTTGAGATGGAGTCTCGCTGTGCTGCCAGGCTGGGGTGCAGTGGCATGATCTCGGTTCACTGCAACCTCTGCCTCCTGGGTTCAGGTGATTCTCCTCCCCCAGCCTGCCAAGTAGCTGGGATGACAGGCACACGCCACCACACACAGCTAATTTTTTTTTTTTTTTTTGTATTTTTAGTAGAGACGGGATTTCACCAAGTTGGCCAGGATGGTCTCAATCTCTTGACATCATGATCCACCCACCTCAGCCTCCCAAAGTGCTGGGATTACAGGTGTGAGCCACTGTGCCCAGCTCTAACAGCAGATTTCTTAGCAGAAATCTTACAGGCCAGAAGAGAATAGGATAGTATAATCAAAGTCCTGAAGGAAAAGAACTGCCAAGCCAAGAGTAATAAACAAAACATAAGTATTCTTCATAATTGAAAAAAGAAATTATCTTTCCAAGACAAGCAAATGCTGAAAGGCTTCATTACCACTAGACAGGGCCTACAGGAAATGCTCAAGAAAGTCCTAAACCTGGAATTGAAACGACATTTTCAACATTTCCACATTATCACCATGAAAACATACACAAGTATAAAACTCACTGGTAAAGCAATCACACAAAAGAGGAAGAGAAAGGTCTCAAATGGTCCTACTACAGAAATCCACCAAACCATAATGACAAGCAATAAGAGAAAAAGACAGTAATAAAGGACATATAAAACAACCCGAAAACAACAATGTGATAGGAACAAAGCTGTTGGGAACAGGCCTCCAAAAATCTGGCCGTAAACTGGCCCCAAAACTGGCCATAAACAAAATCTCTGCAGCACTGTGACATGCTCATGATGGCCATGATGCCCACGCTGGAAGGTTGTGGGTTTACCGGAATGAGGGCAAGGAACACCTGGCCCACCCAGGGCGGAAAACTGCTTAAAGTCGTTCTTAAACCACAAACAATAGCATGAGTGATCTGTGCCTTAAGGACATGCTCCTGCTGCAGATAACTAGCCAAACCCATCCCTTTATTTTGGCCCATCCGTTTGTTTCCCATAAGGAATACTTTTAGTTAATCTATAATCTATAGAAACAATGCTTATCACTGGCTTGAGTTAATAAATATGGGGGTAAATCTCTGTTCAAGGCTGTCAGCTCTGAAGGCTGTGAGATCCCTGATTTCCCACTTCACACCTCTATATTTCTGTGTGTGTGTCTTTGATTCCTCTAGTGCCACTGGGTTAGGGTCTTCCCAACTGAGCTAGTCTCGGCACAAAGCCTCACATATTAATAAAAATCTGGAATGTAAACAGATTAAATTCTCCACTTATAAGATTTAGAATGGCTGAATGGGTAGAAAACATGATCTAACTACATTCTGCTTACAGAAAAACTCACCGGTAATACCACCTCACCACAATCCATAGAGACAGAAGGTAAAAGAATGGCAAGAGGTTATCTATGGAAACCAAAAGTGAGCAGGAGTAGCTATACTTATAGCAGATAAAATAAACTGTAAGTCAAGAACAACTTTTTTAAAAGATAAGGAAGGCCATCACGTAATCATAAAGAGATCCTTCCAAGAAGAGAATAGAACAATTCTAAATATATATGCACTAAACACTGGAGAACCTAGACTCATAAAACAAATATTACTACATCTAACAAGAAAGATAGACTCCAATACAATAATAGTAGGGGACTTCAACATCCCAACCTCAGCATGAGACAGATCATCTACATAGAAAATCAAGAAAGAAACATTGGATTTAAACAGAATTTTACACCAAATAAAGCTAACAGATATTTATAGAGCATTCTATCTAACACTACAGAATGTACACTCCTTTCATGAACACATGGAACGTTTTCAGGGAGAGAGCCTATGTTAAGCCACAAAACAAGTCTGAACAAATTTTCAAAAATTGAAATCATTAAATATCTTCTCTGGCCACAATGGAATAAAACTAGAAATATACACCAAGAGAAATGTTGGCAACAAGACCAATACATGGAAATTAAACAACATGCTCCTGAATAACCATTGAGTCAACAGAGAAATTAAGATGTAAATTAAAAAGTTTCTTGAAACAAATGAAAATGGAAACACAACATACCAAAACCTGTGGGATACAGCTAAACAGGGCTAAAAGGGAGGTTTATAGGAATAAATACCTACCTAAGAAAAGTAGAAACATTACAAATTAACAATATAACAATGAACCTCAAGGAACTGGAAAAGCAAGAAAAAAACACATCAAAAATTAGCAGAAAAGAAATAATAAAGATCATAGTAGAACTAAATAAAGACTTTTAAAAACCATGTAAATGATCAACAAAGTGAAAAGTTTGTTCTTCAAAAACATAAACAAAATTGATAAACCACTAGCTAAACAAACCTAGAAAAAAAGAGAGAAAATTTGTTAAGAATAAAAGTTCCTCTTCAAAGTTTTCCTTTTTGGTTTAGAATGATAAGTGTTAAGAAGATAGTTCCTCTTAAAAGCTTCCTTTAAGTTTCCCTTGCTCTTCATACTAACAAATCTTCTATTTTACTAATGATTCTTTATTGTGCCCCCAAGGAGTTGTTACATACAGTAAAGAAATAAACACATTCTATGTTCTTGTACTTGAACCAAGGCCTAACTCCTTTGTCCCCTAGTCTGCCTGGATCTGCCTGGACATGCCCAGACATGTCCCAGCTCGCAGATTATGCTCTTTCCTTATTTGGAAATATTATTGTCTTCCTGGTTTCCCATAAGTGACCCCCTCCTTTCCTTTGTTCCCCATTGCACCTTTACCTTATTTGGGAAAGTTTAAGTTTTTAGCCAACTGGGATCAGTTTAGATTGTGTGGTCCAGTTCCAGCCAATGGAGACAGGACACAATAGTAGAAACAACTTGCGTTAGGAATAAAAACCCCTGTTTTCCTTTGTTCTGGGTGCTCTCATGGCAATCAGGCTTATGGGTAGCACCCTTCTGCAGAAGTAAAAATTGCCTTGCTGAGAAATCCTTTGTTCAAGTGTTTGTTTTCTTTGTGACTCCGAGCTTTATTTCTAACAATTTTCTGGGGGCTCATCCACTATTCCCATTCTTCTTTGGGAAGGGGTCTTTGGTCACCCCATCTAGGGGAGGTGCACCCCACTGCCCCACTGCAGTGGCCCCAGGGACGGGAGACTGAGACTACCCATTGTGACGAATAAATCCAGGCTCTCAGCAATGTGGAAGGAGAAGGCCTGCAAGTACCGCAATGACCAGGTAACTGTGCACAGACTGAGGTAAAAAAAGTCACAAGGGCAACAGTATTTCCTTGGTGGTCGGGATATTCTGGAGGTTAAAGGGTGTGAAAGGTAACAAGCACTACTGCTGTGCAGAGTGAGTGAGTCCAATCTGTGGTTCTGTGGTCACCTCATACGGCTTATGGTGGCCCTCTTGTAGGGATCCTGACATTGGGGTTTATACAGTCCCGCTGATGCTAAGGGGAGCCTAATTTCCTCTGGGAAAGCAGCCAGAGTGGACGAAGCAGAAGGAGAAGATTGCAAGGAACCTCCAGGATAGGGGTTAAACCTCCAGGGAAGGATAGGTGAAAAATCTCTAGTTCAAGGGACTGAGCCTAACCAGTATTCAACATGGGAAATACCCTGAGTAAGACAGAAGGTAAAAAGGAAAAGGCAGACAGTGAAATCACCTCTGATAGTCCTTTAGGACTCATGTTAAAATATTGGAAGTATACGAGAGGACTAAACATAAGAAAAAGCAACAGATGATAAAGTATTATTGTTTCATTTGGACCAAGGAACCTATTCTAAAGCCTTCAGTTTTCTGGCCAAAATTCGGGTCAAATGAGGATTGGACTGCCAGCTTTTAATACAATATGTAAATGATAAAAGTCCTGTTTCCCAGGAGGAAATACATTATGCTCTGTGTTGGTGGCAAAGGCCCATCCTCCTTTGTCATCTAAAAACTAAAGGAGAGAAGCCAGAAACTACTTCTCATGAAATTAATACCCCTTACGCCAAGAACCCCACCAACACATGGGACCCCTTAGACCACCTTCCCCTACCAAACCTTCTTCCCCCCAACCAGTAGACCAACATCCCCCACCTCCCACTCCAGTAGATATAACAGTCCCAGACCTTTCCCCTACTCAGATTTTCTTTCCCTCCTTATAACCCTGATTCTTGGGGTCATCCCCAGCTTGAATGCCCTCCCTCAGGAAGACTTCAACGTGAGTTAGAACAATGTAAAAATGATATCCAAAACTTCCATTTTCTCCCTTCTTCTAGGGGTTCAGCTACAAACCACTTCCCATTGAGGGAAGTGTCTCTAGGAGGAGGGGGCATTGCCTTTGTAAATGCTCCCCTGACCAGTTCAGAAGTCTGGAGCTTGAAGAGGGAACTCAAGCCACTCTTAGATGATCTCTATGTAGTGACAGATCAAATTCATCAATTTTTAGGACTCCAGTTGTATACTGGGCTGAGTTAATGTCCATCATAGGCATTCTTTTTTCAGGGGAAGAAAGGAGCATGACGCATAGGGCTGCTATGACCATTTGGGAGTGTGAGCATCCTCCTGGTCAAAACGTCCCTGCAGCCAAACAGAAATTTCCTACTCAAGATTCCCAGTGGGATAATAACAACATAGCTCATAGGAGGAATATGAGAGACCTGCAAGAAATAATAATAAAAGGAATTAGAGAATCGTTACCCTGCACCCAGAATATGACCAAAGCTTTTAATATACAGCAAGGAAAAGATGAGGGGCTTATGGAATTTTTTAACAGGCTTAAGGAACAAATGAGGAAATATGCTGGTTTAGATGGAGGAGACCCACTTGGACAAGGAATGTTAAAGCTTCACTTCGTCACAAATAGCTGGCCAGATGTTACCAAGAAATTACAAAAGACAGAAAATTGGAAGGACTGTCCCATAAAGGAACTCTTAAGGGAGGCCCAAAAGGTGTATGTACGAAGAGATGAAGAAAAGTAAAAGGACAAGGCAAAGATTATGCTGTTCTTACAGCAGGGAACTCCCCAATAGACAGCTCAAAGAAATGTCACTGGTAAATCTTTTAGGTACCCGACTGTCAGACTCTATAATGGAGGTAAAGGAATCAAACCAGGGAACAAGGGAATAAAAAGAGGAATAGGGCAGAATAAATGCTTCAAGTGTGGGAAGGAAGGTCACTTTAAAGAGAATGCCCTGAATGGAAAAAAGAAAAAGAAATCACCCACTTATGATCTTTGAAGAGGAATGGGGGGCCAGGGGCTCTACTCTTTTTACCTTGAGTCCCACCAAGAGCCCTTGATAAATTTAGAGGTGGGACCCAAACCTTTTTAACTGACTCAGGAGCTGCTGATTCCTCAGTTTGTTATCTTCCCCCTGGTGTAACTTGGTCACAAGAAGAACTTTTTATTTTGGGAGCAAAAGGGGAGGGGTTTAAAGCAAAAGTCTTAGAAGAAACAAAAATTAAATATCAGAATCACTCAGTAACTATTAAACTTCTGTTAATCCTGGAGGCAGGAACAAACCTATTAGGAAGAGATTTAATGCTAAAATTAAACCTAGGCCTTTAAGTTAATCAAGGAAATCTCCTCCCTTCCTTAAATTTGCTTGCTACTCTAAATGAGGGATACATCCATTCAGATGTATGGTCAAAGGAAGGAAACCGAGGAAAATTACGAATTTCCCCAATCCAAGTTAAATTGAAAAAGCTGGGGGAAGTGGTAAAAAGAAAACAATATCCAATTCCCTTAGAAGCTAAGATCAATTTAAAGCCCATAATAGAAAGCCTTCTCCATCGTGGACTCATTGAACCCTGTATGTCTCCTTATAACACTCCCACACTACCTGTGAAAAAGCCAGATGGGTCATATCGGCTAGTGCAAGATCTTCGATCTATTAACCAAATAGTTCGAACAACTCACCCTGTTGTTCCTAATCCTTATACTATTATTAGTAACATTCCATACAACCATGAGTGGTTCACAGTAATAGATCGAAAGGATGCCTTCTGGGCTTGCCCACTAGCAAAGATAGTCTTTGAATGGGAGGACCCTCACTCTGGTTGAAAATAACAGTATCGATGGACAGTTTTGCCCCAGGGATTTACAGAATCTCCAAATTTGTTTGGTCAAATACTAGAACAGATCATAGAAAAGTTTTACAAACCACCATATATATGCCTGCTCCAATGCATGGATAATATCCTTATTTCAGGGGAGGATAGACAAAAAGTAGAAGGATTTTCAATAGGTTTTTTAAAAATAATTTACAACTGGAGGGGTTACAAGTGTCAAAAAAGCAAACTTCAGTTTGTAGAACCTGAAGTCAAGTATTTAGGGCACTTAATCAGTAAGGGCAAATAGAGAATTGGATTTGAATGGATTGAAGGCATCATATCCTTACCTCTGCCTGAGACAAAGAAGGAACTTAGAAAATTTTTAGGGTTAGTAGGGTATTGTCGCTTATGGATAGACTCTTATGCTTTAGTAACCAAACCTCTATATAAAAAAACTTACACAGGATGAATTGGACCCCCTTATATGGTTTTTACCAGAAATACAGCAGGTAAAAAAATTAAGAGTTACTAGTGACAGCCCATGTTCTAGCCTTACCCTCTTTAGAATTGCCCTTTCATCTTTTTGTTAATGTAGGTAATGAGTAGCCTTAGGGGTACTTACTCAAACACATGGAGGCCATTGGCAACCCACAGCCTTCTTGTCAAAAATTCTTGACCCAGTAGCCCATGGATGGCCCGAGTGTGTCCAATCAGTGGCAGCAACAGCCTTGCTCACAGAGGACAGCAGACAATTAACCTTTGGGGAAATCTTATCATTAGTGCTCCTCACCAAGTGAGAACAATTCTCAATCAGAAGGCGGGAAGGTGGCTTACTGATTCAAGAATTTTAAAGTATGAAGCCATCTTGTTAGAAAGAGATGATCTAACCTTAACCACTGATGACTCAATTAATCCAGCTGTTTTCTTAACAGGAAACCCCAACCCACAGACCCCTGATCTTTGCCCAGAGCACAGATGTTTAGATTTAATTAGTTATCAAACAGAAGTTAGACCTGTTTTAAATGAAACACCCTTTCAGACTGGGAAACACCTGTTTATAGATGGTTCCTCCTGAGTAATCAAAGGAAAAATGCATAACGGGTATTCAATGATAGATGGAGATACCCTCACAGAAATAGAGTCTGAAAGGTTACCAAATGAGTGGTCTGCACAAACATATGAGTTGTTCACATTAAATCAGGCCTTAAAATTTCTGCAAATCAAGAAGGAAAAATCTATACAGACTCCAGGTATGCCTTTGGAGTAGTCCATACTTTTGGAAAAATTTGGACTGAGTGGGGCCTCATTAACAGCAAAGGTCAAATTTTAGACCATGGGGACCTAATAATACAAGTACTAGAAAATTTACAATTGCCAAAAGAAATAGCTGTTGTACATGTCCCACGACATCAAACGAATCCTTCATTTGAAGGCGAGGGAAATAATCCCACTGACCAAATAGCTAAGCAAGCTGCCTCTTCTCCAGCAGAACCCATTTTTTGACTAACCCCTTGTCTTCCATCTTCAGCTGCACTCCCTATCTTCTCTCAAGCAGATCAGGAAAAACTAAAAAAAATAGGAGCTGAGGAAAACTCAGAAGGAAAGTGGGTATTACCAGATGGAAGAGAAATGTTATCCAAACCTCTTATGAGGGAAATATTGTCACAGCTTCATCAAGGATCTCACTGGGGTCCTCAAACCATGTGTGATGCAGTCCTTAGGGTTTATGGGTGCATAGGAATATACACCCTCGCCAAGCAAATGGTGGAAAGTTGTATAGTGTGCAGAAAATCTAATAAGCAGACCCTAAAAAAACAACCTCCTGGAGGAAGAAATCCTAGGTTAAGGCTATTTCAAAGTGTCCAAGTTGACTCTACTGAAATGCCCCCAATAGGCCGCCTTAAGTATTTACCAGTAATAGTAGATCATCTTACCCACTGGGTAGAAGCCATCCCTTTTCCAAGTGCAACAGCCAGTAACGTGGTCAAAACTCTGTTAGAACATATCATACCCAGGTTTGGAATAATAGAGAACATTGATTCAGATAATGGGACCTAATTTACCATGCACATTATTAAAGGCCTAATCCAAGTATTAGAGATAAAATGGGAATATCATACTTCCTGGTCTCCACCTTCATCAGGGAGAGTAGAAAGAATGAATCAAACTTTAAAGAGTCATCTAACCAAATTAATCTTAGAAACTTGGCTACCATGGACAAAATCTCTTCCCATTGCTTTACTAACAATCCAAACTTTCCCTCGGAGGGATCTTGGCCTGTCTCCTTATGAAATGCTTTGTGGGTTACCTTATCTAAACACTACTACTGACCTTCCTATGATCGAAACAAAAGATCAGTTCCTTAGAAATTATGTATTTGGTCTGTCTTCCACTCTTTCTTCCCTCAGGACTCAAGGTCTCCTAGCACAGACTCCACTCCTTGAATTCCTGGCCCACCAACATCAACCCAGAGATCACGTCCTTATCAAAGGCTGAAAAGAGGGAAAGCTTGAGCCTACCTGGGAAGGACCCTATCTGGTGCTCACAACAACTGAAACAGCAGTTCAGACCACTGAAAAAGGGTGGACTCATTATACTCAAGTCAAGAAGGCATCACCTTCTCCGGAGACATGGACCGTTATTCCGTCAACTCCCACCAGAGTAACGATAAAAAGAAAAACTTAATATATCTATCTTTTTTCTTCTTTTCTTTCCCTTAACTGCCCCCATCTCATCATTAATGTAACTAGATCAAGTTTGCCCAAAATTATTACCTTTGATGCTTGTCTAGTCATGCCTTGTGGAAATTTACAGGACCAAAGAGCTTACTGCCTCATTTAAATATCTTCGTCCGTCTTGGACTTCCTCAGATTGGAAAGATATAGCAAATTCTTGTAAAGATCATGATAACTCCAAAAAGTAGTTGTATTAACTGGTGGGAATGGGACTCTTGTCCCCTTAAAACAGAGTCCATATGCTATACTTGGTCTAATGTCCTACGGAACACCAAAGGTCCAGGCTGGACTGCTCCCACCAGTCTTTGCCAGTCCTTAAAGCCATATATCCATCTTACAAAAGGGATTGCCTCTTCTAATTGTCCATATAACCAATGTAATCCTATTTGGCTTACTATTACTATTGCAACATCCCAAAACTCTTCCCCTTCATTAAGTCGTATTTATGGCATAGGGGCCAACATCTCGGGAAAGTTGCCCCTTCCACCTCTCTATCACATCTTCCTCAAACCATCACCCCACCTATACTCAGTGACAAAGCCAAAGTAGCTGTAGTAGAAGTAAAAGACCTGAGGCAAACTCTAGCCATTGAAACAGGGTCTCAGGATGCAAATGCCTGGGTGGAATGGATTAAATATTCCATCCACAGTCAAAATAAGAGAGATTGTTATGCTTGGGCACACAGCAGATCAGAGGCCCAAATTATCCCCTTTCCACTGAGATGGTCTTGTAATAGACCAGATACGGACCGCATGGTAGCTCTGCTCCAAGACCCCACAGCCTGGGGTAATAAATCATGTCAAACACTTTCTCTGCTATTCCCTGTGGTCCAGCACGTAGGTCAGCCCCCGAAGGCCATTCA
This sequence comes from Homo sapiens, assembly GCF_000001405.40. Lineage (NCBI taxonomy): Eukaryota > Metazoa > Chordata > Mammalia > Primates > Hominidae > Homo > Homo sapiens. Next base: position 31,330,375 of record NC_000006.12, on the reverse strand, counting down.
GCCTCCATCTTCTGGGACCAAATTTGCTTCGTGTCTCTCACAACAGGGAGAAAATTTGGCTTTCCTTGGAAACCTCATGGGATGCAGGGAGGTCAAGCACTTCCAAGAGCTAACCGATCAGTCTGCCCTTATCCATCCCCAAGCAGATGTATGGTGGTATTGTGGTGGACCTTTGTGGGACACTCTGCCAAATAACTGGAGTGGTACTTGTGCTCTGATTCAATTGGCTATCTCTTTCACCCTGGCATTTCATTCGCCAAAAGAATTAACAACCAGGCATCGTAGTACAAGAAGTGTTCTTGTGAGTCTTTTGATCCCAGCGTTTATATAGATGCTATTGGAGTACCAGATGAATTTAAAGCTTGAAACCAAATAGCTGCGGGATTTAAGTCATTATTCAGGTGGGTGACTATCAATAAAAATGTAGACTGGATAGCCATGTGCAGTGGCTCACGTCTGTAATCCCAGCACTTTGGGAGGCCAAGGCGGGTGGATCACGAGGTCAGGAGTTTGAGACCAGCCTGACCAACATAGTGAAACCCTTTCTCTAATAAAAATACAAAAATTAGCCGGGCGTGGTGGCATGCAACTGTAATCCCAGCTACTCAGGAGAGTCACTTGAACCTGGGAGGCGGAGGTTGCAGTGAGCCGAGATCGCACCACTGCACTCCAGCCTGGGTGACAGACTGAGACTCCATCTCAAAAAAAAAAATGTAGATTGGATAAATTATATTTACTACAATCAGCAATAATTCATTAATTGCACAAGGGATGCTATGAGGGAATAGCTGAGCAACTAGGACCCACCAGACAGATGACTTGGGAAAATAGAATAGCACTAGACATGATACTAGCAGAAAAAGGCAGGGTTTGTGTTATGATTGGAACTCAATGTTGTACTTTTATCCCTGATAATACTGCCCCTGATTGAACTATAACAAAAGCATGACAAGGTCTTACTGCTTTATCAAATGAACTAGCTAAAAACTCTGGAATAAATGATCCTTTCACTAGCTTAATGGAAAGGTGGTTTGGTAAGTGGAAAGGACTCATGTCCTCAGTTCTCACCTCACTGGCTCTCATAATCAGTGTACTTATCCTTGTAGAATGTTGTATTATACCTTGCATTCGTGGATTAGTGCAAAGGCTTATAGAAAAGGCTCTTACCAAAACCCCTTTCAATTCTCCTCCCCTTACTCGGATAAGTTGTCCCTTCTAACTGATTAAGAAGAGTAACAAACTAAAGATATGTTAAGGAGATTTGAAGAGGAAGAACTGTAAAATCAAGAGGGGGAAGCTGTAAAGAATAAAAGTTCCTCTCCAAAGTTTTCCTTTTTGGTTTAACATAAGTGTTAAGAAGATAGTTCCTCTTAAAAGCTTTCTTTAAGTTTCCCTCACTCTTCATACTAACAAATCTTCTAATTTACTAATGACTCTTTATTGTGCTCCAAGTAGTTGTTACATACAGTAAATAAATAAACACATTCTATGTTCTTGTACTTGAACCAAGGCCTAACTCGTAGTCTGCCTGGATCTGACCAGACATGCCCAAACATGTCCCAGCTTGCAGCCTATGCCCTTTCCTTATTTAGAAATATTATTGTCTTCCTGGTTTCCCATAAGCGACCCCCTCCTTTCCTTTGTTCTCCATTGTACCTTTACCTTTTTTAGGAAAGTTAAAGTTTTTAGTCAACCGGGATCAGTTTAGACTGCGCAGTCCAGCTCCAGCCAATGCAGACAGGAAACAATAGTAGAAACAACTTGCGTTAGGAATAAAAACCCCTGCTTTCCCTTGTTCTGGGTGCTCTCATGGCAATCAGGCTTACAGGTAGCACCCTTCCACAGAAGTAAAAACTGCCTTGCTGAGAAATCCTTTGTTCAAGTGTTCGTTTTCTTTGCGACTTCAAGCTTAATTTCTAACAGACTCAAAATCAGAAACAAGAGAAACATTACAACTGATATTGCAAAAATACAAAAGACTGTCAGAGACTATTATGAACAATTCTGTACTGACAAACTGGAAAACCTGGAGGAAATGGATAAATTCCTGGAAACAAACAACCTACCAAGATTAAACTAGGAAGAATAGAAAACCTGAAGCCCTAACATCCATGAACCATTCTCACAGTGGTTCCAGTGGGCCCCTGACCACTCTGTGATTATTTTCTCAGTGCTGGTTTGCATAATTGAAACAGACCTACTCAGCAACAGGCAAAATCCACAGATCAGTTCCTTTTTTTAACTTTTATTTTCAGTTCAGGGGTACAAGTGCAGGCTGTTTTACAGGTAAACTTGTGTTGTGGGTGTTTGGTACACAGATTATTTAATCACCCAGGTTTTAAGCCTAGTACCCGTTACTTATTTTTCCTGATCCTCTTCTTTCTCCCACCCTCCACCTTCTGAAAGGCTCCAGTGTGTGCTATTCCCCTCTATGTCTCTATGCATTCTCATCATTTAGCTCCCACTTATAAGTGAGAACATGCAGTATTTGGTTTTCTGTTTCTGCATTAGTTTGCTAAGGATAACGGCTTCCAGCTCCATCCATGTCCCTACAAAGGACATGATCACATTCCTTTTTCTGGCTGCATAGTATTCCATGGTATACATGTATCACATTTTCTTTATCCAGTCTATAATTGATGAGCATTTAAGTTGATTCCATGTCTTTGCTATTGTGAATAGTGCTGCAATGAACATATGTGTGCCTATGTTTTTATAATAGAATGATTTATATTCCTTTGGGTATAATGGTATTTCTGTCTTTAGGTCTTCGAGAAATCACCACACTGTCTTCCACAATGGCTGACCTAATTTGCACTCCCACCAACAGTGTATAAGTATTCCTTTTTCTCCACAACTTTGCCAGCATCTGTTATTTTTTGACTTTTTAATAATAGTCATTCTGACTGGTGTGAAATGGCATCTCACTGTGGTTTTGATTTGCATTTCTCTAATTATCAGTGATGTTGAGCATTTTTTCATGTTTGTTGGCTGCATGTATGTCTTCTTTTGAGAAGTATCTGTTCTTATGCTTTGCCCACTTTTTAATGGGGTTGTTTTGTTTTTTCTTGTAAATTTGTTTAAGTTCCTTATAGATATTAGACTTTTGTTGGATGCATAGTTTGCAAAAAGTTTTCTCCCACTCTGTAGGTTGTTTACTCTGTTGATAGTTTCTTTTGCTGTTCAGAGCTCTTTAGTTGAATTAGATCCCATTTGACAATTTTTGCTTTCGTTGCACTTGCTTTTGGCGTCTTTGTCATGAAATCGTTGCCCATGCCTATGTCCTGAATGGTATTGCCTAGGTTGTGTTAGGGTTTTTACAGTTTTGGATCTTACATTTAAGTCTTTAATTCATTTTGAGGTGATTTTGGTATATGGTGTAAGAAAGGGGTTCAGTTTTAATCTTCTGCATATGGCTAGCCAGTTATCCCAGCACTATTTATGAATAGGGAACCCTTTCCCCATTGCTTGTTTTTGTCAGGTTTGTCAAAGATCATAGTTGTAGGTGTGTGGTCTTATTTTTGGGTTCTCTATTCTGTTCCATTGCTCTATATGTCTGTTTTTGTACCAGTACCATGCTGTTTTGGTTACTGTAGCCTTGAAGTATAGTTGAAATCAGGTAGCATAGGCTGGACATGGTGGCTCTCACCTGTAATCCCAGCACTTTGGGAGGTAGAGGCAGGTGGATCATGAGGTCAGGAGTTTGAGACCAGTCTGGTCAACAAGGTGAAACCCATCTCTACTAAAGATACAAAAAATTAGCTGGGCGTGGTGGCACGTGCCTGTAATCCCAGCTACTCAGGAGGCTGAGAAAAGGAGAATCACTTGAACCCAGGAGGCGGAGGTTGCAGTGAGCTGAGATCACACCATTGCATCCCAGCCTGGACAACAGGGTAGAGACTCCGTCTCAAAAAAAAAAAATCAGGTAGTGTAATACCTCCAGCTTTGTTCCTTTTGTTTAGGATTGCCTTGGCTATTCAGGCTCTTTTTTGGCTTCAGGTGAATTTTAAAATAGTTTTTTCTAGTTCTGTGAAGAATGTCAGTGGTAGTGGCCGGGCGCGGTGGCTCACACCTGTAATCCCAGCGCTTTGGGAGGCCGAGGCAGGCAGATCACGAGGTCAGGAGATCGAGACCATCCTGGCTAACAGGATGAAACCCTGTCTCTACTAAAAGTACAAAAAATTAGCTGGGCGTGGTGGCTGGCACCTGTAGTCCCAGCTACTTGGGAGGCTGAGGCAGGAGAATGCCGTGAACCCAGGAGGCAGAGCTTGCAGTGAGCCGAGATCGCGCCACTGCCCTCCAGCCTGGGCGACAGAGCAAGACTCTATCTCAAAAAAAAAAAAAAAAGAATGTCAGTGGCAGTTTGACAGGAATAGCATTGAATCTATACATTGCTTTGGGCAGTATGGCCTTTTTCACAATATAGATTCTTCCTATCCATGGGCATAGGAAGTTTTTCCATTTGTTTGCATCATCTCTGATTTCTTTGAACAGTGGTTTATAGTTCTTCTTATAGAGACCTTTTACCTCCCAAGTTAGCTGTGTTCCTAGGTATTGTATTCTTTTTGTGGCATTTGTGAATGGGAGTTCTTTCCTGATTTGGCTCTCAGTTTGCCTGTTGTTGGTGTGTAGAAATGCTAGTAATTTTCTCACATTGATTTTGTATCCTGAGACTTTGCTGAAGTTGTTTATCAGCTTTAAAAGCTTTTGGGCTGAGACTGGGTTTTTCTAGTTATAGAATCATGTAATCTGCAAACAGGAATAGTTTGACTTCCTATCTTCCTATTTGAATACCTTCATTTATTTCTCTTGCCTGATTGTCCTGACCAGAACTTCCAATACTATGTTGAATACCAGTAGTGAGAGAAGGCATCCTTGTCTTGTGTCAGTTTTCAAGGGAAATGCTTCCAGCCTTTGCCCATCAGTATGATGCTCGCTGTGGGTTTGTCATAATTGGCTTTTATTATTTTGAAGTGTGTTCCTTCACTATCTAGGTTATTGAGAGTTTTTTAAAACATGAATAGATGTTGCATTTTATCAAAAGCCCTTTCTGCATCTACTGAGATAATCATGTGGTTTTGGTCTTTAGTTCTGTTTGTATAACGAGGCACATTTTTAAATTTACACTTGTTGAACAAACCTTGCATACTGGGGGTGAAGTCTACTTGATTGTAGTGGATAAGCTTTTTGATGTGCTGCTGGATTCGGCTTGCCGGCATTTTGTCAAAGATTTTTGCATCGATGTTCATCAAGAATATTGGCTTGAGGTTTTCTTTTTTGTTGTTGTGGTATCTCTGCCACATTTTGGTATCAGGATGTTGCTGGCCTAATAGAATGAGTTAGGGAGAAGTCTCTCCTCCTCATTTTTTTTTTTTTTTGGAATAGTTTCAGTAGCAATGGTACCAGCTCTTCTTTGTACATCTAATAGAATTTGCCTGTCAATCATCTGGTTCTGGGTTTTTTTTGGTTGGTAGGCTGTTTATTACTGCCTTAATTTCAGAACTCATTATTAGTCTGTTCAGTGATTCAATTTCTTCCTGGTTCAGTCATGGAGGGGGCAGGTGTATGTATCCAGGAATTGATCCTTGTCTTCTAGATTTTCTAGTTTATTTGCATAGAGGTGTTCATAATATTTTCTGGTGGTTGCTTGAATTTCTGTGGGGTCAATGGTAATGTCCCTCTTATTGTTTCTAATTGTGTTTACTGGAATCTTCTCTCTTTTCTTCTTTACTAGCCTAGCTAGGGGTCTATTGATTTTATTAATTTAAAAAAAACCTAGGCGAGGAGCGGTGGCCTCACGCCTATAATCCCAGCAATTTGGGAGGCTGAAGCAGGCAGATCACCTGAGGTCAGGAGTTCAAGACCAGCCTGACCAACATGGAGAAACCTCATCTCTATTAAAAATACAAAAAAATTAACCGGGCATGGTGACACATGCCTATAATCCAAGCTACTCGAGAGGCTGAGGCAGGAGAATCACTTGAGCCTGGGAAGCAGAGGTTGCAGTGAGCTGAGCTCGCACCACTGCACTCCTGCCTGGGTAACAAGAGTGAAACTCCATCTCAAAAAAAACAAAAACAAAAACAAAAACAAACAAACAAACAAAAACAAAACCAAAACAAAACAGAACAAAAACTCCTGAATTCGTAGATCTTTTGAGTGGTTTTTCATGTCTCTGTCTCCTTCAGGAGACAATACCTTTGTTAATTTTTTATTATTACGTCTTGTCTTCTGCTAGCTTTGGGATATGTTTGCTCTTTGTTCTCAAGTTCTTTTGGTTGTGATTTTAGGTTGTTAACTTGAAATCTTTCTAACTTTTTGATGTGGGCATTTAATGCTATAAATTTCTCTCTTAACACTGCCTTCACTGTTTCCCAGAGATTCTGGTACGTTGTATCTTTGTTCTTATTATCTTCAAAGAACTTCTTGATTTGTGCCTTAATTTCATTATTTACCCAAAAGTCATTCAAGAACAGGTTATTCAATTTCTATGTAATCGTATGGTTTGAGTGAATTTCTTAGTCTTTATTTTGAATTTGATTGCACTGTGGTCCAAGTGTTATGATTTCAGTTCTTTTGCATTTGCTGAGGAGTGTTTTACTTCCAATTGTGTGATCGATTTTAGAGTAAGTGCCATGTGACAATGTGAAAAATGTATATTCTGTTGCTTTGGGGTGAAGACTTCTGTAGATATTTATCAGGTCCATTTGATCCAGGGCTGAGTTCAGGTCCTGAATATCTTTGTTAATTTTCTGTCTTGATGATCTGTCTAATATTGTCAGTGGAGTATTAAAATCTCTTACTACTATTGTGTGAGATTCTAAGTCTCTTTGAAGGTCTCTAGGAACCTACTTTATGAATCTGGGTATTCCTGTACAGGATGCATATATATTTCAGATAGTTAGATCTCCTTGTTGAATTGAACCCTTTACCATTATGTAATGCCCTTCTTTGTCTTTTTCTATCTTTTTTGGTTTAACAACTGTTTTGTCAGAAACAAGGGTTGCAACCCTGGCTTTTTTTCTGCTTTCCATTTGCTTGGTAAATTTTCTTCCATCTTTTTATTTTGAGCCTATGTACGTCATTGCGTGTGAAATGGGTATATGGAAGACAGCATACTGATAAGTCTTGGTTCTTTATCCAGCTTGCCACTCTATGTCTTTTAAATGGGGCATTTAGCCAATTTACATTTAAGGTTAGTATTGATATGTATGGATTTGATCCTGTCATCATGATGTTAACTAGTTACTTTGCAGACTTGCTTATGTGGTTGTTTTATTGTGTCACTAGTCTGTGTACTTCATTGTGTTTTTGTAGTGACTGGTAACTGTCTTTCCATGTTTAGTGCTTCCTTCAGGAGTTCTTGTAATGCAGGTCTGGTAGTCATGAATTCCCTTGGCATTTGTTTGCCTGAAAAGAATCTGATTTCTCCTTTGCTTATGAAGCTTAGTTTGGTTGGATATGAAATTCTGGGTTGGAAACTCTTTTCTTTAAGAATGTTGAATATTGGCCCTCAATCTCTTCTGGCTTATAGGATTTCCACTGAGAGATCCACTGTTAGTCTGATGGGCTTCCCTTTGTAGGTGATCTGGCCTTTCTCTCTGGATACCCTTCATATTTTTTCTTTCATTTTAACCTTGGAGCATCTGATGATTATTTATCTTGGGGATGATCTTCTCATGGAGTAACTTACTGGGGTCCTCTGCATTTCTGAATTTGAGTGTTGGCCTGTCTAGCTAGGTTGGGGAAGTTCTCATGGATCATATCCTGAAATGTTTTCCAAATTGGTTCCATTCTCCCCATCTCTTTCAGGTACACCAATCATTCATATATTCAGTTTCTTTACATAATCCCATGTTTTTCAGATGTTTTGTTCATTCCTTTTCATTCTTTTTTCTCTAGTCTCGTCTTCTTGTCTTATTTCAGAAAGCCAGTCTTCACGCACTGAGATTCTTTTCTCCACTTGCTCTATTCTGCTATTAATACTTGTGAGTGCACTATGAAATTCTTATAGTGTGTTTTTCAGCTCTGTCAGGTTGGTTATCAAATTCTTTTGCTGATTTCTTCTCATCTTTGTGGGCTTATCTACCCTCAATGTTTGAGGTTGCTGACCTTTGAGTGGATTTTTTTTTCTCTTCTTTTGTTTTCTCTTTTAACAGTCTGGCCACTTTTCTGCAGGGCTGCTACAGTTTGCTGGGGGCCTGCTCCAGTCCCTAGTTGCCTCAGATTTTCCAGTACTTGAAGGTATCACCAGTGAAGGCTATGTAACAGGAAAGATGGCAGTCTGCCCCTTCTTCTGGGAGGTCTGTTCCAGGAAAAGTACAGACCTGTTGCTAGCCTGAACACACCTGTAGGAGGTGCTGGAGACCCTGGTTGGGAGATCTTGCCCAGTCAAGAGGAACAGGATCAGGATCTAGAGGTTTACAAAAGGAGGAATGCTCCTACAGGAGACACAGAAATGAACCATTCAGGTGGAAGCTAAGACAGCCACCTGGGCCCTTCAGCTCCTCATGATTCTGAATCAACAAAGGAAGGAGTTACTGCACTGTCTGGGGTGATTGGTCTTGGTCATCAGGGGGAATTGGTCAGCTACTACACAATGGCGGTAAATAGGACTATGTCTGGAACACAGGAGGTCTTTTAGAGCATCTCTTAGTAATACTCTGCCCTATAACTAAAGTCAATAAAAACTACAACAACCCAGGTCAGGTAGGACTACTAATGACCCATACCCTTCAGGAATGAAGGTTTAAGTCATTCAAGCAGGAAAAGAAACCTGATCAGCTGAGGGACTTGCTGAAAGCAATGGGAATATGGGATGGTTAGTGAAAAACAACAAAAAAGTATTTATAAATACTAGTTGTGGCCAGCACAGTGGCTCATGCCTGTAATCCCAGTACTTTGGGAGGCTGAGGCAGGTGGATTGCTTAAGTCTAGGAATGTGAGACCAACCTGAGCAAAATGCTGAAACTGCATCTCTACTGAAAATAAATACAAAAAATTAGTTAGACTTGGTGGTGTGCTTGTAGTCCCAGCTACTTAGGAGGTTGAGGTAGGAGGATCACTTGTGCCCAAGAGGTAGAGTTTGCAGTGAGCCAAGGTAATGCCACTGCACTCCAGCCTGGGCAACAGAACAAGACCCTGTCTCAAATAAATAAATAAATAAATAAATAAATAAATAAATAAATAACCAGCTGTAACCATGTGAGAACTTACAGAAATAAAGACAGTAAACGTTATCAGCATTACTTCTTTATGTTTTTATAATGATATTTATGTCTGTGTGTATGTATCCTTACATGTATTGAGCAAATACCTTTCTTTTCATCTTTCCTGATCATCTGTAATAAAACATAAGATGTGCTAACAATAATTCCCTTTTATTAATAAAAGTTAACTTTTATTACGCATGGTATTTAGGTTACAGTATATCAAAGAGAATCTTTTTCTGTGGAAAGGGTTAGTGTGTTTCTAGTTGGATGCAAGTTAATTGTATCATCTTTGGCAAAAGTAAGACTTTATAGCTGTTTTTATTTGGAGACGAAGTAAGGTTTAAGGAAAATGTTAATGGGTGCCAAGTTCACAAGCATGGACTGGGATGGTGGGTCTTATGTGTCAATTTTACCAAACCATAGCACCTAGTTATTTAATCAAACACTAAATTTATATGTTGATATGATGGTGTTTTGCAGTTGTGATTAAAATCTGATATCAGTTGATTTCATGAAAAGGAAATTACCCTAAAAAATGTGGGTGGGACTTTTTGAATCACTTGAAGGCCTTTGGGCGAAATGTGAGTCTTCCCAGAGAAGAAAAAATTCTGCCTCAAGATGACAGTAGCAACTACACTTTAGGTTTCCAATCTGCCAGCCTGGTCTACAAATTTTAGATTGAAGGCTGCAACATTATGACTTTCCAGCCTTCCAGCCTGCTGAGGTGTAATTTGTGACATCAATAACGTAAAATGAGGGGTGGGAAAAGATGTAAAGAAGCAGAGTTTCATATTGATTTCAGTTCAAGATTGTTATAACTGTATTGTTATATATAATACCACAGTAATCACAAAAAAATACATAAAATATACACAAAAGAAAATGAGAAGGCAGTTAAAACATATCACTAGAAAAAAATCGACTAAATGAAAAATGACTAAAAACAAAAGAAGGTTTGAATGAAGGAGATGAGGGACAAAACAGCTATAAGACATGCATAAAACCAACATCACAATTACAGAAGTAAATCCTTCCTTATCAGTAATTACTTTAAATGTAAACGTAAATGGATTAAACTCCCCAATCAGAATTCAGAGATTATCACAATGGATAGAATAAAAAGAATCTGGCTGGGCACAGTGGCTCACACTTGTAATCCCAGCACTTTGGGAGGCTGTGGCGGGTGGATCACGAGGTCAGGAGTTTGAGACCAGCCTGGCCAACATGATGAAACCCCTGTCTCTACTAAAAATAGAAAAAAATTAGCCGGGCATAGTGGCAGGTGCCTGTAATCCCAGTTACAAGGGAGGCTAAGGCAGGAGAATTGCTGGAACTGGGGAGGCAGAGGTTTCAGTGAGCTGAGATCATACCACTGCACTCCAGCTTGGGAAACAGAGTGAGACTCCGTCTCAAAAAAAAAAGATTCTCACTTTGGATCTAACGACACTCGGAAGTTGAAATTGGAAGGATAGAGAAGGATATTCATGAAAATAGTAACTAAGAATTTTTAATGATCTCTCATAGGGTTCTATGTGTTGGCTGGGTTCAGATGATGGCCTGAGAGTGTTACATGGTCCAGGGATTGAAATGGAAGGAACCAGATGCAGGCAGGATGGTTAACAGCAGTGCCCAGAACTGACACAAGCATACTTCTGCCATATTTTATTGGGTAGCGCAAATATCAGATCTGCTTATGTTTAAAGAGTGGAGAGACCTTACCTCTTGATGAGGGAGTGGTGGGTCAAACTAAAGAAAAGCAAGTGTGATGGAAGATATTTAGATATTTTTGCAGCTATCTTTGGAAAATACATGCAATCCAAAACATCCTGTCTGCCAGAAAGGAAGAACACCATCACGCCTTACCCCTCCAGTCTAAGCCTGTGATTCTATAGTATCCTGGGGAAGGATCATGTCTTAGGAAGCAGGTGGGGAGTCGAAGCTCTAAATAAAGCCCCATCTACAGCCACAATTTCACTTTATTTTGATGAAATTTTGTGTCATTTTCGATAAAATGGGGGCTCACAAATCTCTCTTCAGGGATCTCTCCAGTGGCGGGGATGGTACACTTCCCTCTCCACAGTTCTACTTTATAGATAAGTGGAACTAGATCTCAGTTTCAATTATTTAAAACACCAGAGACTTGGATGCATGCATGTCACAAAAAGGTGAAAGAATGCTCTGTCACTTTCCCTTCTCTCACTCACTGCACCCTGAACAAGAACCTGCTCTACCTTGTCCTTTCGAATGGGGAGGAGGATCGCACTCCTGCCTAACCTTCACGCTTCCAGAGATAAACCCGCTGCCCAAACAGCATGGTTCATTATAAAGACCAAACCCTACACCAAGAGCTCTCCCCTTATCCACCATGGCAGAAACTGAATCCCATGGAAAGGCCTAGAACATTCTGGCTCAAAAGGACCAGTGTCATGTCCCTTCCACCAAAATGAAGCCAACATATTCATTACAATATGGGGTATTGATAAGGATATCAAAATGATTACCACCAAAATTTGACAAATATGTTCTTTTTATTACATCAACTTTTTTGTCCTCCAAATACAAAGAAAATAAGCCAGCACAGCAGGAGAAGTTGTTCCCCTGGGAAAGCATCCTCTTTCCAGTTGAAAGGCTGGTACCGGAATCACTAGAATGGAGCAAGGCTTTCTGGTATGACACAGCACCAGGTCTTGGGGCAGCCAGAGTTAGGGAGGGCTCACCTTCTGGGTGACACCAACCTTTGGCTCTCCGTTTTTTTATTCTCATTGCAAGAACAAAATTTCAGAGTATCAAGAGCCAAAGAGATTTACTCTATTTTATTCTTTAGAAAATGCAATCTCAAGGATAATCAGACTGTTATGGGCTAAATTGTATCCCCCCAAAATTGGCATGTTGATGTCCTAACCCCCAGTACCTGAGAAAGTGACTGCATATGGAGAGGTCTTTAAGGAGGTCATTAAGGTAAAATGAGGTCATATGAGTGTGCCCTAATTCAATGTGACTAGTGTCTTTATAAAAAGAGAAGATTAGACACAGACAGATACGGAGGAATGACCATGTGAAGACATAGAGAGAACATATCTACAAGCCAAGGAAAGAAGCCTTAGAAGAAATCAGCACTGCCAACACCATGATCTTGAACTTCCAGCCTCCAGAACTGTGAGACAATGAATTTCTGTTGTTTAAGTCACCCAGCGTGTGGTACTTTGTTATGGCAGCTCTAGCAAATTAAAACAAACATATTATACTGCCCAATGGAGAGTTTTACCTGACTTCTCTCTGGTTCCAATTCAATCAAGGTCTATATGCTCTGGGACCTCTCCAGCTCCTCATGAAAAATGACAAAGAATGCCATGTCCAGCTCCTGGGGTCCCTGATGGCAGTAAGAGGCAGCTCCTAATGGGGGAAGCTTTGGGGTGACCAAGGCCTCATAGACTTCATCACTGTTGGGCCACTTGGCTTCAGTCCCCTGACCACAATGGATCCATGGGCCTGGATTCACCTCTGACATTCGTGTCTTTTTTTTCCACAAGTGGTCTCTGGTAGAGATGGAGGGAAAGGACACAGGGATTCAAAATCCTGACTATCCTAGTGTCCTCCCCTCACTTCCACTCAGAGACAACACGGCCATTTCTCTAAACTCCTGAGGACGTGGCCAACATAAGTAATGGAGCACGGGGAGGTGCCTTGAACAGAGCTCCATGGAAGGTGGCTGGTGCCCTCTAGACCCTTTGTCTATACGTGCTGGGCTTCTTTAGCATGAAATGTCCCAGAGACAGCCACATTCTGTGCTTGGATCCTCAAACCAAAGTGTGTGAGGGTCTTAGCCCTGGCCAAATGAGCACTGAATTCAAGAGAGACCAGGAAACCTTCTGAATATTGGGACACTTTATTCCTGAATCCTGAATCCTGGAAGTTGGCTTCTGGCCAGGGAGGCAGGTGTCATTATATCTGGGCTGCCTCTCTGAGGCCTCTTTTCCATCTGCCTTTCACATCTTTCTACCCCTGTTAATCCCAGAACAGATAGAAACATTCTGCCTTCTTAGATGCCTCTTGCTACAAATTTCAATGCCATTTGATTGAATTAATAAATGAAAGCAACTTTAATACACGATGAGGTTTAAAGAATGGTATTTGACATGGGTTTAGAATGAATAAATGGATCAAGTAATGAATTTTGAGAAAATTCATGTAAAATTTATTTTTAACCATTTTATTAACTTGACTGTGGAATTAATAAATGATTCCAAATTAATACAAAAAAGTGCAATCACAAATGTATGAACGTGCAGAAGTGTGAATGAGGGGCAATGCACACAAGAAAAAAGGTGTGCACAGGAAGAAATTCTTCATTCCAGGTTTTTGCTGATCCCTCTGGTCAAGATGGGCTAAAAGTCTAAAAATCTGCTTTCCTCACATGGTCAAATGATTCAGCATAAAATACAACTGACTGAACACAATTATCAATGCTTTAAATATATTAGAAAAAATCAATAAGGAAAAATAATCCTACCATCACTAAGATTTTAAGTTATAATAAAATAAAGCCTAGAAACGTATCGTTTGTTCCCAATTCCAATGATTATAGGATTGCAGTGTCTGGCTTTCAAAAGACCATTTAAAACAACTCAGGGAAGTTTTCTTAACAAACTCTATAGCAGGACCACAGCTAAACCTATGAGTAGTAGTAGAAGTAAACAATGACACTGTCTTTAAAATTTCATTTTGAAAAACATGTTTGAAAGTGGCTGACTGGCTCCTAATTTAACCACTACCATTTGAAGTCATATGTTAGATTGGCAAAGTCATCGTAATTTTTATGCATTTTATTTTTGTAATGCAAGTGCTTCACTCTGCTATCTGATAAAAGAAAATACCAAGCCAGGCATGGTGATGCATGCCTTGTAGTCCCAGCTACTCAAGAGCCTGAGGCAGGAGGTTCCTTCAGCCCAGGAGTTCAAGGCTGCAGCAAGCTATGATGGTGCCACTGCACTCCAGCCTGGGCAACAGAGAATACAATTTTAATGTAAAATTTTAGTGTTAGGAGTTCAACCTTGAACTGATTCTGTGAGATCCTATTTGAGAGAAGCTGTTGTGTACAATGAAGTTTGGGGAATATCAACAAGAAGTAAATGCCTACCTTGTTTCTAGTTTACAAACTAAAAGGAAATTCCATAAACTTTTAATGCTAAGCTAAATCATTGTAGAATGAATGACAAAAAAATTATCCTACAAAACATAACCAGTTGCTAGATACATTTGAACATTAATTAGAAAAAAGATGAATGAAAGACATGTTTTAGGAATAAAAACTACAAAAGAACTGTAAAAGCTTATCACGCCCTTGGCTGGAGTTACGCAAAGTTACTACTCACCCGTAAATTGGGATTAGCATGGTGGCTACTTCTTAAAGTTGATACAAGGATTAAATGTGTTTTAATGCATCAAAAGCATCTAGAAAAGTGCCTGAGACATAGTAAGTGCTAAAGTCTCTCTAAGTAAATAAAAAATATATAAAAGTGATGCTAAATTCAAGATTCTGATCCTCTGTACACACCCAATGTGTTTAAAATTCTGTTCATCTTCCCTTCCACATTCACAGTGAAATGTTTCTGATTAATTTAACAGGCTGTGTGAGGTGTTCATCATCTTTTACATTAAACTTGGTACATTGTACAACACTCTTATATTGTGATAATTTACCAAGCTAACACAGGCTCACCTTGTTTTTAATCCTTTTCACACACAGCATAGAATTATATTGCTATATTTTTAAATTTCAGATGATTTGAAAAATATTTACACTATAGTAGCCAAACAGTAATAATTATAAGCAACTTGGATAAAACATTTGAAATTAGAGAACTATATTTAGAATAAATTTCTCACCTTACAGAAAAATTTCCCATTGAAAACCCCTTTATTTCGCATACAAATAAGAATTCAGCATGTTTTTCTATACCCAGAGAGAACAGAGATAAACAGGGTCCTTTCGTGTGGTTTGGGTATTTTATTAGATGCTGAGTTCAAGAAAGTCTCACCCCTGAAGAAGCTGAAATTCCATTTTTCTTCGAAATGGGGTCTTTTCAAAGTTAGTAACAATGAAGCTGTCATTCACACGATGCATGGCTGAACAAAAAGACAGAGACAGCGGGTGCTGCATTTTGTTTTTGTAATGTTGCCTTGTCCACAAGACACTATTTACACTTAAATCAATTAAAATTATATTAATTTTAAAAGTCAGTTTTCCCAGTTTCTCATTTGTACTAGCCACATTTCAAATACTCAGAATTCATGGGTGGCCAGTGACTGACGTAATGAACAGCACAGATATAGGCATTCCATCACTACAGAAGGGAGCTGGACAGCAGTGTGCCAATGTTTTAAGGACAGAATCCTGAGTAGAATTATAGGATGATGACAATTCCGAGTTCCCATTCCAATTCATGGTCTCTTCTCTGATGAGTGGTGTAGGGGGAAACCCATCTCTTTTGTGAGTAAAGGTTAATTTTTCCAACTACAGATAAATAATTAACATTACTTTTTTTAAAACCAGTTTTACACTGTTAAGTTACAACCAAAAGTGAAGGGCTTGAATTACATTTACATTTTAACACATGGTTTTAAAGGGAAGATCCGTGTGAAAAAGAAACAAAACTCAGAAAAAAAACCCAGAAGTTTTCATACCAATTCCCATAGCAATAACAATCCCTTTTCTGTCGTTAGAGTTCACCCTCATTCTGATTTCATAGTAATCCTGTTCATGTCTTTCTTTAAAGCTTTACCCCATGCATATATTTCTAAAACAACACAGGTTATCTCAAACTTTATATAAATTTTGAATTTTTCATACAAATGGAATCATGCTGTGTATATTCTTACAAGACCTCATTTTAGATCAAATGTATGTTTGCTAAGTTTTTATAGGTGTCTGTAGAGTATTCATGTTTATTATTTGTAACATTTCATTGAATAAATACATCATATATTAAATTAACCCTTCTCTCGTTTATGGTCATTTCATTTGTTGTCAGATTTTTTAAAATTACAAGCAATGCTGTTACAAGCCTTCTAGCACTAGTCTGTTGGCACAATGGGCACATATCTGTCAAAATTATACACCTAGGAGTGGAGTTACTGGTATATGTGTATGATATCCCACTCAAAGAGATGATGCCACACTGCTAGATAAAGTGGCTGTGGCAAGCAATGTGTGGTAGATCTTGATGGTCTGTATTCTCATCAGTGTTTGGAAAACTCAATAATTTTAATATAGAAATTCTAGTGCATTTTTCAAAATATCTCATTATGTTTTCCTCATTAAACTTTATTGAGATATAAATCACATACTACTCACCCATCTAAAGTATACAATTCAATGGTTTTTCACATATTCAGAGTTTTAAATCTGCATATTTAATTTTAGAACATTTTCATCATCCCAAGATAATCCACGGCTTTATAATATGTCTCTCTATACAATGAAGTAAATCCATAAATTTTGAGTTTTCACTTCAGGAGTGTTTTTTCTATCATTGGCAACTTTCCTAGCTTGACAGGCACCTTTCCAAGTACCTTTAACAATTTTATTTTTAATAGAGATTTCATTCAGTAATCAGATTTGGAGAGCACTGACAAATTTTGCCACATTGAGACTTATAATTCATGAACATGTAATGTTTACTTATTAAATACTCTTAAATAAAGTATTGTTGGTTTTACTTGTGCATCTTTTAGTAGATTTATTCCAAAGATCTTGAAATATGGTGCTAGTGTTCACAGTATCTCTTTCTTTGTTGAATTTCAGTGTTGGTTGTGGTATGTATAAATATAAATAATTTTATATAGTTTTAATTCAATGACTTTGCTTAAAGCTTTTATTAATTCATGTAGTTGATATATTCTGTTGCCTGATTGCACTAGCTAGGAAATCCAGTGTGATTTTGAGTGCAATGGAGAGGGCAGGTCTGCTGGTATCTTCTCTGTGCACTCCTGATCCACGCTCCATGTACTCTCCCTGCTCCGTGTCCTGGACACTGTGCTGCATGGCCTGCTGGACCACAAAAGGCAGCCTTGCTTTCTGGCTTTTATTTGGGATCGGCTAAATGGGAGCATCATCACGGAGAGAGTGATGAGGAGCACTGGTTGGAGGGATTTCTCCCCATAGCTTTCAGTATTGACATAGGGAGAAATGAGATGTGATTGGCCTGGATTCATCAATATGGGATCTTCACCCAGTATCTTAGATTAAATGTGTTATTTTGAACACCTAAGAGTGATGTTAATAGTCAGCCAGGTTAGCTAATTAAAACCCGAATTCAACTGTGGCCTAGCACAGTGTTTCTCAAATTTGACTGCGCTTTCCATCACGTGGGAGATTTTAAATAGCCCCAGGTCTAGATCAACATGTAAAACCAATGAAATCTAATTCATCAAAAGTAGGATCCTGGAAACAGTATTGTTCCTAAAACTCTCCAGGTTTGACTCCAATCAACAGCCAAGTTAAAAACTAGTAGCTCAAAGCAGTGGTTCTCAATATTTGGTATGTATCAAAATCATCTGGGAATTGTAGCAAAACTACACAGGCCCAGATATTATTCTAATTTAACAGGCTAGAGCCTTGAGTTTATTAAAACAAATCATCTCTCCAGATTTTGCTATATGCAACAGTTTGTGAAAACCACTAGCCTATATCAACAGAATCCCTATCACAGGCATACTGCAGAGGAAAGTGTCTGAACACAGCTCAGAGAGACGGAAAAGTGGGAATGTATCCATTATGTGCAACCTACTTAACATCTCCTAACCACATCTCCCGGGAGGGCTGAGAGGATGCCCCCCTTACCAAGGTATTAAGGTGCCACGTGACACATACAGGTATAAAAACTGCTAGGTCTGCTGAGCAGTCACCAACCTTGAGTCCTGGATATTCAGAAATTCTTATCCAGTAGCTACACCAAAGCCAGCTGATATGTCAGAGCCCCTCATATAAGCAGAAGGCTGGTGCCCTTGAGAAAGGACCCTATAATTCACTCCGAGATAAATTCTTTTTACAGGACTTTCCCAGAGGAACATTTAGTCATTTATCGCTGTCCACTGGGGAATGGAAAACCCCAAATAATCTGGGAGCTCAACTTTAATGTCTTTAATCCTGTCAAAGATTACCCTGGGGTTAATACTTTGTTGTAACCTGCATAAAAATCTTTCCCTACACTAAAGTAATGAAGATATTCTACTATATTACTGTAAAGAGATGAGTACAATCACATTTTTTTACAAGAGATGAGTACAATTGCATTTTTCCAGATAGATAACCAATTGTTGTTAAATTATTTTCTAAATCGTTTTCCTTTACCCACTGATCTGTAATGTTGCCTCTGCTCTACATACGTTCAGGGCTTTCTATTCTGTTCCCAAGTTCTAGTTTACTACCCTGTCTCAACATCTCGACTCTCTTAATTAAAATAACTCTAACATAAGTCTTAATATCTGCTAAGGAAATTCTCTCTGCTTATTATTCTTATTTAGAGTGTCATAGCTACTTTTTCTCTTTCATATTTCAATATAAGGCTTAAAATTGGCTTACTATGTGTTGCAAAAATGCTTGATAAACATTTGATTGAGATGTGTTTGAGTTCTTAAGAGTCCTGTAGGAAATTAATGTCATTATTATATTGAACCATCCAAGCCAGGATCCTGGTAAATTGATTCAGTTAATTCACTGTCTTCTTTAATTACTGTCTTCTATTATTACTCAGTAGGGTTTTTTAAATATCCCAATTGATATCTTGTACAGAATTTGTTAGGTTTAGTTTTAGAAGTTTATATGTACGCACTTTTGCTGAATCAATTTTTTTAAATTTTCATTTTATATCTGTGCAAAACAGCTCTATAATTTCTTCTACCTACCAAGCAAAAATATCTTATTAACTTCCGGATCACGAGGTCAGGAGATCAAGACCATCCTGGCTAACATGGTGAAACCCCATCTCTACTAAAAATACAAAAAATTAGCCGGGCATGGTGGCGGGCGCCTGTAATCCCAGCTACTCGGGAGGCTGAGGCAGGAGAATGGCCTAAGTAAATCTGGGAGGCGGAGCTTGCAGTGAGCCGAGATCTCGCCACTGCACTCCAGCCTGGGCGACAGAGCGAGACTCCATCTCAAAAAAAAAAAAAAAAAAAAAATATATATATATATATATATATATATATATATTTATATATATATGCATCTTATTAACTTCAAGAGTGTTCTAATCATTTGTATTTTCTGCATTCAGCATATTACCATTTGCAAATTATAAGAGTTTTGTGCCTTCTTTTCAAACCTTTTTAAGTGTATTTCTTTTCTTCTTTATGACACTGGGAAGATCCTCAATTAAAATTTTTAATAAGAGCAGTGAAAACTGCTGGACCACTCAAACAAAAATTGAGCTGCCACTCCTGAGAACTGACTGTGTTGCTCTTATGGGTCAGCCCTTTGGGACCCATCCTTATCCCAGGGATTTACAGTGCCACATATGCACCCACAGCCTTTAGATGTAGGCTTTATCCACCTAGCCCTCAAAGGTCTCAGACACTGCCCAGAGCAGCCAACATCACCCAGGACAAAAGCAACCCTGCAGCTCAACTTGCTCTTCTAGATTTCTGCCTTCTCCTGGTTCCTGGCCTGGCAAATCTTTACTGCTTGGTTAGCCCCTTCATACTTTCCATCAGATTTTTCAAATATGTACCCTTTTCCCACTTGTCCAGTAGTACTCAATGGGAGGGATGATCCAAATTACATAATTAATAATTGCTGAAAACTAAAGTACAATGTACAATTTTTATGTCAATGTCACATGCCAAGGGAGAAAATGCATAGGTATCAGTAGTGACTACTTAAGCATGTGTAACTTAGAGGTAATAAAAACAAAAATGTTAGGTAATATCTATCTATTCCAGATTAAAATCTATATCAATAAATTCAAACTTCTAGGAAAAATATCTGCATATGTAATATATGACTGTGACTCCGATAGACGAACGTGGGAATATAGTATGAAGATACTTCTCATCGTCTTCACTCTGTGAGGCAGTCAGTGTGAAATGAGAACCAGGGATTCAAAATGTGTTGCAAGACTATGAAAAGCACTAGAGTAAGTTCTACACAAATAAAGCAATCTCCTCATAAATTACACTGGGCTTATCTGTGAGATGCATGTCCTTATCAAAATGGAGTTAATTCTAGGTAGGTGATCTTGTTTAAATAAAATGGACTCTGACTCACTAGCTACTGGTCCACCATCGGTTTTTCCCTTTACTAAAAGGGAGGCCCCACACTGAGCCAGCATTTCCCAAGAGGAGGTCTCTTGCTGACATCAACTTCCAACAGGGTAAATTTTCATGGGAACCCAAAGAGAAGAGGAAGACCTCAAGAAAAAGGACCTAAAGAAATGACAAGAATGATAGCATTTTACACTTTTATTGTGCTATGTGTCAAATAGTGGTCTTCGCACTTTAAAAATGCCAATTCATTTTATTCTGACTACACATCCATGGCTTGTGCCTGTTATTTTTCCCTTTCATAGTTAATGCCATAGGAATGAAGATCACACAAAAGTAGGGATGGAGCCGGGTTTGCACCCAGACAATTCTGCCCCAGGGCCATGCTCACACCACTGCACTTTTCCAGAATGTGAGGGTGGGCGGAGAGTCCAGCTCAGGGAGAGAGATTGGAGTGAGAGAAGAAGGAGAGGGGGCCGACTGGATCACTGTGATGGTCTGGACCCACGATTCCAGGAGAGAAAGACAAGGATTATGTCACTCAGGGAAAATATCCAAAGTCTCTGGTTTAAACTTAAGCATCTCCAGCTCCAGGACAGGTGGCTGGTGGGAAGACAAACTAAGCCAAAGCCACAGCTCTGAAGATTTCCCTCTCCTGAGAATTCTGCAGGGGTTTCCCTGACCTCATGGCCACCTCTCACCCTTGGCTCTTGTTTTTCCCCCAGGACTGATAAGGGCGTCCAGATGGGACGCCTTTATCAGTTGGTCTCGGGTTCTAGAGAAGCCATCAGAGTCAGTGGAGGATGAGCTTCATAAAGTGGGAGATCTCCAGGATCCTTCCTGGACTCCAAGATACCCAGAGAAGCCGGATCCTGTGTCCCGGAACCCCCTTCCTGTTCCTTTGTGGGCCCTGACCTTAGGGAGAACTGGGCTGGTGAGAAGATCAGGATGAACTGGGCTGGGGAGGCAAGAGGGAAAGGGCGGCTTGGAGGGCTTAGTAGCTCCTCTCGCGGCGCCTCCGTCCCGGGCTGGGATCTGCAGACTCCTCAGGTCACTTCTCCCAGAGCCGCCGCCCCAAGCCACCCTCCCCTGGTTCCCGTCCCTCTGTCCCCTCCCCAGCTCCCCCCACACAGTAAGAAGCTCCCAAGTGAGCGGCTCCGGTGCCGGGCGGGACGTGGGAGGGAGGCTGTGTCCCCGCGGGGAGGCAGGGCGACGGCGTCCAGGAGAGAGGCGAGCGGGGCGGCGTCCCAGGCACCCTGCGCCTCTCCCGCCCGCAATGTGCGGGTTCCCGGAGCCCAGGCCCGCACCCCGGGTACTTGAAGGCCGCCGGGCTCCGCCTTCACCACGTGGGCCCTGAGTTCCTCCGCGGCGCCTTCGTGGGCGACACGCGATTCCTGAGCTTCCACAGCCGCGGCGAGAATCAGAGCGTGAAGCGCGGGTGGAGAAGATGGCACAGGGCTGTGGGCGCCCTGAGGAAAGTTCTCGAAGACCGCAGGGAATGTGTTACTGAGGGGCCTGAGGTTCCTGGGCCCGCACCACCACCAGGGTCAGCCGGTGAGTGACCTCAGACTCCGGGCACAGGTGTGCCCCGCCCCGACCCCAGAGTGACCAGCCCGGTTCTCCCAGGGATGGGGGGGCGGGGCCTCAGCTGATCCCTCTCAGGTGGGGAAGCGCTGGGGCCATTTTGCTCCAGGTTTCTCCTTCAATCTGGATCATGACTGACTTGTTCTGTGACCAATGACAGAGGGAGGAAGGAGCTGGGGTGGGCGGGGCGACCTCCCTCCCCTCCCTGGCCCCGCCTCCGGCTCACCCTGGGGCAGGTCCAGGGCACCGCACCTGCAGATGCTGCTGTCTGGCTGGGTGGTGGCTCCGGACAGGAGCTTCCTCGAAGGACACTTTAAGTCCGCCTACGACAAGGAGATTTCATGTCCCTGAACGAGGACCTGCAGACCTGGACAGCGGCTCAAAGAGCGGCTTGGAGGATCCATCACACCTGGGAGAGGTTCTGGACCGCGGAGGCCACAAGGGAAGCCCCGATGGGTCACTGCACTAGGTGGCTGCTCAGACACCTGGAGCATGGCAAGGAGATGATGCTGCCGGCAGGTACTGGGGTCCTCCAGGCCCCACGTCAGGACCTCTTGGAGCTGGAATTATGTTCCTTGGAGGCATCCATATTTGAGGAAAGAGGAGACCGAACAGTCTCCGTCTCCTCCTCCTCCTCCTTCTCCTCCTCCGTCGCCGCCTCCTCCTCCTCCTCCCTACTGCGGGGTTGGGGATTCTGGCCCAGGCTCCTGAGGCTCTCCCATGGGTGGGTGGGGAGGGAGGACAGAGAAGAAGGAGTGCAGGGAGGTAAATAGGAAAGGACAGTAGTTACCCTTGTCAACAGTGATGTACTTGGGTCTAGCTTCACCGGGAATCTTTTTCTTTCCTGGCCCTCTGTGCCCAACAATTACATATAATCTTTAACCCAACCAGAAGATAAAACACCAGGAAACGGAATCGGCAGAGACACAGTAGATGAAAGTACCACGAAGGACTGCTAGGTTCTAATAGAAAGTAGCAGATGTGAGTATCAAAAGTTATAAACCTTTTTGCAAATCAGAAAAGAAACAGACTTTTTTTTTTTTTTTTTTTTTTTTTTTTTTTTTTTGAGACGGAGTCTCTCTCTGTCACCCAGGCTGGAGTGCAGTGGCGCGATCTCAGCTCACTGCAAGCTCCGCCTCCCAGGTTCACGCCATTCTCCTGCCTCAGCCTCCCGAGTAGCTGGGACTACAGGCGCCCGCCACTACGCCCGGCTAATTTTTTGTATTTTTAGTAGAGACGGGGTTTCACTGTGTTAGCCAGGATGGTCTCGATCTCCTGACCTCATGATCCGCCCGCCTCGGCCTCCCAGAGTGCTGGGATTACAGGCGTGAGCCACCGCGCCTGGCCGAAAAAGACATTTTAAGACTGAAAAGTGGTATCACCAATGTTAGAACCAAAAAACTGGACCTGAGGGTGCATCACCCGAGGGGGTTAAGTTAAACTCTGTCCCTGTTCCTTCTAGAGCCCCGTGGAGATTCCTGCTGTGCAGCAAAGCCTGGGAGGGGCCCTTGGCTGTGGAAGGCAGGCTGAGACGTCATAGGTGAGATAGGAGGAAGGGGACCTGCTGGACTCCCGGAGGCCTGGTACCCAGGGAAGGCCAGTTCCTAGGGCTGCCTCTGGACTTCAGAACCTTGATGTTAAGTCAGATTTTCCCGCTCCTCCATGAGCTTCCAGGAGCAGGGCCACATGGGGCTCAGAAAGTCCCACAGTGCCTAGGAAGTGGGTCTGTCTCTTGTGGGACAAAAATTCTCAGGTCTTTCTCTTTCAGATTCTTAAATTTCTTAAAAGAGATTGAACTGGAATTACCCAGGCCCCAAACTGAATCAAGGAATTGGGACTGTGTAATGTGTGTGTGTCTGTCTGTGCACATGTGGATGTATAAACAGGTATGGGCATCTATGTGTATGTGCGTGTTTATAAGTGCGTATATGTATGTATCTGTACATATTTATGTATATAAGCAGGTATGGGTATGTATGTGTGTATGTGTGTGTGTTACTCTGTGACTTCCTCATACTTGGCACCACCCTGGCCTTTTCCTGGTTGCCCCCCACACCATAGGTTGTAGGGGACAGAACAGCGCTCCACCTGCAGGCATAGAACGGGGGTCAGGATAAGTGTTGGGGAGAGCTGGTTTCATCACACCTGGAATAAGGAAACAGGACCTAAATGGATGGGTCCCACTCTTTTACAGAATTGTACCTTAAAAAAAGTGTCAGTCACGTTCCTAAGGGATTTACATGAATTAAATCATTTAAACCTCACAAGAGCCCTATGACCTAGAGACAGCTATCAGCCCCATTTTACAGACAAGGAAACTGAGGTCACTAGGAAGTTTAGTAACTGTCAATGGGCTGACTCATGACTCTAAGGAGACAGTCTGACTGCTGAGCCCAAGTAACTGCTCTGTCATACTCACCCTCACACCCACCTACTACTGGCTCCCTGTGGGTCACCTCCTCCTGTGGGCTCTGACCAGCTTCCCTTTCTTCTCCAGGCACAGAGACTGGACTGAAGTCTATTGCATTTGCCACAGTCCCGACTGGGGAGTCATGGGGTTGAAGTGACCCATAGGCTGATGGAGTGTGCTTGCTGGATGCGGGGGAAAGGGAGATTTATATCTGCCCTGGAGGGAGTCAATGGTGTTTGCATCATGGCATATGAGGTGCACTATCTAGAATGCTGAAGGGTAAAGACCAGCAGGGGCCATGCAGAGTCTATTCATCACGGTTTTATTTCACAGCCTGCATGGGCCTGAGAGTGGTGGGGTGTTCACTCATCTCCATCCAATCCCTACTGGTTCCTGACCTCTCTTCTTCCAACTGGTAATACCTGCACTCAAGGTTGAACCATGAGGAGGAGTCTACCCACACCCCACACTTCCTCCTCTCTGCCTGCCACTCCCTAGTGGGGCCTCCTGGATGGTGTGAGAGGAGAGTGACGGAGATAGTAAGAGAACTTGACATTCACACTGGTAAAGAGAAAGTGGGATGTCAACCTATGAGAAAGATAAGGGCTGCCACAGGGAAGGGGATGAGATAAGTTCTAACTGGCCCCAAGGGTCGCTTAACTCAGTGAAAGCTGTGGGAGGTGTTTTCAGCTATCCATTGCTATGTAAGAAATTGCCACAAACTTAGCAGCTTACAACAACACACATGTATTATCCCACATTTCTATGGGTCAGGAATCCAGACACAGCTATGCAGCTTTCTCACATGATTTTCATCAGAGTGCCATGGCTGGGTCTTATCTGGAGGCTGAACTGGGGAAGGATCCACTTCCAAGCTCAAGCAATTGTTGGCAGGATTCATTCCTCCATGCCTGTTAGACTGACAGCCTCAGTTCCTTACTGGCTGGTGGCCAGAGGCTGACTTCAGTTCCTTGCCACATGGGCCTTTCTGCTTCATCAAAACTTGCAAACAAAGAAGGTAGAAGACAGAGTCATCTAGTAATACAGAAGTGCGGCTGTAATATGACCTCATCACGGAAGTGACATCATTTTTGTCACTTTCTATTGGTTAGAAGCAAGTTTAGGCCCCATCGGTTCTCAGCTGGATGAGATGCCAAGAGACAGGATCACCGGGCATCATCTTAGGGTCTCTATACACAGGCTGGACCATGACTGAACAAGATCATTACAAACCCGGGTCCTGGACTGGGCCAGATGATCTGCAGAGCTGAGCTGTGTTTATGAAATCGAATCCCTGGAAACAAAAATCAAGAGACGCCCACTGGAAAGGCTGGTCTTGCATTCTGTGTGAAAGCTAAGATGGCGTTCTCTCCAAATGTTTTTCTCTATTACTTTTCAAACCTCCTGCATCTGTAAAGAAGCAGCACCACTAAACCTATCTGGTTTTTTTTTCATTCGAGTGTCATACTGTTAGGCAAATCTTCTGCTTTCACTATTTCTTCAAGCTTGTTTTCATGCAGAATCCCACGAACTTCTGGTAATTACACTTTATTGATTTCTTTTCCTTCACTCAGTTTATTTTTTAGTGATTTTATTTCTCTTGTATGGATAAATTAGTCCATTTAATTAGGGAATTTGTGTCTTCTAAAGAAATATTTCTACTATTTTTTGGACCATATGGGCTAAGATCCTCTTGCCAAGCCTCAGCTCACTTCCCACATGGACACGACAAAATTACTGGGGGTCCTGGAAAGTCGGGGATTGGCATAGTTCTTAAGCAGGATCAGACATGTAAGTCACAAAGATATGAGGCAGATACCTTTGATTTCCTTATGACCCTGATGACAGCATACCTGGCACTCAATACCTGTCTGTAGAGGTGAACTCAACTAAACTCCTCCCTGATCACTCAATACCATGTGAGCCCAAGGACCTCTTATGTCATGGGCCAAATTCCCTTGTTTTATGTCATTTTTCCAGATGGAGTGCTGTTCACATGGGGACCTTTCTCCTTTTCCACCTCATTTTCCATGTGTGAAACACTGGGTCTTGATTACTCAGATCTCTCAGGGTCCTTTCTACCTTTTCCTCCATCCTAACATTCTCCCTACAGTTCCTGCCAGGGTTTCCCCGAACCTCTTCTTCTCCATGTATTCAGTCTAGCATCTCTCAGTTCATTCTTCACACTTCACCAAAGTGATATTCTGGAATGCAGATCTGATCAAGGTTCTTCCTGACTTCAGTGCTGCCAGTGCTGCACATTGTCCTCGGATAAAAGCCAAAGGTTCTCCCCAACCCCACAAGCCTTAGTCATTGAATCTGCTCACTGCTCCAAGCTTGCTTTTTGCCCCTGTGCTCCTCTTTCTCTAATCTCTACCCTGAACTGCTGACAGTTCCCCCAGACTCCCTGTGTGTTCTTTCTTCTGAGCCTTTGTTTGTGATACTGATTCCCTAAAAGATTTCTCCTGCCATTCACCTGGATTAACTGTGTTCCTCATCCAGTTCTCTGTTTAGACATTGCATCCTCTTGGAAGCAGTTTTCCCGCACTAATTATAGTAGCCTGCATTTAGCTGTTTTTTTAGTCCCCTTGTGGAATCTTTGATGTTTCACTCATTGAGGCCTAGGAGACCCTGACACATAGTAACTGCCTAATAAATGTTTGCTAAATAAATGTGGGGTTCACCATGAGATACCACGTTATACATGCAAGAATGGCATTAATTTGGCTGGGCGCGGTGGCTCAAGTCTGTAATCCCAGCACTTTGGGAGGCCAAAGCAGGCAGATCACGAGATCAGGAGATCGAAACCATCCTGGCTAACACGGTGAAACCCTGTCTCTACCAGAAATACAAAAAATTATCTGGGCGTGGTGGCATGCACCTGTAGTCCCAGCTACTCGGGAGGCTGAGGCAGGAGAATTGCTGGAACCTGGGAGGTGGAGGTTGCAGGGAACCAAGATCATACCACTGCACTCCAGCCTGGGAGACAGAGTGAGATTCTGTCTCAAAAAAAAAAAAATGGCATTAATTAAAAAGTCAAAAAACAATAGATGTTGGCATGGATGGATTACACTGCTGGTTGTGAGAATGTAAATTAGTACAACTACTATGGAAAACAGTATGGAGATTCCTTAAAGAACTAAAACTAGATCTATCATTTGATCCAGCAATCCCACTACTGGGTATCTACCCAAAGGAAAATAAGTCATTATATGAAAAAGACACATGCACACGCATGTTTATAGCAACACAATTCATAATTGCAGGGATGTGGAACCAGCCTAAGTGCTCATTGACCAACCAGTGGCTAAAGAAAGTGTGGTGTATGTACACCATGGATTACTACTCAGCCATAAAAAGGAATGAAATAATGCCTTATGTAGCAACTTGGATGGAGCTGGAGGCCATTATCCTAAGTGGAGTAACTCAGGAATGGAAAAACCAAATACTGAATGTTCTCACTTATAAATGAGAGCTAAGCTATGAGGACACAAAAACATACAAAATGACATAATGGACTCTAGGGGCTTGTTGGTGGAGGTTGGGAATAGGGTGAGGGATAAAAGGCAACACTGGGTACAGAGTACACTGCTCGGGTGATGGTGCACCAAAATCTCAGAATTCACTACTAAAGAACTCACACACATAACCAAAAACTACCTGTCCCCCAAAAACTATTGAAATAAAAAAATTTTTTAGATAAATGTGGGGTTGATTTGTAATTTAAAATTTATTTTGAATAGCTAATACAAGAACAATATTTAAAAGATTATAATAATAAAAATGTGTATAGTGTGCAAAGCAAATTTCGTTCTCCACCCCATCCACAATTCTTCCAAATTCCTTGCCTGGATGCAACCACTGTTACCAGTTTCAGCAAGAAATTAAGACAGAAATTAAAGTTCTGCTCCTCATAATAATCACGATCAATTATCCCTGCTTATACAGTAACCCCTCCTTTTCCCAACAGCCTCCTAGCATGAGGAACCCAAATTGAACAGGTAACAAACATACCCCTAAACGTAATGTAACTTGTACTCTGTTCCATGGTAGGAACTTCCTTCTCTGGGATCCCAAACTCCTAGACCAGCTGAGTACGTTGAGGGGATGGGAAGCACCAACACCCCACGCGGGTTACCGGAAGTGCTGGTGAGTATAGTCATTCCTTCTTCCAGCACTGGTGGTTAGAGACTTACTTACTCTACCTGTTGGAGACTTGGCACTATGTAACAGCTGCTGCCATAGCCTAAGTGTATGCTTCATCCTGAAGGACATTACCCATCCTGATAGGATGTGATCTTCAAGATAAAACCCAGCTGCACCCTCAAGAGACCATTCCACTGCTCTATCAGCTGGCAGCGTGTGTGATGCAGTATGGGGTAGAACCAGGAGATCTCATGGTCGTGTGCCCACTACCAGACAGCGTTCGCTATAAAGTAGGTCCCTTAGTCTGGGGCAATGTTATGTGGTTCCCCTATTAGAAGATCATACATATGTGAGCCCTTAGATAACGTTTCTGAGTGTGGCACTATGGGAAGAAAGAACAAACTCATACCGCTAATACAAGGCAAGCTAAATCTGACAGAACCCCTGCCTTTTTCATTGTGAAAAAGTAAGAGTAGAATCAATTTGCCATCAAATTGCTCATTGGCCTCCATAAGCAAAGGTAATCTGTTGGAGTTTATTTATCGTTGGAAGGTAGGTTGTGACAATAACCACGTCAGCCATGCTGAAGGGAGCCCAAGCCTTGGGACCCACCCACAGTGCATCTCTTCCACCATAGATACTGCTTTCAAGAGCCTGTTTCATGAGCACTGGGATGGTTAAGGACAGAGGCTGGCTGATGTGTACCAAATGATTCATCCTGTACACCTGGTTGTTTAGACTACTTGTATAGAGGGTAATTTTTGCTGAGTATTAACATCTGATACAAAAGATCCAAGCACTTTGTATCTACTGTATGCCTCTTTCCAGATATTCCTGTTCCTGATCTTCCTATCTTGCTCCTTCCAGGCCCCGGACCCGCTATTTAAGCCATTTGCCGTTGCCTATGAGTCTGTGCATGTTCTCACCTCAGGCCACTTCTGTCTACACAAAGTGGGCAAATCAGAGCCCCACCTGCCTATTGGCAGGACCCTCTTCAGCACTGTCTCTGCTCATTCCTGAGTTGCCCACACTGCAGACACACTCTACTGCTGCCTCACACCAACACACTAAGCTGGCATGTTTATGAAGAAGCTCAGAATTTTCCTCTTAAGTCAGCTGGTCATAGAAACTACCCATAAGGTCATTGGTGAGAGTCGAGGTCAAGGCAAATTTCCAGCAGTGTGAGGTGACATGGGGTCTGAGCAATGTCTGTATGTAATTAACATCAGTACTCAGAACATACATACTTTAACCCAGGGGTCAGCCAGTGGTTTCAGTAAAGGCCCAGATGGTTTCCCTTTGCTGTGTGTGTGTTCATTCCCCTCTCCGAAGCTATGTGTAACCCCATAGGGATCACAGGGGTTCCCATCAACCACAGCCAGTTACATCCACAAAAGCCTTGATCCTTGTTAGCAGATGGGAGAGGGTGGCTTGGAGGATTGAAATCCCTACTTCATAGGACTCTGGATACTTACACAGTTGCTTCCTCCTGTGCTTCTACATGAATCTCAGCACTGTATTTAGGACACCGTCTGCACTCTTATTCTTCATGCAATTCTGTTTGCTCCTCAGATGGCCGCTTTTCCTTTGAAGCTCAACAGTGGTCATCACGTACTTGGGCTGAGGGTTACTGGTTAACTCTGTGGGATTCTGGGATCAGTTCCTTCCCATTCTTAGCCATCCCTGTGCTTTACAAAACTTAGCTTCACAATTATACTCATCTCTCTCTGTGTGCACCTCTAAGAAATTACTGATAAAACACTTGAGTTTTTTGAAATTACAAAAATATATACAAGAAAATGTTTATGGGGCCATTGATTAGCATGGAAAAGCATAAACTTTCCTGTTTTCTGCCTCTCATTAGAATTTAATCCCCCAAAATTGAACTCATTCCAAACTTCTGGCTTAACTAGGAGTTGCTGTAGCCAGCCTATTCTAGACAGCATCCTGTAAGCCCCTGGGATTGGCAGACACAAGACCACTTTTTCCATTCATATATGTGGTTCTGTTCTGGCCAGATCAACGGACTTCCAGTGCCCTTCTTGAGTCATACTGAGGTAAATTACTCAGACCACGAACTCACATTTTTAAATAAATAAAATAGCAGCATAGTTAATAATTTATTTATCCCATTACTGGGCATATACCCAAAGGATTATAAATCATTCTACTATAAAGACACATGCACACATATGTTCACTGCAGCACTATTTGCAATAGCAAAGACTTGGAACCAATCCAAATGCCCATCAATGATAGACTGGATAAAGAAAATGTGGCACATATACACCATGGAATGTTATGCAGCCATAAAAAAGAATGAGTTCATGTGCTTTGCAGAGACATGGATGAAGCTGGAAACAATCATTCTTAGCAAACTAACACAGAAACAGAAAACCAAACACCGCATGTTCTCACTTATAAGCAGGAGTTGAACAATGAGAACATGTGGACACAAGGAGGGAAACATCACATACTGGGGTCTGTCAGGGGATGGGGGCAAGGGGAGGGATACCATTAGGAGAAATACCTAATGCATGCGGGGCTTAAAACCTAGATGACGGGTTGATGGATGCAGCAAACCACAATGGCACATGTGTACCTATATAACCAACCTGTACATTCTGCACATATATCCCAGAACTTAAAAGTATAATTAAAAAAAGAATTTATTTCATTTGTGTAGTCCATTAAATTTTTTGTACATTTTTTAAACCTGCACTTTTCATAGTTTTTGATACATCCTTGCTCCAATAAATAGCTTGCTAAAACTACTAAATCTCATAGATATACCAATGGTTTGCATCATCTAATGGCACATTTGCTTGTCAAACTGAGGTCAGCCAGTCCCCCTTCATTCACTGTTAGTAACTCATGTGTTGCATTGTTAAAAACCCAGTATCACCTCATCTCCCCTCTAGCATCTTCTCTGCAGAGGAGAAGCCAGGCACTATATCTCCCAGGATCCCCTTCCCTGTATAGTTCCAGTTTACATTTTCCAGTGAGAGAGACTTGCCTAAGAAATGGGGCCCTGGAGAGATGGTGGGACAGACCTGTACCCATCAGTGGTGGCTGCAGGTAGAGGAGCAGGCAGATGTCAGGTTCTCAGTGGCTTCCCTGCTAGGCTAGAGACCCACCTGCTTTGCTTGTGTGGACTAAGATGAGTGATAAGAGCTTTCTCATAGGTTCTGGAGAATATAGCAATCTCGCAGCAGGATTCTGAGAACCTCCCATCCATGCTTCAAGCTGAAGTCTTCAGTATATGCTTCCCTGACCTCCCTACTGCAGCTTCCAGGAGCTCCAATGGTGACTGGTATTATTATAGTATCCTGCTGCTGCTATAACAAATTACCACAACTATGTGGCTTAAAACAACACCAATGTATTCTCTTATAGTTCTGGAGGTAAGAAGTCAAAAATGTGTCACTATGGGCTAAAATTAACATGTCGTCAGAGCTGCATTTCTTCTGAGGCTCTAAAGGAAAATCTGTTTCCTCACCCTTTCCAGCTTCTTGGGGCTGCCTGCATTCTTTGGCTTGTGGTCTCTTCCTCCATCTTCCAAGTCAGCAGTCACATCACTTTGACCTCTGATTCTGTTGTCACAGCTCTAACTCTGATGCTGCTTTCTACTCCTTTCACTTATAAGGACTATTGTGATTACATCGAACCTGCCCAGATAATCCAGGATAATCTTCCCATCTCAAGAGCCTCAGCTTAATCACATCTGAAAATTTCCTTTTGCCCTATTAGGAGACATTTTTATAAGTTCCAGGGATTAGGACACAGACATATTTAGGAGACTGTTATTCTGCCTGTCACATGACTTCACCAATATTTGCTACCCGTGGTTTCCAAACATTAGTGTATGCTCTTATTTCTATTTATTCCTGAAATACCAGAGTGAGTCTGTTTTTCTGAAAACAGCTCACTAATGCCCAGAGGAGCTCAAAAATTTTCTGTCTGTTGTCTCAAAGTCTCCAAATTGTACTGATTCTTCAACGTGCATGGCTGTAAATTAGGCAATAATCTTGCTGGGGTGTTGGAAGGAAAAGAAAGGGAATGATTAGACAGCCCTTCTGATTCGGGACAGAATCTGATTCGGGACACTGTCCCTGATGGCTGGCCATCTTGGGCTGTAATCCAGTTTCCCTCCCACGTAGACCCGGTCATTTCTGACTCCCCAAGAGGTTTTCACAGTATTCATGTCCACTTCCTTCATCAGTCATCTTCTTGTCTTATATCTCCATGTTTACATTTTTCTTCTCTTCTACCACTGTAGTTCTGCCTTGATTCTTCAGCCATTGCCTTCCTTTTGCATGCATGTGCTTCAGCCAGTTCTCTAGGAAGACATTCCAGACAGCTCATTATCACTTGTTACTATGTTTATTTGACTGCAGAGCTTTGAAGATTTGTAACTTTCTATTTTTTAAATTTTAGTGTAAAAATAATTCTTGCTCACAGTAGGAAATGAAACAATCAAAATATGCATAAATATACTTTTAAATCTCTCCTTTCACTAAATCCAAACCCACTTAACTAAGGTGATTACTATTGTATCAGCCTACTCTCTGCATGTCTACTTTCTTCACTTGCACGCAAACCATAGTGAGTGTTTTTATCTGGTAGCTTTTGTTGAGCTGTAATGACTATAAGTTTTATATGTAATTTAATCATTTTCAGGGCAACTTGAGATATAATTTAAATAGTATAAAATCCGCACATTCAAAATATACAATTCAGTGGCTTTTAGAATATTCACAGTTGTGCCTCCATTACCACAATCAATTACAGATCCTTTTATCTCCTCCCAGCCCTGCAGAAAAATCCATATCCAAACCCCAGCCCTAAGAAACTACCAACCTATGTTTTAACTCTACAGATTTACCTATTCTGAACATTTTATGTAATGAAATTATACAACATGTGGCTTTTTGTGTCTGTCTTCTTTTACTTACCGGAACATTTTCAAAGTTTGTGTGGGTCGTAGCTTGTATCAGTACTTCACATCTTTTTCATCGCTGAATTACATTCCATTGTATGGATATATCACAATTTATTTATTAGTTGGTGACATTTTTGTCCTTCTCATTTGGATTGTGATTAATAATGCTGCTATAAACATGGCATATAGGTTTTTATGTGAACTCATGTTTTCATTTCTCTTGGGTATACTGTATCATAGGAGGGGATTGCTGGGTCATGTAATAACTTAATGTTCACAAATTTGAGCTACTGCTAGCCTGCTTTCTAAAGGGGCTATGTCTCTTAAATCCCCACCAGCAAAGTGTGAGTATTCTAGTATCTCCACATTCTCATCAACACTAATTATTATCTTTTTAATTATAGCCATTCTAGTGGGTGGGAAATAGTATCTCATTTTTGGGTTGATGTGCATTTCCCTGATGCTTAATGATGTTGAACATGTTTCTATGTGCTTATGGGCCTTTTGTATATTATTTGTCTTATTATTATTATTATTTATTGTTTATTATTATCTTATTATTAATATTATTATATTGAGTTACAACCATTCTTTATATATTCTAGATACAAGTCCTTTCCTTGCCAGATATAAGATTTGCAAAACTTTTCTCCCATTCAATGAGTTTCTTTTCACTTTCTTGATGGTGTCCTTAGACTCACACATTTTTAATTTTGATGATGTTCAATTTATCTTTTATTTCCTCTTTTTGCTTGTGCCTTTGGTATCATTTAAGATCAGGTATTTTTACCTAATCCAAAGTCATGAAGATTTATGCTTATGTTTTCTTCTAAGAGTTCTCTAATATTAAGTCTCACATTTAGGTCTTTGATACACTGAGGTAATTTTTATATGTGGTGTGAAGTAGGGATCCAGCTTTATTCTTTTGCATAGGGATAGCCTGTTGTTTCTGCACTGTTTGATGAAAAGATAATTTCTTCCCCTCACTGAATTATATTAGCACTGTTTTATAAAACCAATTAACCATATAAGTGAAGAGTATTGCTGGGCCCTCAATTTTCTTCTGACTTCATTGTTTTTAATGCTATTGTAAGTTGGATTTTTAAATAACATTTGTATTAATGCATTGATACTCTATAGAAGCACACTCAATTTTTGTATTTTGATCTTGTAGCCTACCAATGTGCTAAACTAATTTAGTATTAGTGGTTTAGTAGTTGCTAAGCTTGTTTTTAGTGAATTCTTTCGTATTTCTATATAAGATTTTATCATCTGCAATTGAGATAGTTTTACCTCTTGCTTTTTAATCTAGATGACTTTTATTTCATCTTATTGCTCATTGTAGCTTTTGAAAAATTACATTGTATTCACAGTGCCCTACCATTTGATATTTTTATTTCTATTATATCATGAACATCCTTTGAATTTCACAGAAAAAATGGTTTAACTCATCATTTTAATGCTGTTCCATAGTATGTTATATGCACCTACTCCCCTGGGGTAAATATTTAGGTGGTTTCATTTATTTGTCACCCACTCTACAGATGTCTATATGCACATATTCTCCCAGCCATCCCAGAGTTTTCTGATTTCCCATAACGTCAGTGATTAAACTCCTGATCTGTCTGACTAGCTAGACATGCTGACTGACTGACAGTTCCATTGCTACTTTGCATAATTTAAGATCAACAGCTACATTTGGATCTCAGATCATCTAGGCCCAGCTGCAGTTAGTCTTTCCTAGTCTCAGAGATTCCCTCTCTGCCTGTTAATTTCTCTATCCCTGAAACTGCCCTTGTACTCCAGCCCAAGCAGCTTCCTAGCCCAGTAGTCCTGGATCTGCCACTTGCTAACTAGAAGGTGTCATCTGCAGAAGGTAAGTAAGGCATTTATCTCCATTCACTTTATATTTAGTTATCAAATCTCCATGTAGCTCAGGTAGATCGAGCTGAAAACATTCTTGTGTTTAGTAATATAGCCATTGAGCACACCATCATTGCTCTTTTCATACCTTAGTCCTACTCAAAGATTAAAGTGACAGCTTCCCAGTTATGATAAAAAAGTATAAAACATTCTGAGGGACCTGTAAACTATAAAGCTAAAATATCAGCTTCTGCATGCAACATATATGTCAAATTCTATGTCCAATACTCTTCTCGTTTTTAGAATTAATTCTGCAAACTTGAAGATTGAGCTTTTTATGAACTGATTGGCATCTGCTATGCTCACCAGATTATTCCCACTTGACTGAGAGGATGGTGGTAGCAAGAGCTCCTTCCTTTCAGAGGCTTTTAAAAATACTTATTGGGAAGAATGTACCACATAAGGCATTTAACTAATGAAACCACAGATATAACCACTGGCAAAAAAATCAAACAAACATTTCTTTAACTGCCCTGTACTTGGTACATTCTCTTCCTCCTGCTAAGGAAGTATCTCCTCTCCCTTCACTTCACAGACTGGAATTTTCCAAATTCCTAGTCTCAACAAGACAAACTGTATTTTGAAATCACTGTTTTCCCAGAATACCCGGAGTGTTACCATGACTCCAGAAGATGCCTTCAACCAAGACTCATAATCTGACTGTAAGAAACCTTCAGATAAGGTATTGGGAACTTCTGTAAAATTGTAGCTGGGCTGTGATTAGAGAATTTTCACAATATCAACGAATCTTACAAAAGAGCTGCTGATCCAACAGGTCCTCAGAGATCCTGTGTGGGAACCAGAAGGTATTCTGTGAAAAACGACAATAAGAATAACCATAATAACAATAATGGCTGCATTTAAAAGGCTCTTGCTATATTTCAGGCACTGGTTTTTGTACCTACATGGATTATTTTGTTCAATATTTATCACAACCATATGAGAAGGATGTTATTATCCACAATAAATAAATGAAATCTGTAAACTGTAACTTGTTCAAGAAAATTAGGTACAGAGATGTTAAGTTACTTGCCCAAAGTTCCATAATTTTGAAGATATGAGGCTAGAATTCAGTTCCAGGCCATTTTACACTAGATCTACTAATTTAGCCACTGTATGATTGTACCAAGACTGACCTAAAGCTACCTCCCCTTCCCCAACAGGTTCTTTTATGACAGTGAGTATAAAATACAGGGCTAATGACGTATTGGGTGCAGAGAGGGGTTGGAAAGAATGTGGTATTTCAGACTATGCTTACTATGCTTAAAAATCACAATTCCGTGGTGACTAGAGTTTATCTTAAACTTTCCTCCCTGGCATTCCATTGCATCCAGTTGAGAGAGCACTCTAGCTCCCTACATCCCAGAACATGTAGATCTGTCCGTGGTTCTGAAAGATACACTGGCAGGTCCCGCCAACTACATGAATGGCATTCATATTGTGGAAAACTGCCCACTAGTAAAAATGTACAGTTGAACTTGTACATTCATTACTTACAAGGTTGGAGAACGTGAAGTACTGGACAATCCAACAATAGCTTGGAAAGATACCATAAAAAGACCCGCAGAATATTCTTTTATATGCATTATACTGAAATGTACAAAACAAAACCAGAATGGGACACATTATGAGTGAGAAGTTTATCTTGAAATTTTAATCAGAATATGAAGAAAAGAAATCCAACATTAGACCTGGAAAAAGATAAAATAATTTGTATTTCATTTAACAATATTTATAGATTCTCAATATATACACTATCCTTTTAAACCTCAATTTATATTTAACCATCCATTTACCTTTATTTTTTGTTTGTTTTTTTCTTTCACCTCATACTTTCTACCTGGGATATCTTTTTGTGACTAAAGTACATTCTTTAGAACTTCTTGTACTTTACTAGGTGTGTTTGTGTTAAATTGTTTGTCTTCAAAATTCATTGAGATTTAAATTTTATTATTATATTTTCATGCTTAAGTGTTATGTGTTTGTCTCTTCAAATTTTTCTGAAGATTATTTATAGTTTTATAGTCACTAAATGTATTTAACAATCTGTTCTTTAATCATAGCCCATTTAGCAATTTTATATCCTATACAATTATTCTGATTTCTCAGTTATATGATTGTATGATTCTGCTGTCTGTTGTATTTTCTTGTTCTTTCACGGTGCTTTGTCTCTTATGAACATTGTTCTCTGTTGTTGTTCTTAACTGTTAAGTGCTCCTTTTGCTGGTGTAATGATTTTTTGGAATTTTCAGAGTGCCAATGACAGTAGAAATTTTTCAGAGAAGTTTTGCTTGATTTTCCAAGGTTCCTTGGAGTCTGCACTACTTTAAAATAAATTCATGCCTTGATGATTTTTAGACCACCCAGGGAGTGTGAACTCGGGCTGCAAATCCACTTCTCTTTAATCTCAGGAGAAGGTTTTGCCCCTCTCCACTCAGCACCAAGGTGACTTTCTGGGGAGACCTTCAAGCAAGGATGTTTTCCTTATACTGAGGAGCTGGCTTTGGGATCCTGGTGAAATGAGGAGAACACTCTATTAAATTTCCCACTCTGAGTGCTACCTGAACTCTGTCTTCTATTCCAAATGCCTTAGGAGGCCATGAAAACTAAACCTTAATTATCCTACATTAAGTAAATAAGCTCAGCAAAAAAAGTAAATGCACAATTCCGTGATTTAGGATTTGACAATTTTTATTAAAGTTTAAGCCTCTCAATGCTTCTACATTGTGTTTTATTTTTTCACTATCCATTTTTGTTAGCATGAGGGTAGGTATGTTTACCTAAATGTGCCATGTGAGTGGTTCAAATCTCCTCCCCAACGCTCCTTATCACAAACCTTACCATCTTATTCCTTTAAAGTCACTGACTATCTAAGGAAACTACTAGCTACTGCTGTGCATTGATTAGGACCCAACAGTAAGACGTTTCTCCTTTTGGTAAACTGCACTTCCAGATGGTCTAATTGAACATCTTCTCACTGGAAGTATTTTTATTTCCATTACTCTTAATGATGATTCCTGAAAGAGACTCTAATGCCCTGACAGTTAACTCTGGGGTATCCAAGCATACTCAAATTTTTTTCCTTCTACAGTCAGTTGTCCTTAGGGAACTCCTCAAGACCTCAATAATGAGACAAGGGAGAGTGGACTCTCCAGTGGTAATAAGAACATTAGGAGTATAGTACAAATTATTAGGCAACTTACCTGGCCTTATGGAACCTGCTAAAGTCTGATGCTGTGTATACCATTTCCCCTTGCAGACTGAGGGCTGGTGAGCATGAGTGACCCGATAAAACTCAGGTCATAATGGGCATCTCAAGTCACTTGGTCATTTTCTGTATCATGATCATAGAATTCAGAATCTACCAGGGCCCAGTAGTAAGCCAGAAGCTATTACTCAAATTCAGAAAAAGAATGGAACTTTTTCCCCAAACCCTGAAACTTGGGCAATGAGTCCTATGACTGCCACACACAAACACACACACACACACACACACACACACACACACACACACACACACTCAACAATATCCAAATAAGCATTTAGGGCCAAATGGCAGATATGCTTGACTTTTGCCTGGATCAAAATGACATTTCCATTTATTATGGAATGTTTCTGTACTTGTACTAGCTCATAGGATTTTGGATTAGAGAAATACCCTTGCAGGATATGAAGTCATACTTTTTCATTGGTGAAATCATCTGTCCTCATTAGAGTTTAATAATATCATGCAGTTATTTCTCAAAGAGCTTGTACTCCTTAGATTTGCTGGAATTCCTCAAGTTAAAAAGACCAGGGCCTCAATAATGGGAGGTCTCATTGCCAATAGCTACAACCGGCTGTAGAATTTATTAAAAACATGTGAGTGCATTGTTTGGGGAAAGAATCAAGAACAAAAGCAGTGCTTGTTTTGTACTTCACTGAACTACTTCCATGGCCTCCATTCAACTTTAGCTGCAGTTTTGGTGACTTGATTCACAGACTGTCGGAAAGTTATGAGCTATGGAATGTGCTCTCTCCAATACTAAAGAGGCCAGTCATATATATGTAGGGTGTCCTTCTTTATCATTGTAGGTTGTATGAAGTCAGTGATTCCCATAGAACCTTGGGGTCACAGATGCCAGGCCTAATCTTCTTTTATTATTCATTCAATCTTTATTTTTTCAAACAATGGTCTCACTCTCTTGCCCAGGCTGGAGTCCAATGGTGCGAACACAACTCACTGCAGCCTCGACCGCCCCAGGCTTAGGTGATCCTCCCACCTCAGCCTTCCAAGTAGCCGGGACTACAGCTGTGTGCCACCGCACCTGGCTAATTTTTGTGTTTTTTGTAGAGATGGGTTTTTGTCATGTTACCCAGGCTTGTCTTGAACTCCTGGGCTCAAGCAATCCACCCACCTTGGCCTCCCAAAGTTGTGGCATTACAGACATGAGCCACTGCACCCAGCTCTAATCTTATTTTAATTTTAGAAATCTAACTTGACAGTTTCTGGTGCCTGGATCCATATTTGTCTCAGAAGATTGAATTGTGGACTGTGACCTTCTCTCCCAAAAGTCTCTTTCAGGGTAGAACTTCTGGTTATGGCAACATGAAGAGATAGACCAGCAAGTTTTCCTCCAACAGCAACATGAAAACTGTACTAAATACTAAAAACAAACATTTGAAGTCACTGGAAAATTAACAAAGGCAAGCAATATGTGATAAGAGCTTTCTTGTTTAAGACTCCTTCTGTCTTAGGTAAGGACTGCAAGTTGGTGGCCTTTCCTTCTTACCTATGAGTGCTCTTCAGCCTCCCAGCAGATAACTGCAGCCCTAGTGGCTCAATATGGGCAGTTTATAGAGTTCAGAGCCCAAATCAGCTAGAAATGTAAATGAGAATGTTGAAAGAGAGCTGCAGAAGAGTTGAGATCAACAATGTGAATGCAAATTATGCTCATCCCTAGTTGAACACTAAACTCTGCATGGGTGTGGGCCACTTGGGAATCTGGTGAAAAACCAGAAAGAAACTAGAGGGAGGTCTACCCTCCAAAGAGATAAATGATCCTGGTAAGATCTGCAAGTCTTCAGTAACATGGACTGAGTGCATTTGCCAACCTGCACAGAGCTCAGTAGAAGAAAGCAAAAATCTTACTGGCTTGAGAGGTGAAAAGGCAGGATTTGAGTCTAACAAAACAATTGGAAATTCAAAGAGAATTCCAGAAACAAAGCAACCACAATGAAGTTGAATCACAAAATCTGAGTATAAATGACCCAAATACTTGGTCAACCTCTAAATTACACAGATGCAGGACACACACCCAGAAACCCCTGCTGAAACCACGTAAGATACTAAGTGGAAATTCTCAAACAGAAAAAAAAGAAAATGAAAGTATTCTGGAAGAGGTCCACAGAAGTTTTGAGATGGCAGAATAAAGAACAAGCCTGTGACTTTGAATATAAATCTCCAGAATGTGCTCAATTCTAAAATCCAAAACACAGATTGAAATAAGATTAAAGAAAAAAATGAAGAGAACGTCATGAACCCATCAGAGAATATAAAGCAGGTGACCAGATATGCAAGTGGATCCTCAAAAGAAGACACAGGATCAGAAAAAAATATTTGAGAAAATAATAGTTGAAAGTTTCCCACATTTGGTGGGGGATTTTAGCTCATATCTAAGGTGTTCAATAAATGAAAGCAAAATAACTGCAGAGAAAATTACAAATAGGGTGACCAAGGCCTTGGCCTGGCCTGAGGCAACTTAGCTAGCCCCAGGGATGTGTGTTCTGGTGTGGAGTAAGATCAGGGAGCTACCAGTGCAATCTCTGCCTCTACATCAGCGGGACTGATCATTTTAATTTTGATTGCAGTTACTGCTGGTATCTGAATCAAAGTGGTGATGCTTCCTGAGGAAATTTCTGAAGCCATTAGTCAATTAGAACATTATAAGCCATGCCTCCCGTGAAGAGGAGCATCTAATCCCAGCATTTGCACCAGGGAACTCTGCCTGAAGGGATTACCAGTGACTTGAAAGTGTAACCAACAACAATCTTGTCACTATTACGCACCAGCTAAGCAATCTGAACATACATGCTGAAGACATATTTGGTGAGCTATTTAAGGAGGCTAACTACTTCCACATTAGATCAAATTCTCTTAGAATTTGTTGCCTCATGGTCAAAGTCACTCAGCTGGATTCAGCAGTGGAAGAGGTGTCACCACAGGACATCAACATGGAAAAAGCCCTCAAAAGTTCCCCAGCCCAAGACCAGCAAGCAGTTTCAAAGAGCAGCATTCCTACTCCTGCTGCTGACATTTACAATCAGAGTGATTGACCACCTCCCCTGAATAGCATGAGAGCACATGGAGATGATAAAGACAGGCTGAAGTTCTATACTGATCCTTCCCATTTATTTGACCTCTGGAAAGAAGAAGTGCTGCAGGACACAGAAGACAAAAGGAAAGACAGAAGGCATCAAAAGTAGCAAAACCACATAGATGGCACCACTTATGATGTGAAAAGGATTACAAAAGCCAGAAACAAGCACCATGAGTGGAATATGATGGCATATGACAAAGAGCTTAGACCCAGCAACAGGTTGTCTCAGTGTGTACCATGGAGCATCCTGCAAGAACCCCTGTCCCTAGACAGCAGGTCCCATACAATGGATGTTAGGGATGCTCTTATCGAGCTACTCCAAACCATTCTCACGACCCTTCCTAGGCAGCTGAAGATGCATGTCCACATGGGCCCACAAACCAGGCCCCTGAGCTTGAGTGCCACCCCTCCTCTGCCTCAGTGAGGCACATGGCCCTAAATGGACCTCAAGAGCGGCCCCCACTTCCCTGCCTTACCCCAGCTGTGTTCCAATCCTGTGCACTTATGGCTCCAGGAGACTACAGGATGCTCCCAGCACAGGTGCTTGCATATTACAACCCGTCAAGACCTCCTTCTCTTCCCCCTTTTACAGTACAAACTGCCTTTGTTGCCTTCTGCAAATCCTCCTGCCGCCTCCTTCCTCATATCAGCTGGCTCCACACACCCTCCTCCTCACCCTCCCTCCACTGGCCCCTGGGTCCAGCATTCCCTCCTCCAGCCACACACTTTCCCCACCAGGCCTCTTGGCTCAGTTCTTCTTTTTTGTCTTCCCCATGCATTCGCCCCCACACTACCACCAGTAGCTGAGGCAAAGTGTCAAGAACCTGCACAGCCACCAAAAAGTGATACGAGAAGTGATCTCCTTGCTGCTACTGGAATGGGGATTTGACTGGAAAAGGTGCAGGATCTGTGTGAGCAAGAGGCCAAGAGTGAGCCCCTTGGGAAGGACAAGGTCACAACCCTGTCAATACATTGCAGTGGAGAAGTACAGGGATTCTGAGGGAGACTTAGAGTTTGACAAAAACAACCGGCCCAACCAAGGCAGTGCTGGGGCTAGCTCTATGCAACAGGTGGGTAGCTGGTACCAGGCTGGGTGACAGCCAGGAGACCATATGCTAAGAATGTACTTAAGATTTCAAGTGGTCTCAGCACTCAATGGTATTATAATCCCGCAGCTGAGCACCTTTTGTATTAATGATGTGATATTGCTTCTGCACATCCAAAAATTCTGGGTTTTCTCAGTATTTACTGTGTAACATTTAAATGCCATTAAGCATAGAATATCATGCTGCACATGAAGAAATAGGGTGTAACTATTACATCGTCCTGAAAAGAGCGTTTTTTTTTTTTCCTGTAGGCCATGAAAGTATTTAGTGTACTTTGGGTTTACTCTTATTGATCATTACAATTCTGCAGATGTGCTGTGTGAAGCTGCCTGGTGCTAGGCCTTTGAAGATTAATAACTGTGTTTCAGGTGGATATCTTCAGATGAGTAATTGATATTGTTTTACTGTTTTGGGGTGTTTTATGAGTTTGAAAAGCTGTTGGTTCTAGAGGGAAAGGTTTAACAAATAAGGAGAATCCAATATTTCTGCTTTCATTTTCTTGGCGTGGTATCCTCTGTGTGAATTTGAATGCTCAGTTGAATAGTTTTATTGCCTTAGTACACACTTGTCAAATGTAAAGTTGGAAGGACCCTTTTCAGGAAGGGTTTCCTGTGAACATTCACTTAGTAAATGCTTGTGGATGATTCTTGTAAGAGGTCTCAGTGCTTAGAAGTAATGAAAATGAAGAACAAGATCCTTTCACCTTCAGGGGCCTTT
Organism: Homo sapiens; assembly: GCF_000001405.40. Taxonomy (NCBI): domain Eukaryota; kingdom Metazoa; phylum Chordata; class Mammalia; order Primates; family Hominidae; genus Homo; species Homo sapiens. The sequence continues at coordinate 31,286,714 of NC_000006.12, read as the reverse complement.
GGGACCAATACTCAAAATATTTGCCAGCCCTTACAGCTTGGGCACCAGCCAGCAGGAGCAGAGGTGAGTGGTCCAGGAGCTGGGCAGCTCTGGGCAGAGCAGCTGCATGTGGGCCCTGGGTGCTAAAGCAGGCCTGCTCATTGTGTGTCCTGGAAGAGCTGTGTTCTAAAGGAGGCCACAGGAGTTCTTAGCTCCTTAGTGTGTGACAGACAGTGCTTCAGAGGGCACCGTGCTCCACTTGGTCTTAATTTTGAAAGTTTACATTGAGGTGAAAGTAGATATTGACAGCTGTTCACTCTTCATGTGCTGTGTTCAGATTACGGATGAATCCATGAGCAGGGCCTTTGCCTTATCCTAGAAACACGTGGTTATCTTCCCTCATGTTGTTGCTGGCACATCACATATTGATAAGTACCTCTCAAGATTACCTTGATAGACCCGTAGCTGTAGAAGAGCACTTAGTTCTCACCTCTGCCCTTCCCCTTATTCTTGCACTGTGGTCATGCTAGAGACCCATGGGGTTTATTTTCCTGGCTAAGGCAAACTGTTGGGAAATGCAAGAATGAGAGCTTCTATTGTGTAATTCTGGATGAAGAATAACTGCTTGTTTAGAGCAAATAAATGTCCCAGGCTTTGATTATAGTTATGACTTCAAAAATATGCTAAGACCATTTACTTACTGAGGAAATCTTACCTACTTATAGTATTTCAAATTGATTGCAGTCATTAGTGACTTTCAGTTACGATGAAGGGAAGAATCTTGAGCTAAACGCAGGGTTGTCTGAGGTGATGATAGGAGTGGAAACAGGATGGTAACTAATGGATTTAGGTTAATGAGTTCTGAGAAAATCAACCAGCCCCTGCAAGTCACAGCTCTGTGTCTCTAAGTGGACACCTGTCTGTCTTGAGGCAGTCATCATATAATACGCATCACATAGATTTTAGTCATATGGATTTTGAAACTCTGGAAACCATATGTCTGCAGCTCCCTTTCATGACCATGCTTGTGCTGGTTTATCTGATCTCCTCAGCTGTACCAGCTGCTGTGGCATGAGCTTCTTGAGCTTCTCTTTTTAGAGCTGATCATTATCTGGCGGCTGTCGCTATAATTTTCTTGAATACAAGTAAACATTATTTATAAACTTTTAAATTTCTCTGTTTAATTTTTCTCTCTCTTTTTTTTTTTAATGTAGAGGCCTACTTTGCTGGCATCTTTGGGTCCTACTCAGTCATAAACCACCCTCCCCACCCTAGAGTAGCCACTCTTGATTTCTAATACAGATGAGTTCTGCCAGGTCTAGTTGAATGGCATTATACAGTCACCATCATGACCCTGGGTCTCATCATCTCGCTGTGTGTGGTCGTAGCCTATTCACTCCCATGGCTGTCCAATGCTCCACTTTATAAATAACTCACATTTCTTGTCCTTTCACTGTTGATAGACAATTTTGTTGTATACAGATTTTACAAATCGTGCTGCTATGAATAATATTTTCATATAGTTTGGCACACACATACATGCATTTCTATTGGTTTAGAACTAAGAGTGCTATTGCTGGATCATAGGTGAGTAGATGATTGGCTTAGTCTCTCAAAAACCAAGTTTCTAGTAGTAAACAAACAGTAGAGGAGGGTGAATCTCTTACTTAGAAATTATTCAGATAATAAATGAAGAAGGAATGAGAGACTGAGACTATAATAACTCTTTTGCAACCCATCATGAATTAACAGATTTAGCCATTGAATAGCAATGGCAATTAACAACACAATAAAAGAAAAAACTAATGTGAGGTTCTTCCTCTTGATGGAAGAACACAATACAGCACCATCAAACAAGTCCAAGTGAAAAAGAAACCAAGCCTGAATAGAAGCTGATCTCCATAGCCAATTACCAATTTAGAGGCAATACAGATAATAGAAATACATATTAAACTATGCCTTGGGGAGCAATCAGCAAAATGCACACTATGGGAAGCTCTACCACACAATATAAATTTCAAGGAAGAATCTATAGAATAAAGAAAACAAAAGCATATTTCTAAAGGTAAAACTAAATCATAATATTGGATGATAAAAATAAAAATAAAACAAAGAATTGATGATCGTAAAAGTCAGGTTGTGTTTTTATTTGAGGGAAGAAAGAGTTTATTGCTGGGCTGGAGCAAATGATGGGGCTTCTGGTTTGCCCCACAAACATCTATCCCTGGTGATTAATGGGTGTTTACTTTGTATTAAAGGACACAAATTTTAGACATTTTTTTCTTTTGGAGTCCTATATTTTATTTTATGACACAAAGGCTAATGAAAAAATAATTTATAGAGTATGGTTACTGTTTTGCACAAAGCCTCCTCCCCATCTTCTTTTCTGGACACTGAGCACCCAGAACAACCAGCAGCCCCAGGACCCCCAGCAGGGGTGACCTCACTTCTAGGTGTGCATGCAGCTTACATCACCAGAGGTAACATGCAGGTCTACTCCTTGACTCCTGGAAGAACCTGATAGGACACAGCTGAAGGGAAGCCTTCTCCGCCATCTGTAGGCTCTTGGCCATCAGTGTAGAGGGAGCGGGTCCTCACTTCTCCACAGGCGTCTTCATGGCCATAGCCTCCTCTCTGCATGGGGAGTAAGGCCTGGCCCTTCGCCTGAACACGGTGACAGGGATCTCGCCAAAGGTGGAGATCACACCATTCCTCCTTTAGCAACCTCACGCTTCTTTTGCTTTACAGGAAAGTTGACTCAGGCTGGTGTCCAGTAAAGAAATCCCAAGGAGAGGCCGGGTGCGGTGGCTCACGCCTGTAATCCCAGGACTTTGGGAGGTCGAGGTGGGCAGATCACGAGGTCAGGAGATTGAGACCATCCTGGCTAACATGGTGAAACCCCGTCTCTACTAAAAAATACAAAACATTAGCCGGGCGTGGTGGTGGGCACCTGTTGTCCCAGCTACTCGGGAGGCTGAGCCAGAATGGCGTGAACCCGGGAGGCGGAGCTTGCAGTGCTCCTGCTCCCAGGAGGCAGATGCCCAGGATGAGCTTTAAGGTGGAGAGAGGAATGTCATTGCTCATCCTCCAGGTTCCAAGTAAGAACCTTCCTGCCCAGCCCATCTCGATCTCCCTGAATCCTCAACGCTAATGAGGACTGTCTCCTTCTCACCTCCCTAGACTGGGCTTTTTAACACTGGAAAGTGGATGTGATTTCTAGTTTCAGCATGTCCTGGTTTATTGTGCTGCCAGTAAAATAAAATCAAAATACACATTGAATAAATAATAAATAACCCATAGTGAGCAAAGGCTTACAATGTATTTTTTTGAGTCAAGACCTCACTCTGGCCTGGGCTGGAGCCCAGTGGTGGGATCGTAGCTCAATGCAGCCTTGTATTTATGAGCTCAAGGGATCTTCCCACCTCAGCCTCCACAATACCTGGAAATACAAGCGCCCACCACCAGGCCCAGCCGTTTACTGATTTTTATTTTTTTTAGAGACGAGGGTCCCACTATGTTGTCCAAGCTGGTCTCCAATTCCTGATCTCAAGCAATCCTCTTGCCTTAGCATCCTGAATTGCTGGGATTACAGGCGTGAGCTGTCATGCCCAGCTTGTAATGTACTGACACTATCAAGGTTTCTTTCTCCAAGTGTGGATACAGCAGCAGACACCCCTTGTCTCTTGGGTGAGGACACTGGGTAAAGTGGAATAGCAAGGCAACAAAGTCACTGCAGAAAGCACCCACGTGGAAGAGGTCCAGCAGGGAGAGCCACCTGTTCCAGGGACACCATATTTAGGGATAACTCCTCTTTCTGGGCAGGACTGTTCTTTGATTACTTTTGTATTCACAATAGTTCTGAAATCGTAGAATGATGAGACTCAAGACTGGCTAGGGTTTTATTTTTGTTTAGTTTTTATTTTGTTTTGTTTTGTTTTTTTCAAAAAACCATCATGAGATTTGTTAATCTTTTGAATGGTTTTTGTGTCTCAATTTCCTTCAGAATTTAACTCTTCTTAACATTTCACAGTCCACTTTCAGTTAAAAATGTACTAGTACCCATAAATAGAGAAATCTTGCAACCATTTATCCTCTATAAAATGTCCATCTTTATGGTACAGATATTATATGTAATATATCTATATAGGTTATAAGTCCCACAAGAAAAAAACTTCTTCTTATCTTTAAACAGTTCTATGTATATAAATTAGAGTAAATGAGGGGAACAAGATAGCCTTTTGCACTTAGCTCAGTATTTACCATTTTTGATCATCTTCATCTTTTCTGATAACCTCATTTCCCACCTGGTATCATTTGCCTTTAGCCTGAAGAATTTTCTTTACCAATTGTTATTGTGCAGATCTGCTGGTGACAAATTCTCTTAATTTTCTTTTACCTGAAACATCTCCTTATTTTGCCTGTCCTTGAAGGACATCTGTGCTGGATATAGAATTCTTAGTTGTCCTTTTTTTCTTCCAGCACTTTAAAGGTGTTATTCTACTTTCTTTTGTTTCTATGGTTTCTAATAAGAAGTCGTTGGTCAGGACAAGAGGAACAGAGAAACCAAAACTGAGGAAATAACATGGTAGACCTAAAACTTATCAATAATGAAAAAAAAACCTATATGAATCAACACTCCAATGAAGGGCAGAGATTGTGTGAATTGGTTAAAAAAAAAAAACAAAACACAGAACCCAACCATATGCTCTTTCCAGATATGCAGTTTCTTTGTTTCTTTTTTTTTTAATTTAACTTTTATTTTTAGTTAAGGAGTACATGTACAGGTTTGTTATATAGGTAAACTTGTGTCATGCGGTTTTATTGTACAGATTATTTCTGTACCCATTAGTACCCACCCAAGTATTAAGCCTTAGTACCCATTAGCTATTTTTCCTGATCCTCTCCCTCCTCCCACCCTCCACCCTCAAGTGGACCCCAGTGTGTGTTGTTCCCTTCTGCGTGTCCATGTGTTCTCATCATATAACTCCTACTTATAAGTGAGAACATGTGGTAATTGGTTTTCTGTTCCTGCCTTAGTTTGCTAAGGATAATGGCCTCCAACTCCATCCATGTTCCTGCAAAGGACATGATCTCATTCTTTTTTATGGCTGCATAGTATTCTGTGGTGTATATGTGCCACATTTTCTTTTTCTTTTTTTTTTAATGGAAAATAACTTTTATTGAGATCCCACCAGTTGCAATATCTGTTCCCAGCATTAAGCTCCTTCTTCCTTTGCAATTCGGTCTTTCTTGAGTGGTCCCATGAATGCTTTCTTCTCCTCCATGGTCTGGAAGCGGCCATGGCCAAACTTGGAGTGGGTGTCAATGAACTTAAGGTCAATCTTCTCCAGAGCCCGCTGCTTTGTCTGCACCAGCAAGGTCTTGCGGAGGGTGAGCACCCACTTCTTGGTTCCCACCACACAGCCTTTCAGCATGACAAAGTCATTGGTCACTTCACCATAGTGGACGAAGCCACCCAAAGGGTTGATGCTCTTGTCAGACAGGTCATAGTCAGTGGAGGCATTGTTCTTGATCAGCTTGCCATCCTTGATAAGGTAGCCCTAGCCAATCCTATAGATCTTCTTGTTGATCTCAGTGCGGTGATGGTAGCCTTTCTGCCCACCACGTACCACAGAGAAGCCCACACGAGCAGGATGCCATGCCCCAATACAGGCCACCTTGCACAGGCCTTGGTGGGTCTTGCGGGGCAGCTTCTTGGTGTGCCAACGACTGGTGACCCTTTTGTAGCCTTTGCCCTTGGTCACCCTGATGACGTCGATCATCTCATCCTGCCCAAACACTTGGTTCACAGGTACCTGGTGCTTGAGCCTCTCACCAGCCCAGTCCAGCTTCTCAGCCACAGTGCCTCCATTCACCTGGATCTCCATCAGGTGGGCCTTCTTCTGGCACAGAGGAAGCAGTTGCATCTGGGTGTGGGCAATGACGCAGATGACTTGGCAGTACTTCTTCATGCTGCTGAAGTCCTTCTCCAGCTGCTTCTTGCCATCCTCATCCTGCCATTTCTTGCAGTACTTGGTAAAGGCCTTCTTCTTAGATTTATGCCAGTTCTTATAGAAATGTCTCTTGCATTCATCACTGATGTGCTCAGCGAAGACAGTCTTGCAAGTCCGGAAGCCTTGAGGGGTTTCCACGCAGCCCACAATGCCCACTGGTGGCCTCTCCACAATGGTCACAGCCTCCACCACCTCCTTCTTGTTCACCTTGGATCCTGGCCTGTCGACTTCCCGCACGATGTGGGTCATGCCAGCCTTGTATCCCAGGAAGGCTGTGAGGTGGACCGGCTTGGACGGGTCATCCTTAGGGAAGCTCTTCACCTTCCCACGATGCCTGCTGCTGCGCTTCCAAGGCAGGAAGCCGAGGGACCCATGTCTGGGAGTGGAGAACTTTCTGTGAGACATCACGCCATCAAATCCTGCCGGTAGAGCATATTTGCCACATTTTCTTTATCCAGTCTACCATTGATGGACATTTAGGTTGATTCCATGTCTTTGCTATTGTGAATAGTGCTGCAATGAACATATGCATACATGTAAGACATGGGCTTTCTTTTTTTAATTTGCTTTGTTTTATTTTACTTTAGGTTCCAGGATACATGTGCAGAACCTGCAGGTTTGTTACATACGTATAGTCTGCCATGGTGGTTTGCTGCACCTATTGACCCATCCTCTAAGTTCCCGTCCCTTGCCCCCCACACTCCCCAAAAGGCCCTGATATGTGTTGTTCCCCTCCCTGTATCCATGTGTTGTCATTGTTCAACTCTCACTTAGGAATGAGAACATGAGGTGCTTTGTTTTCTGTTCCCGTGTTAGTTTGCTGAGGATGATGACTTCCAGCTTCATCCATGTCCCTGCAAAGGACATGAACTCATTCCTTTTTCTGGCTGTGTACTATTCCATGGTGGTATGCACCACATTTTCTTTATCCATCTATCACTGATGGACATTTGGGTTGGTTCCAAGTCTTTGCTATTGTAAATAGTGCTGCAGTAAACATACGTGTGCATGTGTCTTTATAGTAGAATGATTTATATTCCTTTGGGTAGATACCCAAGGGGTCAAATAGTATTTCTGGTTCTAGGTCTCTGAGGAATGGCCACACTGTCTTCCACAATGGTTGAACTAGTTTACATTCCCAACAACAGTGTAAAAGTGTTCCTATTTCTCCACAGCCTCACCAGCATCTATTGTTTCTTGACTTTTTAATAATTACCATTCTGACTGGCGGGAGATGGTATCTCATTGTGGCTTTGATTTACATTTCTCTAATGAGCAGTGATATTGAGCTTTTTTAATTTTTCTCATTAAGATTTTAATGTCTCATTTCAAAAAATTAAAGGAAGTTTTCATTTATTTTTTAAGATAAAGATTTAGTGCACCCAAATGCCCCCAAAGCCAACAGAAAAATAGCTTTGCCCTGTCATTTCCATAAGAAAGCACTGCAGTTACTCAAAATATGCTCAAAGAAAAAAATGCAATCCTCTGAGTTCTAAGTTTCACGAAAGGACCACATGTTAAACTATGTATATCGATTTGATGTGTAAGTATGCAATAAATATGTACACATACATTCCTATCTGCTTCACATCATTCTAGAGTATTCATAGTATATGAAGATGGGATTTAGAAATGTGAAAAGGCTGTAACAGTGAAAAGGAAAAAAAGGGTACAATGGTTTTTAGACCAGTAGAATAATAATGCTTAGCTAGTTAATTATTTTAACTTTGGAGCAGACTAAAAAAGTTGTTTTGAAATAAATGGTACCTGTAAGTGATGCTTACTGCAATACTTGCTAAGTGTTATTTGTCACCACTGACAGGAATTATATAGTGCTAGTAACACAGCTCCCACTGTCCTAGAATTCCTCTAAATGGCCAGCTATTGCTACCATTATCTTGATAAGCATTTCAAGAATTGTGTTGCTGAGCCTTTTAAAAGATAACTAGTTTATAACCTATGTCTCCTTATGTGCCTACATCAGTTACTCATGGTCCCAAAGAAGTATAAAAGAGGATATAAGCTGCTGAAGATTTCACAGAAGAAACAGAGATATCAGAAACTTCATGATCATCAAACTTAAACCACCGCTGTTTTGCTGCATTTTTACAGTAGGCTGTGTAATGGCCTCCATCCAGCCCACCGCAGTGATCTGAAACAGAAAACAAATTATATTTCTTCAAATTGTTCTTTGGACCAATAACATACTGTGACAAGGCAAGATTTTCTAACGGGAAGTCCACAGATGTCTGTAATTTTTGTTTCCACCTGCCATTGTAGGAAAAATGTTTCAGATGCACTAAAAGCACAGGTGGTAACTTCCAGATTTCTTTTTTAAGAATCCCGTCGAGCTCTGCAAAGATTGCAGTAAAATCTGTTATTATCTATGAGTTTTTCTTCTTTAGAAAATAATCTAAGGCAATCCTATAATGTACATTTACTTGTGGATGCTATCAGTAGAGACAAATACATGAAGGCCTCAAGTGTCCTAGACTTTTTGTGACGGGTGAGGCACTGTACTGTAGATTTGAATTGACCCTGAAAAAGTGCAACAATAATAGACTCATAGAGCCGCTTGTGTTTCTGCCAGGCATGTTCTGCAGCTTTAAAGTCATTGAGATGATCATTATTTTCTTCTTTATATGTCTTCCGATTATCAGTTTTATTTAGATCTTCATGGAGACCATCCATTAGGAACAGAAGAAATTCTTGTGAATCTTGACTGTATCCTGCAAACTGGTAATTGATCTTCCCAATGGTGATTTTAAGGTCTTTTGGACTGATATATCTATACTGTCCTGTCCACGGGGCTTTCATGATTATACCAAATTCTTCTGCCACTTCACCTTTATGCCCCTAACAAATTTGACTTGTTAATGTCATCCTGATAACAGTTTCGGTTGAAATAATCAGCCAAATGTGGAGCATTACATAGGCACTGCAATATTGAGTTCATATAACAAGTATTTCCTAAGTTACGAAGTCCAGTAAGAGCTGGTCCAGAACCTCTGAAAACAGGACTGAGTTTCCAAATCTGAGAAGCAGAAAGCCTTGAGATCTCAGCTTTAGGGTAGCATGTTGGCTTGTCTTCCTGATTAACTGTTGGAGTTACTGCTGGCTTCCTCTTCTCTTCCTCTTTAATAGCCTGGGTTATATCTGGGGAGGAGTAAGAGCATTTCAGTTTGGAAGGTTCCCTATCCTGCTTAGCAGGAATCTGTGGCTTGCCTTTATGAGTTGGAGGGGTGGAAGGAGGTGCAGATGAAGGAGCCATTTCCAGTGGGTACATATGAACAGTGTTAGTGGTGAATGATAATAATGAAACGTTCCAGTGATTGGATCAAGAAACTTGGCCCAGCCTGAAGGCAGTCCTGGTACCATCCTCCCCATTTCTTCACTTCGTGCTATTATCGAAGGTTCTCGTTGAGTTTTATTTCTTTCAGTATCATCTGTATCCTCTCTAAAAGTTTCTGTCCTTAGAATTCCAGTTTCTGGTTGTCCTTTAATCTTAAAAGGCTTGCCTGAACCTGAATCCCCTGTCACAGATGTATGGGACACATCTCTTGTTGACTTTTTCTGTACTTCTGGGGTTGAACATCTTCTCCCCCTGTCCTCTACAGACTTCTCGGCACCAGAGGTTTCATGATCACTTTTACTTTGTCTTTTTACTCTTGTTATTTCTTTGCCCTTCTTTGCTGAGATTTCTTTATCCTCTTTCTTGGCCTGTTCACGTTCTTTCTTCTCCATTTCTTCTTTTGCTTTTTGTTGCTTCTGTGTAATTTCATTTTCTTCAGCTTCTTGTTTCTTTTTGGCTTTTTGCTCGTGTTCTTCCCTCCTCAGTTTCTTTTTGTTTCCCTTGCTGTCTTTCCTGAAGTTCTTTTTCTTATTTGTTTTTCTCCATTAGAAGAGCAGTTTCTGCATGAATATGAGCCTTTTCTTCATCTGTTAACATGAGAGTTGGAGAGGAAACTACTGGCTTGGCGGAACAATCAGGAATAACTTTTTCATTCTGAGGAGACTGTTGCTCATGATTTGTACTTTCAGATTTGATTATATGCTCTTCAGGCAATTTGACTGCCAGTTTTTTAGTATGATCAATCTGTGGAACATTCTTTATGCTAGGCACTGGCTGAATGATGGGTGAAACATCAGATTTAGAAGCAGCAACTGGTTCAACTGGAATTGATATATTCAGTGGTCCCGTCCTCTCATTTTGATCATTATCACTTATTTGATCACTGATCAATTCTATATTTTCATCCACTTCTATATGTGGAGGTGGCATCTGGGCAGCAGGTTTAGAAGGAATTGATTCTTCCAGTGAGGGATAAGTAAAATCCAATGAGATAGACAACTCTTCATTCTGGTGTTGTGGGGGTGGAGTGACCTTAGCATTTGTTGTATACTGGGAATAGCAAAGGAACCAGTTTTTACAGCCTCCCTCTAAAACCAAAGCCCAAGGCCCATTGCACAGGACAGTCTTACTTTCCCACTTGAAAAGTGCATCTTTCAGATGCCAGAGAGTTGTTCTAATCTGTAAATCTTTTGCAGAACTAAACCAGTCAAGAAGTACCATATACTCCACATTCCCCCTCTTCTTCCATGTGTCTATAGAATCATCTGGGAGGTGTGCTTCAATCCAGCTAGCAGTGACTCCTGGACTGATGGCTTCTTCAGGAACACTGAGAGAATGTAAAATACAGGAATCCTGATAATCCTGCATTCTTTGAGCATCCATTATAATCAAGCTGATGTTTTTATCCATCATCATTGTGTATAGTTCCTTTGCTGTGATTGCTCCTTTCTCTTTGGTCTCACATTTTTCATTCTTTTCACCATTGCTCTTTTGGGTTTTGTCTTTGGAATCCAATACAATCTCCAAAGAACCTTTAGCCAACGTGCTGCCATCCTCTCTTCCTGTTTCCTGCCTTTTTTGTTGTAGCCACTGTGCTTCCCCCTGCCTGTCCTTTTCCTCAAGTTTTTTCCAGATTTCAACTTCTTCATATCTTAGTTTAAGGCTTTCAGAGAGTCGTTCAGTTTCTCCAGTGGCTTTTTTGATGTTTGCAGGTCCAAGTATTGAACGGAAGCAATCCTGCTGTTGCTTGAAATCAGGTCTTTTTTGGATAGGATTATAAACAGTCACGTTTCATATACGTGTGTGAGCTTTTTTTCATATGTTTCTTGGCCACGTAAATGTCTTCCTCTGAGAAGTGTCTGTTTATATCCTTTGCCCACTTTTTGATGGGGATGGGTTTTTTTCTTGTAAATTTGTTTAAGTTCCTTGTAAACAAACATGTGAGCTCTTATCATTCTTGTTTAAACACCTAACAGCCATCCTAACCAGTGCAACAAGGACCAGGCATGGTGGCTCATGCCTGTAATCCCTGCATTTTGGGAGGCTGAGGTGGGAGGATCACTTGAGATCAGGAGTTTGAGACCAGCCTGATAAGTGAGACCTCATCTCTACCAAATAATAATAATTTTAAAAGAAAACAGATCAATGGATAAGAAAGGAAGAAATGAAAGTCTTTCTTTGTCACCAGCTTCATTGTATATGTAGAAAACACTAGGGAATTCTGAAAAAGTCTCTGGAATTAATCATTGAATTTGCAAAATAGTTCGTAAAATATATGTAATAAGTCACTTAGATGAACATGAAAAGATAGCAAACAATACTAGTCATCTAAGAAGTGCAAGTTAAAACCACAATGAGAAACCATCACACATCACCTAGAGCAGGTAAAGTTAAAAAGACATATGATAAGTCTTAACACTGGCAAGAATATGGAAAAAATAGGAATGTCTGCTATTGCTGGTAGGAATGCAAGAAATGTGGCAGCCAATTTGTAAAGTGGTATGGCAATTTCTTATACAGTTACCCATCTATTACCACATGGCCCAGCAATTCCACAAATACGTATTTATCCAAAAGAAATAAAAACGTAAGTCCACACTTGTAAGCAGTTATTTATAGTGGCTTCATTAATAACAAGCCCTAACTGGAGGAATCCACATGTCTATCAACTGGAGACACAGAAACCAATGAATAAACTGGGATTCCAGCAATACTCGGCAGCTGCTCAGCAACAAAAATGAATGAATGGCATCATCTCAAACATCGTTATGCTAAGGGAGAGACCAAACAAAAGACTACATAACATATGATTGCATGTCCATGAAATTCTAGAAATGTCACTATTGCAGTGACAGAAAGCACAGCAGTGGTTGAGTGAAGGGAAGGGGGTGAGGGTGGGAGGCAAGGATTAAATAGAAAGGGGGATAAAGAAAGTTTTTAGGGAAAAGAAACTGTTCTCTACAGCGCCACAACTCAGGAGTGACTGGGAGGGGGAGGTAAGGGGAGAAGAAGGTCTGAGGGATAAGGGGCAGAGAGAAGGGCTGGGGAAGCAGGAGGTGAGGACAAGGAGCAGGGGAAAGGACTCTAAAGCAGTGGAGGGGCCTAGTAGGAGGATCTTTGCATTTGGTGTTTCTCTACTGGGCAGTGTGGTAGTTACACTATAAATAATTACCAATATCCACCAAAAAGTGCAGCTAAAACTGGTGAATTTTTTTACACGTAAACGCCCTAATAAGCAAAAAAAAAAAAAAAAAAAAAAAAAAAAAAAAAAAAAAAGGCGGGGGGGGAGGAAAGAAGGCAAAAATAAAAGCATTGTTAGATCATCAAACCCATAAAATTCATTTCCTAGGGGTCCTGTACTACATGTAATTTTAAAGGACGTTCTTCAGGCTGAAGGGAAATGATACTAGATGGTGACCCAGATATACAGAAAGGAACAATTAACAACAGAAATGATGCACATACACATATCACATACACACCCATTTTCTTAATTTCCTGAAGATATGTGACTGCTTGTCTAAAACAAAAAGTATTACACTGTATCGTTGAGTTTATAACGTATATTGATGTAACATATACAATAATAATAGCATAATGATAGTTTAAGTGAAACTACACCATTTGAAGTGTCCTTTATTTTGCTGGATGCAGCTTAATATTACCTGAATTTCACTGTGAAAAGTCAAGGAATTGGGTTTCAATTCTTACAACAATAAAAAATTAATGTAAAGAAATATAGCTAAAAGCCACTAGGAGAATTAAAACCATAAGCTGAAAAATGTTTACTTGACACATAAGAAAGTAGCAAAGGAGGAACAGAAACAAAAAGATATGAGACAAATTGAAAACGTATAGCAAAATGGTAGACCAAAACCCAACCATTATAAGTGAAGAAATGACACGACCTGAGTCACATTAGCAGGACTGCTGAGCACTGTGGGGAGAACAGACATGGGCAGGAGGTGAGGGACAGTGTTAGTGCCACAATTCAGGAGTGACAGGGTGGCGGGGACTAAAGGGGAAAGAGGGTGTGAGGGATGAGAGGGGCAGAGAGAAGGGCTGGAGAAGCAGGAGGTGAGGAAAAGGAGCAGAGGAAAGAATTCTAAAGCAGTAGAAGAGCCTGGCAGGGGGTTCTTTGCATTCGGTATTTAATACATTTTGTGTGACTGCCTTAAAACTAATGGGCTCCTTATGATTTTTTTTTAAAAAGGGGTTACAAAAATATCAAGTGTCCAAATAAAATATGCACACTGCTTAGATGTGCATAGTTCACGAAAACGGGCAGTGCTGGAGCGCTGGTGAAGAGCATTGGGACTGCATGGAGCCCTCGCAACTTTGAGGTGATGACTACAGGCTCCCGGTTGCAATAGACAGTAACAAACCCTGCTTCTTTGTATTCAGGAGATGTTCTGGACTCACACAGGGAAACTCTGGCTAGAGAATGAGGATAACTTTAAATGCAACAACCCAGAGTCACAGAACCATAGTCTGCGAAAGTAAAACAGGAGCTTTGAGAATTTAATTGTAATGCAGTTTTGACACAGGTCTTTCACAGATTGGAATTCTAATCATTCAGGGATTACCAATATTGTGCTACCTACTGTATCAATAAACAAAAAGGAAACTGGTCTCTATGAGAATCTCTACCTGGTGCTTTCAGACAAAACTTCACCAGGTTTAAAGAGAAAACTCCTGACTCTACACGTCCATTCCCAGGGCGAGCTCACTGTCTGGCATCAAGTTCCCCATGGTGAGTTTCCCTGTACAAGAGTCCAAGGGGAGAGGTAAGTTTCCTTTATTTTGCTGGATGTAGTTTAATATTACCTGAGGTGAGGTAAGGTAAGGCAAAGGGTGGGAGGCAGGGAGTCCAGTTCAGGGACGGGGATTCCAGGAGGAGAAGTGAAGGGGAAGGGGCTGGGCGCAGCCTTGGGGTCTCTCCCTGGTTTCCACAGACAGATCCTTGTCCAGGACTCAGGCACACAGTGTGACAAAGATGCTTGGTGTAGGAGAAGAGGGATCAGGACGAAGTCCCAGGTCCCGGGCGGGGCTCTCAGGGTCTCAGGCTCCAAGGGCCGTGTCTGCATTGGGGAGGCGCCGCGTTGGGGATTCTCCACTCCCCTGAGTTTCACTTCTCCCAACCTGCGTCGGGTCCTTCTTCCTGAATACTCATGACGCGTCCCCAATTCCCACTCCCATTGGGTGTCGGGTTCTAGAGAAGCCAATCAGCGTCTCCGCAGTCCCGGTT